>NC_000014.9:47111713-47736713 GCF_000001405.40 Homo sapiens
CAGGAAAATGGAGAGCAACAGTAGCAGTTGGTAATCTGCCAGCAAGAAAAGAGTGAAAGAAACAACTATCTAATATAGAACAGTAAATGGGGTCACAAAGTACAATATTAACCTATCTTCCATATGTTTCAACTATCACCCCAAAATGCCAGATTAAAAAAGATAAGAGGTAATACACTTGAGCAGCTAGATGTTAGTAATAAGATGAAGATTTTGAGACACAAAAATTACATAGTTCTCCAAGGAAGAGCCTGACAAGGATGTAGATTGTCTGACTGCAGAGCTCATGCTCTTACTGTCTGCCCAGGCTAACTCTTTATCATGAACCTGTAATATGAACAACAAAGGGGCTAAGTTGAAAGGACTGAGATGAGGAACCTGGAATGCAGAACAATGGCAAAGTTTATTCAACAGTAAAAAAAAGCGGGAGAGGAAAGAAAGATAAAAGAAATGGGAAGAGAAGAGAAAGAGTGAGGAGAAAAAGGGAGACAGAATGAGAAAATTTTTTGCTTATGCTTTTTTAAAAAATGTGTTATTTTATTTTAAGTTCTGGGATACATGTGCAGGACATGCAGCTTTGTTACATAGGTAAACGTGTGCCATGGTGGTTTTCTGCACCTATAAACCCATCACCTAGGTATTAAGCCTGGCATTCATTAGCTATTTATCGTGATGCTCTCCCTCCCTCTACCCCTCAAGACAGGCTCTAGTGTGTGTTGTTCTCCTCCCTGTGTCCATGGGTCCTTATTGTTCAGCTCCCACTTATAAGTAAGAACATGCAGTATTTGGTTTTCTGTTCCTCATTAGTTTGCTGAATAAAATGGCTTTAAACTCCATCCATGTCCCTGCAAAGAACATCGTTCCTTTCTCTGGCTGCATAGTATTCCATGGTATATATGTACCACATTTGCTTTATCCAGTCTATCACTGATGGGCATTTGGGTTGATTCCATGTCTTTGCTATTGGAAACAGTGCTGCAATGAACATATGTGTGCATATATCTTTATAATAGAATGATTTATATTCCTTTAGGTATATACCCAGTAATAGGATTGCTGGGTCAAATGGTATTTCTGGTTCTACGTCTTTGAGGAATCACAACACTGTCTTTCCACAATGGTTGAACTAATTTACATTCCCACCAACAGTGTAAAAACATTCCTATTTCTCCACAGCCTCACCAGCATTGGTTGTTTCTTGGCTTTTTAATAATCATCATTCTGACTGGCATGAGGTGGTATCTCATTGTGGTTTTCATTTGCATTTCTCTAGTAATCAGTGATGTTGAGCTTTTTCTCATATGCTTGTTGCCTGCTTAAGTATCTTCTTTTGAGAGGTGTCTGTTCATGTCCTTTGCTAACTTTTTAACGGGAATATTTTTCTCTTATAAATTTGCTTAAGTTCATTGTAGATTCTGGATATCCACTGACTCCACAGAAATACAAACAACCATCAGAGAATACTATAAACACCTCCATTCAAACAAACTAGAAAATCTAGAAGAAATTAATAAATTCTTAGACACATGCACCCTCCCAAGTTGAATCCCTGAATAGACCAATAACAAGGCCTGAAATTGAGGCAATAATAAATAGCCTACCAACAACAACAACAACAAAAAAGGCCCACGACCGGATGGATTTACTGAAACTATTCCAAACGATCAAAAAGGAGGGACTCCTCCCTAACTCACTTTATGAGGCCAGCATGATCCTAGTACCAAAACCTGGCAGAGATACAATAAAAAAAGGAAACTGCAGGCCAATATCTCTGATGAACATCCATGCGAATATCCTCAATAAAATACTGGCAAACTGAATCCAGCAGTACATCAAAAAGCTTATCCACCACGATCAAGTCAGCTTCAACTTGCAAGACTGGTTCAACATACACAAATCAATAAACATAATTCATCACATAAGCAGAACTAAAGACAAAAACCACTTGATTATCTCAACAGACACCAAAAAGGCCTTTGATAAAATTCAACATCCCTTCATGTTAAAAACTCTCAATAAACTAGGTATTGATGGAACACACCTCAAAATAATAAGAGCCATTTATGAAAAACTCACAGCCAATATCATACTGAATGGGCAAAAGCTGGAAGCATTCCCCTTGAAAATCAGCACAAGACAAGAATGCCATCTCTCACCAACCCTAATCAACATAGTACTGGAAGTTCTGGCCAGGGCAATCAGGCAAGAGAAAGAAATAAAGGGTATTCAGATAGAAAGAGAGGAAGTCAAACTGTATCTATTTGCAGATGACACGATCCTACATCTAGAAAACCCCATCATCTCACCCCTAATGCTTCTTAAGGTGATAAGCAACTTCAGCAAAGTCTCAGGATACAAAATCAATGTGCAAAAATCACAAGCATTCCTATACAGAAACAGTAGACAAGCAGAGAGCCAAATGATGAGTGAACTCCCATTCACAACTGCTACAAAGAGAATAAAATACCAAAGAATAAAATACCAAAGGAATACAGCTAACAAGGGAAGTTAACGACCTCTTCAAGGAGAACTACAAACCACTGTTCAAGGAAATCAAAGAGGACACAAACAAATGGAAGAACATTCCATGTTCATGGATATGAAGAATCAATATGGTGAAAATGGTCATCCTGCCCAATATAATTTATACATTCAATGCTATTCTAATTAAACTACCATTGACATTCTTCCCAGAATTAGGAAAAAACTACTAAATTTATATGGAACCCAAAAAGAGCCCATATAGCCAAGACAATCCTAAGCAAAAAAGAACAAAGCTGGAGGCATCACACTACCAACTTCAAACTATACTACAAGGTTACAGTAACCAAAACAGCAGGGTAGTGGTACAAAACAGACACATAGACCAATGGAACAGAATAGAGATCTCAGAAATAAAACTGCACATCTACAACCATCTGATCTTCGACAAACCTGACAAAAACAAGCAATGGGGAAAAGATTCCCTATTTAATATATAGTGCTAGGAGAATGGGCTAGCCATATGCAGAAAATTGAAACTAGGCCACTTCCTTACACCTTATACAAAAATTAACTTAAGACGGATTAAAGACTTACATGTAAAACCCCAAACTATAAAAACCCTAGAAGAAAATCTAGGCAATACCTTTTGGAACATAGGCATGGGCAAAGATTTCATGACAAAAACGTCAAAAGCAATTGCAACAAAAGCAACAATTGACAAATGGGACCCGAGTAATCCAAAGAGCTTCTGCACAGCCAAAAAAAAAAAAAAAATGCCTATCATCCGAGCCAACCTACAAAATGGAAGAAAATTTTTGCTTATGCTTTTACGGTATAATGTAAAACATAAGAAGTGGACAAAAGGACAAAAGTGATCAACATTCTGCTGAATACACTCTAGACTAAAGGGCAGATAAAATAAATAAAAGCATTCAAATTACATATAAATTCATACTTAACACATTCAAGCATTACAACTGTCAATTACTTTTAATTCCAGAAGTAATTTTATAAAATACAATAAGAATATAATATCTTGATTGCTTGAGTTGGGTCACAACTCAGACAAGTACTGTGTCATATATACTTCAAATCTTACCAAATACTCATTACTAGCTCATGTCTGGGATTGCTGCTCTACCCTTTAATGGATATGTGTGCATTGAAGATGTCTGGATGAGGAGACTAATTCTAGAAGGCAGACGTGCCTCAATAAATTAAGGCCTTCCCTAAGAAACCCGAGAAATATATAGATTTTGTCTTAAATGTTTGTGTGAGATATTTGCTTTTCAGGCACAGATATATCAAGTTTTTTTTTATTTCTATGTTTATATTGATATGCCTTCCACATGGTTAATTAAATAAAAAGAGGGGAAAAGGAGAAAGAAAAAGATTCAGAGCATCATTTGTTAAAAAGAAATGTATCATTCAACATAAGAAAATCAATTAATGTGATACACTACATTAGTAGAATAAAGGATAAAAATCACATGATTATCTTCATAGATGTAGAAAAAGCATTAGTCACAATTCAGCACCCTTTCATGATAACACTCTCAACAAACTAGGAATGGTAGGAAATTACCTTATATTAATAAAAGCCTATATGTAACTCCCACAGATAATAACATATTCAGTGTGAAAATCAAAAAGGTTTTCCTATAAGGTCTGGAATACGGAAAGGATGCCTGCTTTCACCACTTCTTTTCAACACAGTAGTGTTAGTCCCAGCCAGAGTAATTCGGCAAGAAAAAAGAATAGGAGGCATTAAAACTGAAAAGGAACGAGTGAAACTGTCCCTGTTTGCAGAACATATGATCTTATTTATAGTAAGCCCTAAAAACTCTATGAAAAAATACTTCAGGAAAATTGCAGGATACAAAATAAATGTACAAAAACCAGTCCTGTTTGTACTATTAACAACAAGTTATCTAAAAAGAAAATTTGAAAAACAATCACATTTACAATAACACCAAAAAAATTAAATACCTGGGAATAAGCTTAACTACGGAAGCAAAAGGCTTGTATACTAAAAACTACAAAACATTGGTGAAGGAGGTGAAACAGGGCACAAACAAATGAAAAGACATCACATTTTATGGATTGGAAGACTTAATATTGTTAAAATGTCCATACTGCCCAAAGTGACCTACAGATTCAATGAAATCTCATTTAATATTCTAATGGTATTTTTTACAGAAATAGAAAAAAAATTCTAAAATTCATATGGAACCACAAAAACCACAAATAGCCAAATCAATCTTGAGGATGGAGAACAAAGCAGGAGTTAGCACACTAGCTGATTTCAAACTGTATTGCAAAGCTATAGTAATCAAAACAGTAGAGCACTGGCATAAAGACAGACAAATAGACAAATGGAACAGAATAGAGAGCCCAGAAACAAATCCACAAATATATGTTTGACAAGTGGGTCAAGAAAACACAATGGGAAAAAGATAGTCTCCTAGACAAAGACAAGAGATGTTGGAAATATTGGATATCCATGTGCAAAGAAAAAAATTAAATCTGATCCCTAACTTACACAATACACCAAAAACAACTCAAAGTGGACTAAAGGCTTAAATATAAGACACAAAATTATAAAACTACTATAAGAAAACATAGAGGAAAAGATTCATTCCATTGATCTTGGGAATGATTTCATAGATATAACACAAAAGCATAGAAAACAACAACAAAAATAAACAAGTGGGACCACATCAAAATAAAAAAAAAGGTTCTGCACAGAAAAAAAAATAGAGTGAAAAGACAGCCTATTAAGTGGGAGAAAACAAAATGCAAACCATATATCCAATTGAGATTTCAAAATATTTAAGGAAATCCCAAAACTCAATAGCAAAAAACAAACAAACAACAAATAACCTGATTCAAAAATGGGATAAAGATTTGAACAGACATTCTCCAAAGAAGACACACAAATGGATAAGTATATGAACAAATGCTCAGTGTTACAAATCATAAAGGAAATGCAAATCAAAATCACAATAAGATACCAACTCACACCTGTCAGGATGACTACTACTTTTAAAGAAAGACGATAAGTGTCAGCAAGGATGTGAAGAAACTGGAAGCTTCGTGCAATGCAAACTGGTGCAGCTGCAATGGAAAACGATATAGAGGTTCCTCAAAATATTAAAACTGTGTCTACCATATGACCCAGTAATCCTACTTCCAGGACTGCTTATTTTTCCAAAAGAAATGAAATCAGGATCTCAAAGATATATTAGGATTCCTATATTCACTGCAGCTCTGTTCACTACAGTCAAGAGGTGCACGTAACCTAAATGTGCATCAACTGATGAATGAATATAGAAAATGTGGTATGTACATATAATGGAATATTATTTGGCCTGAAAAAATAAGCAAAGTCTGCAATATGTGACAAAATAGATGAGCCTTCAGAACATTATGCTAAGTGAAATGAGCCCGAAAGAGAAATATTGCACAATTGCATTTATATAAGGTACCTAAAGTAGTCAAATTCATAGAATCATAGAATCAAAGGGTGGAAATGTGGCTATCAGGGGTTGAGTGAGGAGGGAAATGAAGAGTTACTAATCAACAGGCATAAAGTTTAAGTCAAGCAAGAAGAATAAGCTCTAGAGATCTGTGGTACAACATTGCAATTATAGTCAACAATAATGTACTGTGCACTTAAAACTTTAGAAGCATATATTTCATGTTGAGTTCTTACTGCAATTAATAAAATAAAATTTAAAAACCATGTTTTAAAAAATAAATGTGCCAAGGAGAGGGATTTAGTTCCAAGTTTTGCATGCAGTTAGAAGCCAATTTACTGAACTGAATTACAAAGCCATAAAAAAGTGTTTTACCTGAATAAAATGACAATTTTAAACTACAGACCTTGTAGTAGGTGTCATTACTTATTGACTTACCATAAATACTTAATGCTGCTTAGTATTGTTATCACAGATCTAATTTCAACAAGAGCCAATTCAAGCCTAACTATTCAAGGAGCTACATTTCTTATCAGGGATTTCAGACATTCAGAGCAGATTGTTGCCATGTTCTAGGACAATGCTCCTACATGATAAAGGAGGTATTTATTTTTTGAATAAGATAATACTGTAATGGAATACATATAGAAGAACTAAATAGGTTACTACACAAAATTGAATATTGCTTAAAGAAATATTAAAAAGCAACAAAACCTTTTAATACTATTTTTAAATGAAACATAAAACATTGGATCACCTATGAATTCACTTCCTCTCTGTCAATATTTTATTTCTCGAAGCTACTGAAAATACAGCTTTCAAATTCTAGTTCTGGTATTTTCAATACAGATTTTGGTACCATCACATTTCTCTTTTTTATCTGATTAATGAGCTACTGAAATATCCTTGTAGAGCAAAAACAAAAAATACCATTTGTTTTCAATATAGAATTATTTTGTTTTCCAAGTTCTTAATGTATATGTGTATTGATTTGCCTATTTAACTCTCCAATGACTTGAAAGTTAGACCCATATTATATACGCTTTTTTTATAAAAACAACAACATCAACAACAAAAAAAGGTCTCTCACTCTGTCGTTCAGTCTGGAGTGCAGCGGCGTGATCAGAGCTCACTGCAGCCTCAACCTGGCAGGCTCAAGTGATTCTCCTGCCTCAGCCTCCCAAGTAGCTGGGATTACAGGCATGCACCACCATACCTGGATAATATTTTAAATTATTTTTCATAGAAATGAGGTCTCACTATATTGCCCAGGCTGGTCTCAAACTCCCAGCCTTGAGCAATCCTCCTGCCTCTGCCTCCCAAAGCAGAGACTGGGATTACAGGTGTGAGCCACCATGTCCAGCCTACATATTCTCTTTTTTTTTTTTTTTTGAGACGGAGTCTCGCTCTGTCGCCCAGGCTGGAGTGCAGTGGCGCAGTTTCGGCTCACCGCAAGCTCCGCCTCCTGGGTTCACGCCATTCTCCTGCCTCAGCCCCGCCCCCCCCCCCCCACCCCGTAGCTGGGACTACAGGCACCCGCCACCACACCCGGGTAATTTTTTGTATTTTTAGTAGAGACGGGGTTTCACCGTGTTAGCCAGGATGGTCTCAATCTCCTGGCCTCGTGCTCTGCCCGCCTCGGCCTCCCAAAGTGCTAGGATTACAGGCGTGAGCCACCGGGCCCGGCCCTACATATTCTTTAACTGTGGATCTGTATGCATACAATAATGCTTTATTAAACTTGTATTCATATCTAACATTTTTCTTAAACACACAATGTTTAGTGTGCAGACCATGCATATTCAGTGAATATTTCAGTTCCTTAAAATGTAATATAATGTCTTTGTACAGTTCACAGTATCATAATTTTATGTGGCTATCACATCAGATTGCTTTTTACTGATGATTCCAAAATGAAAAAACAAAGCCACTAACATTACGGCTTTCTTCACATTGAACTAAGTTTAAATTTGAAAGAAAATATGCAGTAATACAGGACTTTATAAAGTATTCCTGATCAAGGGAATTAGAAAGACATATTAAGAATAGAAAGAATTTAGTCTCTTTTCCTCCTTTTTTCCCCTTCAAGACAATTGTCTTTGTATATTGAATACCAGATAAATAAAGAACCCATATTACCTGCTTTCTTTTCCAATAGCTTTGTTTATATCTTTCCTGTGGTGCCTAATATTTTCTCTCTTCACTTTGGACATAGGTATTTTAATTTGCACTTAATATGTGACAATCATTTTGAAGGATTCTCATCTACTGTTACTTGTTAAATCAAGCTGTATAAAATTACCTCTATTTGGTCATTTCAGAACTACAAACATTTGCCAGCAAAACAAAGAAAATTGGTTTTGAAGAATTTTCTAAAAAGACACTACACTACCCAGTGACGCTTCACCGGGAAGACTACAGATCCTACCTTTTCCTTGGTTGAGTACAATGTCATAATGCCAAATCAAAGAAAAGACTTTAAGAGTAGCTTCTTAAAGTAAAAACGTAAAGAGTAGCTTTAATTGTCACACCTATTTGTGCCCAAAATCCAATACCTTGTCTCTTGATTATTTCCATGCTTGTGAAACCAAGGCAATAGGTCCCCAGAACATGAGGGCAAGGTTCCAATAAAAAAATTCCTGTGACACAGGGTGCCTATCAAAAACCAATACTGCTGACTAACTGCAGATTTATTGGATAGAATGTGATTGAAAATGCAATCCATAAATGATTAAACAGTAGAATACAGCAACTAAAGCAGAATGACTAAAAGGAGGTAGAAGAAAGAAATACCTTTGAAATATGAACTAAAGCATATTACTAAACAACTAGACATACCTATTTTCTTCAGGAACAGAAGAGTAGCAAGAAGAGTATGTTGTTATCAAGAAAAAAATAAATATAAAGGTGGCTCTTAGAAGAGACTTTGCAGAAGCTGGAAATTGAGGGAACAGCTGAAATTACTGTGATGCTTTGGAAATAATTGCCACAACTGCAGACAAAAAGTACATGCTGCATCCAGATGTACAGTTAAAGGTTGATGCTAATATATCTCTGATACTTGACCTGTTCACTATTTCCCAGCATACCAATCTTCTCTCCTGTTAGTCCTTATAACAATGGACTGGATACACTATCCCTACAATATGAACTACCACATAGAGTCATTTTTTTCTGATTTAATTAAAAGCTCCACGTAAACCAATGTGGATGTTGTAAATCATGCCGAGTTGTGGTACACATGCCTCTGTAATATTAACAGTGGCCCCAAGGCTAAATTTAGCTATACCACATTATTAAATCCTATGAGTGTAGCTAACATCAGAAAAATGTTTTGAAAGCATAAATATTTTAGCATGAAGATTTAACAAAAATGTATTTCATCATATCAGAATATCAGGGGGGAAAAACTCACTCATTTATAACTGAGCCAAAGGAGAGCTGTTTGCATTTTGCCTTGTCTGTAACTTGGAGATGTATCCTATAAGCGTTCTTTGGTGAGATAAAAACCAGTTTCTATTTTCCTACTAAAATATTTTTAAAAATTGTATTTACCTGGCACTGATTAGTTTGCTTGGTCTTCAGACACAATAAGAACATGTTTAGGTTTCTTCATTAAGAAAGTAAATATAGAATATTCCAAAAAGGCTTTAGAAAATTCAGCAGAACTAATGTAATAAACATACTCACTCTAACATGCATAATAGTAATATAATTTACATTAAATGGATATACAATATTTTATATTTACTTATTTTGCCAACTATTGACAAAATTTTGGAATTTCGCTATGATTTAATATTACTTCTGAATATATATATTAGTAGATAGATTATATCATTGATACTTTTCACTAAATAAGAAAGAAAAAGGAAAATTGATGAGCTAGATGATATTTTAGAAAGCCTCTTTTCTTTCTTCACAAAGGATATTTTCAGTACACCCACTACCACCACCATAACTAAGAGCCTACTATTTGCCAGTTACTATAAACATATGATTTAATTTTATCTTCACAATATCTGTAGTGAGGTATGAATCTGGGGAAACTGGTACTGTAAATGCCTTACAGCTTGGAGAAGAACAGTGGCTAGGTATGCATCTTCTCTTAAGTTAGGATAAAATCTTCCTGACAGTGACTTTTTCTACTAGAAATATTGATAGCACAAATATTTGCAAAGAGTCACTCAAATATGTGCATTAGGTCCAGAAATAACTTGTCAGTTAATTTTTAAGAAATAATCATGTAAGCCCCATGTATAAAAGGATAATAGCACAATCAGGTATTAATCTTCTCAAATTCTGTATGCCTAAACTTTGCTTGCATGGACCTTGGGGCTCAAGGGCAGCTGTGTACTTATGGGCTGCATCTACTCCTTTGTAGCAACCTCATTTCCTCTGTGTTTTATTATTGTTGTTATTGTCATTATTTTGCTAAATAAATGTGAAATTTTATTGTGAGCATTCTATTCCCATCATTATGTTACCTACCCTAGAACACCTCATAAACATGATTTAGCAGAAAGCAAATTCACAGAGTTGAAGGAATTGATCATACTACTCTACTGTAGAGAGAACCAGAATCCACACCCAGCTCTTGTTCAATAATGCTTCTTTAGGTAGAGTTGTTTAAGGCTCCATATGCACCAACATTAATAATTGACATTAAGACTTGAATCTTACATGGAGGTAGGCTGGATAGTGGATTTTTTCATTGAGTGACCAATTGTTTTGTTTTGGGGGGACTATTGGGTTTCCCAGGATGTGGGACTTCCAGTGAGTCCAAGGCAAATTAGGATGGTTGCCCTGCCTAAAGATGACATTTTGACATAATCTATCCTAGTATTCGGAGTGAATAAGTAATATGACTGGCCACATGAACTTAAGAAAATAATATTTTGTATTTTATTGTATCTCCTTTGTTAGAGCCAGTAACCTATAAAAGCAAATTGTCAGTAAATGATCATGGAGCTATTCTAAGCCACAAGTTATATGTGACTAGCTCAAAAATCATCAAGAAATTGTAAAATGTATTTCTACCAACTGAATTATTGCCTATGATAATGCAATTCTTAGTATTTCACTAGACCAGTAAAACTCTGAAAAGAACCAAGCTGTGGTCTACAAATCCATAATCTAGCAAGTTTGAAAATTAAAAATTAATTGTTCTTAGGAGTATAAAAAATCCTATTACTTTATTTTAGCATATCCTCGACCCAATCTACTGAAACAAATACAAAATACATGGTCTGGACTTTTGCAAGATTTTCTAATGAATAATTATTTTAAATTTTTCAATTATAATCTAACAGCATATTAAAAATAATACATATTTAAAGTTAGAAAAATATAATCAATGAATATCCTAGATGTTTGCTAAAACACAGATTATTTGATATGGTCCAAAATATTTGTATTGTGAGATGGCTTTTAGTGTTGTCTTTCATTTGACTAAGGCTGTTTATTGTATCTGGATTATGATATCTTCTGGGAGAGTTACTAGTTTATGGGGTATATTTATGTTAAGAACCCATAGTTTCAAGATACATTTGAATAAAGAAATACAAAAATTTCATTGGTAGGACAACAAAATGCACCAATGTAGGGCGATCTCAGCAACATGCAAACTTCCTTTTATGACAGTAATAGAATTTTAAAAAATCTGGGTCATCTTATTGCTCTGGATACTGCCTTAGGAAAACCAAAGTTGAAACCTCTTAATGACCATTGCTTCTGTTCAAGATTTGCTGTCTTATCATCATCTATATTTTTACATTTCTGAAGTTACATTAGTGAAAATAGGTCATATATGTGCTTGATTACCTTAGGAAATGACAGAGCACTGAAATGAAGAATCTGTTGAATATCAACAACCACAACCTTGCAAGTTTCTTCTATTTCCTAATAAACCATTATCAATTTCATAAAAAATATTTTGTATTTATGTTAAACATTTGTTCTCCTAATAGGTTAGATATAAATATACCTAGAATATGAGTCATTTCTATAGATTTTAGTGGGAAATACTAATATCTAACATATGCAGTGACAAAAGTCATCCATAAAATGATCATGAACTTATTTCAAGATTAATCATCCATGATTGAAGCTATACCCTGTAGGCAGAACAATGCTGTCCCCAAAAGATGCCCATGTGTTATTATTTTTGAAAACAAAAATGTTTTCTTCATTTTTAAGAAGGTGAAAAATAAGTTTAGAGAAGCTAACTATTAGTAACATCATAAAAGATTTCAGAACCAAAATTTAAACCTTATACTTTTGAATGTTAAAACTTATGCAAAAGAGTTACAGGGAACATCTTATTCTCTATATCTACAATATTCTAATAAGATTTGTTGTGTTCCATTATTGGCTGTAGTAGTAAACACTGTTGTTCAGATAACCTGGATTATTATCTATGATAAAAAATTATTAAAGCACCCATATTTCCAATATTTTAGCGCATGAAAGGTGAAAAGTCCAATGTTTTTTCTTCCATTTCACATATTAGCTTTGCCCTCACTGAAAAAGAAACTCAGGGAAAAAAATCCAAGAATAATGCACAAGTTCACTGACTTATCATTTATGTCCCTGCTGTAATCTTTTGACGATGCTTTTAAAAATCCATGATGTATAACAGGAGTGATATCTGTCTCTCCCTAAAATTTCATCTTACCTTCTTCCTTTAGAGTTGTGTTCTTTGTATTTCCCCAAAGCTAAGAATACAAGGCCATAAATGTTCTCAATAGAGTCACTTCTTTAATTTGAGTTCTCAGTGAGGAATAGGCTCTTTAACATATCTGACTCATTTTCTTGCTTTGATTTAGCATATATTATAAACTTATGTCTGAAATTTTAAGGAAAAGCAATCCTAAATGCAAAGTCCACATTCAGTAATTTGGGAGTATTATAGACTGAATTGTGTCTTTCCCTCCAAATTCATATCCTGAATCCTGTCTGTGTGACTGTATTTGGAGATAGGGCTTTTACAGAGAGGTAACCAAGGGTAAATGAGGTCCTAAGGATGAGACTCTAATCAAATATGGCTAGTGTCCATGTTTGGGACACTAGAGGAAGGGACACTAGAGCTTTCTCTCTTTCCCTCCATGAATGCACAGAGGAAAGGTTATATGAAGACACAGCAAGAAAGCAGCCATCCGCAAGCCAAGAAAATAGCCTTCACCAGAAACCAACCCTGATGGCACCTTGTAAACTTTTGACCTCTAGACCTATGAGAATATAAATTTCTACCGTTTCAGTCACTCAGTCTGTGGTGCTCTGCTATGGCAGCCCAAGCTGACTAACATAGGACATCATCATACGTATACCATCTATTTTCACAAACCTAAATAGTCCTTAAAAACTGTTATTGATGGTTAACTAGCATATCTAGATTCTAATAAATGATTCTCTTGATTATCTAGATGCTATGAAGATCATCTAAACACAAGAGGCTAGAGAAATTCATATGGCTAAGGAAAATGGCTGATGTTAGTACTAAGGTGCAAGTTACGGCAAAATCTTTGCTGCTACTTCCTCTTGCACTTACACTGGCTGTCTATGACCATAGGTGTAGCATATCGCAAGAGAAATTGTTTTTGTATTTTGTTTCATGCCCACAGCTATCAAAATTTATATAACTAAGATATTTTCTTTTTCATAAGGCTTAAGTAAGTTAGTTAAATTCCTCTAAACATGAAGAGAACTATCATGAATAGATAACAGTATACCAAAGGTTTTATACTGAAATTCACAACAATTTCTGGACATTTATATCATAACTTTCCTAAGAGCTATATAAAATAATAAAAAGAGATAATAGTTGCCTAACATAGGAAACAAAGACGTTTCTTGACCTCTATCTTTTTCCATGAAAATTTATTGAGACAAAAAGAAAAAAAAAGAGTAGAAGAGAAAGGAAAAAAAATTGAAGAATAAGTGAGAGAGGGAGGGAGGAGAAAGATAAATATTTTCCCTCTATTTCTATAGCCAGTAATACTTTTATGGCTTGGTTTCTTGAATTAAATCCCATTTAAAGATGATATCTTAATTAGATAATGTTTATAAATGCTAAGGTAGAGCAGACTAAATCAAGGGACTTATATAATTAGGCCAAATGAGCCACACCTATCCCTTTTTTATACACTTCATCATAACCTCTCAAGCAGGTAAAAAATATGTTTTTCATCCTAATATAGGTAACCTACTTAATTCTTATTTGCCTTTGAAGTTGTGAGACATCAAGTCATAAGTGCTTGAAATTCATTAAAATAAATAAAACTTGTTTTATCATAATTTCTATGTGTCCTAGTGTTGGTAACACACATAATATAAGAAATTTAAAATAATTTATACTCAGTTATCCTAATTATGATAATTTCAAAATACACCTATATTACCATCTAAACTTATAAATTTTAACAGGCTTATTTTAATAAACTATGAGAAATACAGCTACATTAAGAATTTACCAATCAAGGGAGTATATATTCATGGCAATTTGAATTTATGCTCCCAGGTTAAAGATATATATAAATTTTAAAAATAATTTACCAATCAAGAGGTAAGCCCCCTTTTCATCCAAATATGAGTAGGGAAACAACCAAAACAACTTCTAGACCCTCCTAAGCACTGTGTCAATTGGTCAGGGTGCATGACAATAAATAAATAAATAAGTCACTTTATCTTTTATAAAATTCTATGAACTGTCTTGATAAATTTTAAGACAGCTAGATTAGGTGTGATACATAATGACACTTCTGTGGCAGGAGACATTTTCATAGCATGCCAAACAAGAAATGGGAGTCAACAAATTAATTAACACTTTCTCTGGCTGATATACAATTATGAGTTCCACCACAATGCTATTTCACAGTAGGAAAGTTAAGAAACCACATCACTGGAATTCTACAGATGACATTGACTTTATCATGACACCTAGACACTGCCTTTCGAAGCAGTTCTAGATAATTAATTTCTATTCACAAAATGGAATGGGCTCATGGAAACAGTAGGATAACAAGGACTACATATTATTATCATCCAAAGTAATTATTTAAACTTGTTTAAAGTGTATACATTGCCAGGCCATCTGCCAGGAAGTCTAGTTCAGCAGGTATGGGATGGAGCCAGAAAACTTACTCCATGGTGTAACTGTTCTGCAGTAAGAACTTTTTAGACATTTTTACTTCTAGTATACATTGTTTCCATCTTTACATCCTGTATCATTTGGGCATTGTGCAAATCAGGTCCATAGACTGACTGCAATTAAAAAGTTGATGTGATTGTGGAGATGTTCCAGTGGCATTTTGTCTCTACCAAAAGTACATTGATTAGCCAATTATTTGACATTCATTGAAAGAATAATTTCTAAAGTAAAGTAAGACTTTTATAAACATATTGGTTTACAGAGAAGATTAACGAAACATATTACAATATGTATAATTTTCTTCTTTCAATAAGGTACACATTTTCCTTGACATTTTGCAAACCAACAGTTTAAAATACAGTAATTTTACGTACATCACTTAGAGATTCAAAACAGTAAGAATCACTAGGAGCAACTGACTTTCACATTGATTATAGCAATGGTAACTTATGTTCCTCTTCCACTATTAAAAGAGCAATGAAATATCTCGCATGCAATTACTTGTAGTTTACAGACTCATTTGCATGAGGATGTTCTAAGCTTAATTTATACCCTGTGTATTTTGAAAGCTACCTCATTTATTTCACCTATTTGAAATTCACAAACCCTTCCAACTATGAGCACCACCAGATGGAAAAATTTCTGAAGTGAACCCAGTTTGAATGTGTAAAGTATGAAGCATATGACATGTCTGATTACAGTTACTGAAGAGTTGAATAGGTACTAGTTTATATTTTTAAACTCAATTACTTACCATAATTCTAATACTCATTTTGCAGTGAACATCAATCAAAAACTTTGTGAGATAATTTATAAAGGTGAATAATAGGTTTTTATGTTTGCCCAGTCTAGATACATATTAGCTGAAAAATAAAAAATGCAACATAAAGCTGAAAGGTTAAATAAAGTATCTCTAGTACAGCACTCCTGTGACCTCCATAGAACAGGTATTCAAAGACTGTTTTCTAAGCCAAATTTTTTTTTTTAATAATCACAGAAATAAAGTCATCCAGTTACTTTAAAAGATCTCAGGAATTCTATCACTTTTCCTGGTAATCTTCCCCTTTTGGCTTTAAGGTATGAAGTCCTTATTTATTCCTAACAAAACACTCTGGCTGAGATTTAAGTTCATTTTCTCCATCTCTGTGAAAACTAAGAAGAGCTGTCAGTCTCCTATTTAGAATAACTCTTCAAACACTGGAGTCAATCTAGTCCCCATTCCTTATGAGCTGTGGGACCTTGGAAAATGATAAAAATCACATCTACAACATAAAAATATTAAATATAATTTTATTGGTTATCTTTGTCTTTAAAGAATTTTTGCATAAGTCAATTTAGTTCATTCTCAAAACAATCCAGTGAGGATGCTTTAATTGCTGCAGGACAGTTCATTATGTGTCAGATGATAGAAAAATACATGACAAGAAAAATCTACCTGTTTATGTTCCTATAGTTATAAAAATAAACTGAGATAAAAACACTAAAGATTTTAAAAATTAATAAGGCACTGCTAAAGTGCAAAGTGGTAACTTAATTAATAATATATACTAGTGTTTTTTTCTTCCTCATTCCATAGTAATTCTTTTATTCATCCCATAGGCCATACTTTCATTTTATTTTTAATTTTCTCTGTATCTATATATTTCAAAAAAATTAAAGAAGCTAAGAAAAACAAAATTAGTTATAAGGCACAATACATTTCATGCCATGAAGAATAACATAATTATAACCAGTTCTTATATGTTAACCTGTTTATTCTTGTTTCTCAATATCCAATTTCCCCTTTTTTAAGTCAGATGAGATTAACTTTTATAAGTGCTAAGTCCACTAAGATTTTATATTTCTATTTTTTTCTGCAACATAATTTCCATCACTTTTTTTTTTTTTTTTGAGACAGTCTCTCACTGTCACCCAGGCTGGAGTGCAGTGGCGCTATCTCAGCTCACTGCAACCTCCACCTCCTGAGTTCACGCCATTTTCCTGCCTCAGCCTCCCAAGCAGCTGGGACTACAGTCGCCTGCCACCATGCCCGGCTAATGTTTTGTATTTTGAGACGAGGTTTCACTGTGTTAGCCAGGATGGTCTCAATCTCCTGACCTCGTGATCTGCCCACCTCGGCCTCCCAAAGTGCTGGGATTACAGGAGTGAGCCACCGTGCCCAGCCTCCATCAACTATTTCTTATGATTATTGATAAAGTTTAATTTTCTCTCATTGTTCTTGTATTTTAATGACTTTTAACTATACGAAATAGAGCATTCTCTAGTTTTTTTTTTTCTTTTATTATTATACTTTAAGTTTTAGGGTACATGTGCACAATGTGCAGGTTAGTTACATATGTATACATGTGCCATGCTGGTGCACTGCACCCACTAACTCGTCATCTAGCATTAGGTATATCTCCCAATGCTATAGCTCCCCCCCCGACCCCACAACAGTCCCCAGAGTGTGATGTTCCCCTTCCTGTGTCCATGTGATCTCATTGTTCAATTCCCACCTATGAGTGAGAATATGCGGTGTTTGGTTTTTTGTTCTTGCGATAGTTTACTGAGAATGAAGATTTCCAATTTCATCCATGTCCCCACAAAGGACATGAACTCATCCTTTTTTATGGCTGCATAGTATTCCATGGTGTATATGTGCCACATTTTCTTAATCCAGTCTATCATTGTTGGACATTTGGGTTGGTTCCAAGTCTTTGCTATTGTGAATAATGCCGCAATAAACATACGTGTGCATGTGTCTTTATAGCAGCATGATTTATAGTCCTTTGGGTATATACCCAGTAATGGGATGGCTGGGTCAAATGGTATTTCTAGTTCTAGATCCCGGAGGAATCGCCACACTGACTTCCACAATGGTTGAACTAGTTTACAGTCCCACCAACAGTGTAAAAGTGTTCCTATTTCTCCACATCCTCTCCAGCACCTGTTGTTTCCTGACTTTTTAATGATTGCCATTCTAACTGGTGTGAGATGGTATCTCATTGTGGTTTTGATTTGCATTTCTCTGATGGCCAGTGATGACGAGCATTTTTTCATGTGTTTTTTGGCTGCATAAATGTCTTCTTTTGAGAAGTGTCTGTTCATGTCCTTCGCCCACTTTTTGATGGGGTTGTTTGTTTTTTTCTTGTAAATTTGTTTGAGTTCATTGTAGATTCTGGATATTAGCCCTTTGTCAGATAAGTAGGTTGCGAAAATTTTCTCCCATTTTGTAGGTTGCCTGTTCACTCTGATGGTAGTTTCTTTTGCTGTGCAGAAGCTCTTTAGTTTAATTAGATCCCATTTGTCAATTTTGGCTTTTGTTGCCATTGCTTCTGGTGTTTTAGACATGAAGTCCTTGCCCATGCCTATGTCCTGAATGGTAATGCCTAGGTTTTCTTCTAGGGTTTTTATGGTTTTAGGTCTAACATTTAAGTCTTTAATCCATCTTGAATTGATTTTTGTATAAGGTGTAAGGAAGGGATCCAGTTTCAGCTTTCTACTTATGGCTAGCCAATTTTCCCAGCACCATTTATTAAATAGGGAATCCTTTCCCCCATTGCTTGTTTTTCGAGCATTCTCTAGTTTAAGACAATTTAAATCTTAGCCAAAATCAGTGTTCCTCCATTGCTGAACCATAGGAGGGTCCCAATAAGTTTCTGATGAATAGAAAAATAAATGTATAAAACAATGAACATTTTGAAATCTTGGCAACTCGATGGAACACATGTTGATGAACCAATGTCATAGTTGACTTTTTAAAATATATTTTACAATAAAGTCCTAGGTTTAATCTTTTTATCAACTGAGTTAGTTGGATTTGCTGACCAGCTCTTTGTTGGAAGAACTAATAAAGTGTGTTTCACATGCTTTATACGTATCCACTCATTAATTCTTTCTACAACTTCATGAGTTTATGAGGAAATCAGGCAAAGAAGAGTAAGATGACTTGCTCAACAAGGTGCAAAAGCTAGTAAGTGGCACAAGCAGAGTCTAGACCCAGACACAAAAAAAGCCCACACTTTTAGAGATTTTTGTTTAATGGGAAAAGGGTCTTTAAAAATCTTTAGTCTAATATAGTTACTTAAAAGTAAAAACTTATATACCTAATGTAAATGACGAGTTAATGGGTGCAGCACACCAACATGGCCCATGTATACATATGTAACAAACCTGCACGTTGTGCACATGTACCCTAGAACTTAAAGTATAATAATATATATATGTAAAAATTTATATTGATATGAAAAATTGGAGTTTCTCAAAACCAGTTCAAATTTTAATTTATTAAAGTAATTCTTTATGCACATTCATACAAAATATGTTTTTCTCATATACCTTCTCTTTGCTCTTTCATTTATCAATTTCTTCTAAATATGTTTACCGTTATTCTGGGGTCTATATTATTGAACAAAGGCTAACTTAAGTTTCAATCCTATTAATGTTTTCACATTTTCTACAAAAATATTGTTCTAAAAACATCTATCTGAAATTACCTATTAGTTTTCTTGACTTGACACAAAGTAAAAGAAAGTTTCTTTTACTTAACTTTGAAAGCACAAAACTCATTTAGCAACTTCAATCACGAATTTTTATATGTAGAATCTAGTATTTCTCAAGAATATTTTTGAACAGGATATATGCTCGTTAGTGACATTTTAGAATGCAATACTTTAAAGAGCTATAATTTTGTATGTTATACACGTAAACATATTACATGGAGTATATTACAATGACATTTTACTGTGTCCATGTATGAAGCTTTTCAGATATCCCAGGATTTTCTGGGAATAAAGGTGCTTATTCCTACATACACCGTAGAAATCATTTGGTCTTTAAAAAAGTTAAAGAGAGTTTTTAAACATTAGTTGTAGATAAGATACATGTAACATACAGAGATAATTCCATACCTGTTTTATTGGACAGTCTAAACGACACCATCTTATCAGGAATATTACATACATTCCTCACTGAAGCAATGCAGCTATAATTAGCATAGTCCTGAGGTCGAAGATTCTTTAGTTTTAAGATCTTTGTTTCACCCTGAAAATGTACACAAAAAATAAAAGTCATTAGAAAAAGCCAACACAACCAGAATGAATGAAACATCACATCACATTACATTGTATTAAATCATATTATTATCAGAATATGACAGACTGTCTTTTTTTAAGGGAAATGTCCTATCTTTCAAATAAGTTATAAATGAACTAACTTTAAAATAACACTGCATTTTAAAATAATACTGTAATATTAAGTATGCCTGGAGATAAAAACTAACAGACTACAATGAAAATTCATAACATTTTCTTTGCAAACTAGCTTCCTCAGGGGAAAAGTCTATTTCTGGTGGTAGTTATGCAAATTATTATGCAAAGATCAGAGCAGTGTACTTAATAATGGAGTGCATTCAACAAACACTGCAATCTATTCAGACATCGATGTGAGAAGACAAAAGAAAAGAATCTGAAGAAGCGCCAACAAATGAAACACGGTTGTTAGAACAAAGTTAATTACGTAAATCTAATGATAGATAATTACATTTATAAACATAAATATTTTGTATATGGAGCAATGACAGGTGACAGATCTAAAACTGAAGGAAAGAAGCATTCGTGAGTGTTTCTATATTATTATTGTTCTTGTTATTTCATGTTCAAGAGTTTAAGGGGTAACTCTCCAGGTAAATCTGCACAACTGTAGATAGATGCAAATCAAGCAAGTGGCCAGAAGTATCTAACAAACTCTTGATGAACCAAGAAAGACTTTGTAAAAACATTGGATTGAAATTGTTGAAAGGAAAAAAAGAACAAACAACAAAACGTAGTCTCCTGCCCAATTCAAATTAGGTCCCCTGGGCTTTCTTTGCCTTCTAAAGTCATTAATGCATCATCTCAAAATAGTTCTTCTTGTAAATAACTTACTTATTTTAATGGCAAAACAGTGTCTCAATGATTTTATAGTATTAGGGATACTATAAAAATTCAAAATGTTTATTTTTTCCAGATAACGTGTGTACGGAACAATGTGTTTCATCACTTTACCTGGGTAACATTTGTCGAGTTCTAAAACTTGCAATACTTTCATATGTTATAGAGGAGGACTGGAATACTTAGTGACTTACTACATAAAAACACTGCTGTTCATTTGCAAGAAAGCTTACCCAGACATAGGCACACAGTTTTGCAAATCTGTCAAATGAATCTCTATTCTAGTGTGCATGGAATTGTGGCCATAAGTATTTTCATTCACTGTCCAAATTCAGTCTTAAATCAGTCACCCCTTTAGCATTTTCCTCAGTGGTAAAAAAAAAAAAAACAAACAAACAAAAAAAAACTACCTTTCAATTTTTGTTTAGAAGAAACACTGAATTTTTAACTTACAAGAAAATATAAATGTATCCGATACAAGTATACACATAAATCTATATGTTTCTAGAGTTTATATATAAAACTATTCTCTTGTGTTACAGAATTCCCATACATGATATAAAATGCCTAGAAAGTGGGCTTAGCTAGAAAGAACAGTTGAAAGAAAATGATATGCTAGAATTAGTCAACTCAGATAATTTTTAAATAAAGTGATACATCTTACCTCTCCTACCTTTGTCACACGTATTGCTCAAATTTCTTTGCTTTTCTTTCTCCTCTCAATACGACTAGTGTTATTCCTTGGAATTCTACTTGTTCCATAGTTAACCTCACTTTATAACATTTCATTAGGTGGCATTATCCTTGCTGATGAATTTCTACTACAAGCTCTATTTTCTTGCCCCACTCCCAAGTCTAAGCCCCATTTCCAGAATTCTCCCTTAAGTTTCAGATACACATAACAAATGTTTGTCAATATGTCCATTCTGATACTTCAGACACATCTGAACTCAACATATCCTAAATTGAACTTCAAATATATTCCTTTAAACCTACTCCTCCTTCTGTAATAATGGGAATTTACACCCAATTATAACTTCTTATTCATACATTCAGTATCTCTGTCTCTCAGCTAGATCCTTTTATTGATCTTTACTCATGTTCAATCCCAATTATTCTTTGTATCTATTTTTAATCATAATGCTCTAAACCCTACAATCAACTAAAAAACTCATGATTGTACTTAGTATAGCTTAAGAATGCAAGCAAGCCACAATGATTTACACTTTAACCAATATTTTTTTCAGCTTTATTGAAGTATAATGGACAAAATAATTGTATACATTTAAGGTATACAACTGTGCTTTGATATACATTGTAAAATAATCATCACAATCGAGCTAATTAACATATACATAACCTCACATAATTATTTTTATTCACTTGTTAAATACATGAAATCTAATTATGCCATCTCCTTGCCAGACTTCTCCCTTTGCCAGTAAGTACCCAGAGAGTAGAGATTATGTCTGTCTTGCTCTCAGCATTATATTCTGGGCACGTGACACAGGGCTTAGCAGAGAGGAGACAATTTTTAAGTTAATACTTTTTCAGTTAATAGTACTGTAACTACCCAAGGTTTGCTTTATATATATTTATTTCTCCAGAATTTACTATTTGTTTGGCACTGGTATAAACTCAATATAATTAAATGAGTAAAATATAATCAGAGCCTAAATACACTTAAGAGAAAAATTCCCTTACATTATTACAGATAATCAATAGATATTTGTGCATATTGTAAAAAAGAAAGTGGGTCTGTTACTCTAGTAATGATTTATCTAGATTGTGCTTTTAGGTTTGGAAGGAAATTTGAACTGAAGACAAATTATCAGGACAAAACTCAAGACAAAACTTGAGCCATATCAAAAGAAATAAAACAAATGAAAATCAGTAGAATTACAACTGAAAAAACACATGGATATAGATATTGATGATATATAGGTACAGATACATGCAGTTACATATATATGATGATATAATGAAACAATATATAATACATGCAATTACATATTTATGTGTGTATATATACACACACACACACTATATATATATATATATATCACACACATAATTACTCCAAAAATAACCAACCTCTAATCATTCTGAAAGATTTACTGCATGTAGTCAATATTCTAAAAGCAACCACGGAGTGATAATGATTCTCAGATATAAACAAATAATGAACATTGTCATTTAGATGTATATTTAATAATAAAGTCTCTTTACTCACATAGAGTTAATTATACTCTGTCAGTCCTTGTTTCTGTTTCCACTGACAAATTCTGTTTCAATTTGCATTTTCTGAATAATACTTTTCCAACATTCCACTGAAATAGTACCTAGTAATTTCATTAATGATGATGATCTCTTGTTAAAATTTAATAAACCTTTCTTTTGTATGCTTCCATACTTCTCTGCTTATTTCTAACACTTTAGATTACCTTTACTACTGTGACAGCTCCTCGTATATAGGCAATTAATTACAGATATAATAATTTAGTCATTTCTTGGTTGTTTTACCATTGAATATTCTAGTTACTGAAGTCTGCAACCTTTTACTAATATATTCCTAGTGAAATCTGATCCATTATCATGGTTCCAATGAGCACTAATGTATAGATAACTGACAAATCTCTAGACAAAAAGAAAAAAAGCAAACTTACTAAAAATCACCAATAGTATTATAATTAATAAATTCTAGATTATCCTAATTTTTCTTGTCCTTGGAGTTGCAATGTTTGCTAGCATACATTATAGGACATACTTAAATTTTGGTCTATCCCACTCAACATTTTCCCCAAGAAGAAATGTAGTCTCTTATCCTTTTGGATCTCTTAAGATAATCTATGCTGCATTTCTAATTCTCTTTTCTTTTTTTTTCAGGGGGTGGGCGGGGTCAAGGTTTAAGGGCTAGAAAACCTTGAATTGTTCCCCTTCACTGAAAGGTCATTTCAAAAACCGTTAGTTTGTCATTTGAGACTCTATGCAGTCTAAGCAAAACACTTTTTCCTTATTCCTCACATAAACTCTTCATTCTCATCAAATTAGTTATGTCACTATCTTGAGGTATCTCTTTATGATTTCCTAATGCTCCCCATTCCTTGCTATGAGTCATTTTTTTGTTCCTATCTGAACTGATGTGTCCTTCAAAAAATATATTGTGACTGGAGTGCAGCGCAACAAAGAGCATAAAATGAGATAAGATTTCAAAGCTTGGAAAAGGTCATATTAGAGGGGCTATGATCGCAGATTTATATTTATTCTAAAGTTACTTATTCTGTGTTTAACGCTACTAATCTCCTCTTTCTAATTTTTTTCACCAAGGCTTGCTTTCTCCTCTTGGAAGATACGTCAAACTTGATTTCCACCAACCCTAATTCTCCATTTCACCAAACAACTCTACTCTCCAGTCTTTTTGAATTTTATCTGACAGCCATTATTTCAAGAAAGTGTTTTCTCTCTTTTTTTTTTTTTTTTTTTGAGACATAGTTTAGCTCTGTCACCCAGGCTGGAGTGCAGTGGCGCAACCTCGGCTCGCTGAAACTCTGCCTCCAGGTTCAAGCGATTCCCATGCTTCAGCCTCCCAAGTAGCTGGGATTATAGGTGCATGCCATCACACTGGGATAATTTTTATATTTTTAGTAGAGACGGGATTTCACCATATTGACCAGGCTGGTCTGGAACTCCTGGCCTCAAGTGATCTGCCTGCCTTGGCCTCCCAAAGTGCTGGGATTACAGGCATGAGCCACTGCACCAGCCTCAATATGAAGAGATTTCAACCTAAAAGCTCTTACTTCTGATCCATCCTCTAAAAGTGTATTCTTCCTATACGTATTCTCCTTTACTTTTTGAGTTAATGCTTTTGTCTATTTATATCAGTCACATTTGTGTATATATTTATATATGTTTTTATCATTTACATTATGTCTATGTATTGATCCTGCCTTTCCATTTAATGAGATCACTTCAAATTCTCTTCCCTACCATTTGGGCAGTGTTTTGCATGTTGTCAACTCAGAAAAGATTGCTGACTAGATAGGAATAGAGCACACAGTAAGGTTTTAGTAAGCTTCCTGAACCATGTTGACTCTAATGGTAGTAATAGGAACTTTAAAAATCTTTACATTAGGGTAGCCTGCAAGATAGATTTATGAAGCTGCATTTGGGGCCACCCATAGCAGAGCTGAACAGTCAATTATGGAAAAGAGAATGTAAAAGAAAGGTAAGCCCCAAGGGAAATATATACAATAATCAAGTACAGAGAATCAACATCAATGCAGCTCTGGCCATTAAAATGCAGAGGTGGCTTTTGTAAAGGATGCATCCTTAAAATATTTTGTATACCTGAATTTTTTTGGTCATGGACACTGCTGGTATTTATGTTATCTAAAGGTAAAAAATATGAATTTGGTGGTAATATTGATATTACAAAAGAGAATTTGTGCTACTGTTTGAGATGATTTCTATTCTTTAAAGACCTACAAGTGTGGCCCTATAAATACAATGGTATGCACATCCATATCCTAGTTAATTCTTATTCAGAGCACAGCAACAAAATTGGCATAGGAGAAGGTGCTATAGTTTGGATGTTTGTCCCTAATCTTCATGTTGAAATTTAATCCCAATGTTGGAGGTAGGGCCTAATGAAAGGTATCTGGGTCATGCGGGCAGACCCCTCATGAATAGATGATTAATGTCCTGAGGGGGGCTGTGAGTTCTAACTCTGTTAATTTCCTTGAGAGCTGGTTGTTAAAAAGAAATCTGATACCTCCCCCTCTCTCTCTTGCTTCCTCTCTCATCATGTGATCTCTGCACATACCAGCTCCCCTTTGCCTTTTGCCATGAGTGAAAGCAGCATGAAGCCCTCACCAGACGCAGATGCCACATCATGCTTCCTGTACAGTCTGCAAAACTGAGAACCAAATAAATCTCTTTTCTTTATACATTACCTAATCTCAGGTGTTCCTATATGGCAACACAAAACACAGAACACAATAACAAAATGGACTGTAAAGAATAGACAAAAAAGAAAGAAAAGCCTCTAGAGCCATGATTTCCCAATGGTTCAGCTATCATGGGATTGGAGAGTTGTTCTGGGTGAGTTAAAATGATTTCCTGCAGTCAGAAAACAAGATACCAAGATATGTGAACCTAGAGGGCCCAGGTAACATGGTCTCTAAGTTAATATGTAAGATTAATGTATATACCATGCCAATGGGAGAGTGGGTAATACAGATGAAGTCTGTTAATGGAATATTGTTTAAAATAACAGAATTATGGAAAATTTTGAGCCTTACCTTCTTAATTCATGACAGTCAGCATATAATAAAAATATTTTAAAACAATACAGCAGAATGTATAAGAAAGCAGAGAATATGTGCACACATAGATTAATGTTATCAAATGGCATATATGTATACCTGTGATAATGAGTATAATTTAGGCTTTACTATTTATAACTACTTTAACATTAATTTTATTTTGTTGATCATTTGAATTTGATACTTTGGGTGTTGGGAGGCTTTTTGCAAGTGAATTTTCATGATTTGTAAAAAGGAATTTTGAGTTGATTATTGTCTAATTGTATAATTAGTCTAATTAGACTAATTATAACTAATTAGGTAATTGATGTAAATATGTTCAGTCTTGTAATTAGATGGTATAATTACAATACACAAGATGATGTCATGAACATCTTTACAAAAGTTCTAGACTAATGGAAAGTGAATTTTCAATTTGTAAGATTTAAGCAATTGTTTAACATTTCTTAAACAATTACAAAATTATCTGCAATACATATATTTAACTTTTGACATTATTTTTTAACAAAAGAAATAAAAGGAAGACATACAATGTATATTAGTTAGTGGCCCTTACCAATGCTGACATTGCTGTAATGAAGCAGCCTCAAGCCGTATTTCCATATTACTTATAAAATAAACTAGAACTTTAAAAAAATTATATTCATTCATTTTGATACTTAGATATCAGTAAAAACTAAAGTCTGTCAATTTAGATTCATTTTATGAAGCTCTAATGACTAATTTATTACAAATTTATAAATAGAAAATGATATATGCTGGCCTATGTCTTTTAGTAGTAAGTGAGTGGAAGGACGAAAAGTATAATTATTCGTCTTAGAAATACTGCATTATGTGCTTATGAATTCATATCAGCTTTAGGAACACAGACCAATTTTTTTCTGGAAACATTGTCTATAAAAAGGTATAAACAAGATTTTTGTCACTCAACAGAATTCAGGAATAAATATTCAATTCAAATTGCTATAGTTATTAACATATAATGAATGGGTATACAAAATAGATATATCTCATCTTAGAAATTCTATTTTATTAAAAACAAGACATTATTATTAAATAACATTATTATTGAAAACATATCTTCAAAAGAAGTTTCATTTTCTAACATTAAAACTTAAGTAGACATATGATCTATTATCTGAACCCTTCCACCATATATACCCAGTATGACTTCCCAGCTTCACAGTTCCCTGTTCTCCACACATACTAATTATTGTTCTAACTAACCAGAGATACAGATACTCTTTGGAGACATTGTCTTTCTTCTGCATTACTTGCATGTGCTAATGTCTCCACCTTGAGTGCTCCCTCCATAGCAGTGTTGTGTAGCTCTATTTAGACAACGATTTTTATTTTATATCATAATTATTGATCACCTTAAGTTTTCCTTTATATATCAACAAACATTAGAGGAGAAGCCTTGCCTAGTGACCTCTGTGTCTCTGGAAAAGGTATGCCCATATCTTGAATATACTAGATCTTATTTTAACTGAATCTTATTTACGTCATGAAGCCACAAAGGTCAATGACTATCAACCTAAGGAGATAAATTTAAAAATTAAAATATTATTGAAGTGCTCCAATACAAACAATACTAACATAAAAGTTTTTTTCATTATAGAGTACACATGGCAGTATGGGAAACAGTAGTTCAAGAAATCAATAACATCTAAGAAGTATATATGTATATGTTTATATAAGGTTATATATACATATATACACACAAATATATATGTGTATATATATGTATATATATACACACATATATATACACATATATATATACACACATATATATACACATATATATATATACACACACACACATATATATATATATATATACACATATGGAGAGAGGGAGAGAGAGGCATAAAAACACTAGCACAATAAGCAAAAGATAAAGTAAACAGGGAAAGAGTAACCCAATATGGAAGTATAAAAAGGAAGGAATGAGACATCATATCAGCTTTTCATAGATGGCTTCTCTGAGATGATGAGTCCTCAGTGTTAAGAAGGCCTCTGCCATATTATCAAACTAAAGAATACCTAGAAATAAATTTAACCAAGGAGGGGAAAGATGGATACAATTCAAACCATCAAACATCGATGAGAAAAACTGAAGAGGATACAATTAAATTGGAAGATATCACAGGTTAATGGATTGGAAGAATTAACATTGTTAAAATGTCTGTGCTATCCAAAGTGATCCACAGATTCAATCCAATCTTGTCAAAATACCAATGAAATTCTTCACAGATATTGGAAAACACAATCCAAAATTTCTATGAAACCACAAAAGATCCCAAACAGCCAAAGCAATTTTGAGCAAAAACAACAAAGTTGGCATCATACTATCTGACTTCAAAATATTCTACAATACTATAGTAACCAAAACAGCATAGTACTGACATAAAAATAGACATAGAGACCAATGGAATGGAATAGACAGCACATAACCAAATCAACACACTTACAGCCAATGAATTTTCAACAAAAGTGCTAAAATCTCACATTAGGGAATGGACAATGTGTCTTCAGTAGATAGTGCTGGGAAGCTTGAATATTCACATGCAGAAAAGTAAAGCTAGACTTCTATCTCTCCGCATATAAAAACATCAACTCAAAATGAATTCAAGACTTAAATGTAAGACCTGAGATAACACAACTACTAGAAGAAAACATAGGGGAAATGCTTCATGACATTGGTCTGGGGACAGGCAACTGAAACAGAAATAGAGAAACAGAATTATATTGAACTAAAAAGCTTGGGCATAGGAATGGAAACAATCAACACAGTGAAGAAACAACTTACAGAATGGGAGAAAATATTTGCAAACTATGCATTTGATAAGAGGTTAATATCTAGAAAATACACAGAACTCAACTCAATAGCAAAAAAAAATCTCATTTTAAAATGGGCAAAAGATGTAAATAGACATTACTCAAAAGAATACATACAAATGACCAACAGTTATGTGAAAAAATGCTCAACATCACTAATTATTAGGGACATGCAAAACAAAACCACAGTGAGCTATCACCTCCCTCCCATTAGAATGCTATTATCAAAAGGACAAAAAATAACAAATTCTGGTGTGGATGCAGAGAAAGAGGAACACTTATACACTGTTGGCGGGAATGCAAATTAGTACAGCCATTATGGAAAACAGTATAGAGGTTCCTCAAAAAATTAAAAATAGAGCTATAATATGATCCAGCAATCCTACTGTTGGATAGATCCAAAAGAAATTAAGACAGTATGTCGAGGAGATACCTGCACCTCCATATTTATTACAGGACTATTCACAATAGACAAAATATGGAATAAACCTAAGTGTCCATCAACAGATGAATGGATAAAGAAAATGTGGAATATGTACATAATGGAATACTATTCAGCTATGAAATAATGAATGCAGCTATAAAATAATGAGTGTTTATTTTACCTAATATAATGTTCTCCAGATCCACCCACATTGCTGCAAATGATGGGTCTGTCCCAGAGCCAGCAACATGGATGGATCTGGAGGACATTATGTTAAGTAAAATAATTAAGGTACAGAAAGACAAATACTATATTATCTACTCATGTGTGGAATCTAAAGAAGTTGACCTCATAGAATTAGGGAGCACAATAATCATTAGCAGTGGTTAGAGAGAGGGAGGTAGAAGGGAGAATAGAGAGAGATTGGTTAATAGGTGCAAAGTTACACTTTGGAGGAATAAATTCTAGTGTTCTATTGCAGAATAAGTTGACTATTTAACAATATTGTATTGTATGTTTCAATACAGCTAGACGAGAATGTTCTGAATGTTCTCACCATGAAGAAATGATAAATGTATCAGGTAATGGATATGCTAAATACCCTGATTTGATTATGATACAATGTGTAGACATGTATCAAAACATCACACCATACCAGATAAATATGGACAATTACAATGTATCAATTTTTTAAAAGTTTGATTGTGCTTGTTTAATAAATTTAAAATAAATTCCTAAATACTTTGATAGTATGAAAGATTTTCCAAAATCTGGCCAAGGCCCCTGTGTTCATTTCCAAGTGATTAGACCCATTTGCAGGTTAGAAATAGCCATATAGCCGGGCACGGTGGCTCACACCTGTAATCCCAGCACATTGGGAGGCCAAGGCAGGTGGATTGCTTGAGGTCAGGAGCTTGAGATCAGCCTAGCCAACATGGTGAAACCCCACCTCTACTAAAAATACAAAAATTAGCCCAGTGTGGTGGCAGGTGCCTGTAATCCCAGCTACTCAGGAGGCTGAGGCATGAGAAACGCTTAAACCCTGAGGCAGAAGTTGCAGTGAGTGGAGATCATGCCACTGCACTCCAGCCCAGGTGACAGAGCAAGGCTCCATCTCAAAAACAAACAAACAAACAAACAAACAAACAAACAAAAAGAAATAGCCATATAGAGAAAAGATGTTTAGAATTTCCTCATTATCTATAAATGTTATCATGTTTTACAAGATTCTAGAGGAAAACATGTTTTCTAAATCTTAATGTCCATATTTTAAAAATAAATTGACAATAGAAAAATAAAATATGTAATAGATGATCATTTATCTGGATAATATTTTAAACTAAAAAAATCATTTTAGTAACAATTGGAGAATGCATTAAAGTACTGCGGAATGTATGGGGGAAAATTCAGTCCTGCCTGCTGGCAGAGAACACTTAGTATCATAGTGGCCTAAATCAAGAGACGATCAGATTAGAACAGGCTTCGTTTCAGTACTATGTTATGGTGAACTGACTAGTAATACATGTGCGATGCTGATTTCCAGAGATTTATATTTTGGTAAGTTAAAACTGTTCTATACCTTTTAAAAAATAAAGAATACATATTTTAATTTACAATCTATTTGCAAAACAGGAATATATATGATGTGTGCAGATGTTATCATATAATCACTGCATTATTCCACAGTTAATGTCTAAATATTGGCAATTATACTAATCTGAAGGATCTCAGGCCTTAGTTTACCATATAAGGAAATATATTCAATGGTGAAAAATGGGATCCTGAGTAGCTGGGATTACAGGCACGTGCCACCATGCCCAGCTAATTTCTGTATTTTCAGTAGAGATGGGGTTTCACCATGTTGGCCAGGATCATCTCAATCTCTTGACCTCATCTCAGCCTCAGCCTCCCAAAATGCTGAGAGTACAGGCATGAGCCACCACGCCTAGCCAATTTATATAATTTTTAAAATTATTTTTCATTATCACAATACTTTTGAACATTTGTCCAAATTTTTTTTTATTTAAAACTTTTTCATTGTTAATTTAGGTTTATGCTTCTTTCATCAAAAAACCTTTATAATAACAGCATGCAAATATTCCCACGAATTTCAATATCTTCCTCAGGACTTATTAATTCCTTACTCTTTGTGTATTACACAAGAATATTTCATATTACGCTCACTTTATGTAAAATTAATTCAACTTTTATTAAATACATTTTTAATGACTCGTTAAATATTTTCATTTTTAGCATAATTAAAGCTCTATTTCTAAACCAAGTCAAAAACAAACATGACTAAAGGAAATTAAAGACATATCTTTCCTAAAACTAAAGCCAAATAAATTTCAAACAAGTTTCTTCATTTTTTTAATAGTTATTCACCATTTGCAAATGGGGAAATCAAAATCTCTCCTTTTGAGAAATACTTTCCACAAAACCCAAATCAGCTAGCAAAATGTATAACTATGTACATTATAGTGAAACATAGGAAAACTTATAGATTAAAAAAAAGTTAGGACATAGTAAGTTAAAAAATGTTTTCAAAAGTTAACATTTTAAATTTAACTAACCACATAAAAATAAGTTGTCCTTTATATTTAAGTTCTCTAATCTTTAAGTCAAGCACACATTGGTTTTTGAAAGGCCAGAATAGAGAAACTATCTTTTCAAATAGCTATGAATTCATGCTGCCTGAATTAGGAAAGTATCCTAGCAGAGTAGGGTGGAAATACTGTACCTTAATTCATACCTGGGTAAAGAATGGTTCATAAATCTCAACTCCTTTATCAGATCCTTGCAGCAAGACCTCCTGGCCACGTCTCCAGCTATACCGAACAGGAGGATTGGAATTGGCAACACACCGGAGGAACACTGTTCTCTCATAGTAAAATTGTTCTTTAGCTTCACCTATACTTTGATGAACAGTTACTACTGGATCATCCAAATCTAAAGGAAATAAAAACAACCAAATGGCAATGTTATGAGATAGATGACTTTTAAAGTATTGTGCTTATATAACCCAACCAAAAATGCATATTCCTCATTGATTGTATTACTTACCACTAGGTACTCTTTTTTTCACTCAGCTTATTGAATTCATTTACAAAGACGTTTCCAATGATAAGAAGTATATTAGTATCTCTATTTGTGGATATAGTAAAATTAATCTTGTATATTTCTAACTCTTTGTCAATAGCCACATAAAACAGAGTTCCATGAGAGAGATAAAAATTTACAACACTCAAATTCAAGAGCTTAGCCAAAACAATGAACCTCAGTGACAAAAAAAAAATTAATATCAGGCTGCTTGACTTACTCTTTCTCTTTTTTCTTTTTTTAAAACAGAGTCTTGCTCTGTCAACCAGGCTGAAGTCCAGTGGCGCAATCAGAGCTTACTGCAGCCTCAACCTCCTGAACCCAAGCCATCCTCCTACCTCAGTCTCCTGAGTAGCTGAGACTACAGGCATGTGCTACCATGCCCGGCTAATTTTTTTTTTTTTTTGTACAGACAGGGACTGGCTATGTTGTCCAGGCTGGTCTTAAACTCCTGGCTTCAAGCGATCCTCCCACCTCAGTCTCCCAAAGTGTTAGATTACAGGCGTGAACTACTATACTAGACCTCTTTGTCTTAATATACTTCTTTTTCCAATTATTTATAACTTATATATTAAAAATAATTTAAAAATTACAAATGATTAGAATATGTATAGTACCAAAATATGATCTTGCACAGGACTAAATGTTATCTCAAATTTTATATTCCAGATTATATTTGTTAATTTGAAGAGTGCTAAAAGGCATTATTAAAAGGCACTCCTGTTTCTATTACTGGATATTGGAACTAATTATGTGTCATTTTGCATGTATCCTAAAGAAAGACTGTACAGTAGAGGCTCAGCATTTTCTGAAAAAGGTCAATTCATAAATACCTTGGGCTTTGTGATTCAAATGATTGTTTCAACTACCCATCTCTACCATTGCAGTGTGAAAGCAGCAAAACACAATAGGTAAATTAATAATGAATGTTGCTGAGTTCCAATAAAACTTTATTTATAAATACAGACACTCCTCAACCAGCTTTGGCTAATGGGCCATAATCTGCCAACCCCTGATATGGCATATTCCAGGTTCTTTTCTTAAGCGAAAGATAAATTTTAAAAGTGTACTTCCCTTAAAGCAGCAAGCTTTTAGTTCCATGTGCTAGTATAAACTTAGTATATACTTTAAGTATGATGCAAAACCTGCTGTGTTCATTACCACCTTCACCCAGCTTTACCCCTTTTAATTATAACCAAGAAAGGTTACTTAACTTTGGGGTCTTCAATTTCCTTGTCAGCAGATCGGAATGATAATGATACCATATTATTTAGGCTGTTGAAGGATTAAATGAGATAGTCCATAAAGCCCTGGACACATAGTATTAAGTTGGTGCAAAAGTAATTTCAGTTTTTGACATTACTTTTAATGAATGCTTAATAAAAGTTGGCTATTACTATTATTAATAATATTACTATCATTATTGGAGTCTCATTTAAACTCCTATTGATTCTATGCTGTTTTCTTGTTTTTATTTCACCAATTCATAATACATTCAACTCTTATTATAAATAGGTAAAATGCCACTTGCCCATTGTCCAGACTATCAAATGCTTCTACATGACAAAAACTTTAACAAAGGCCTGGAAATAACCTACAGTATTTATATGGACATAAGAATAGTGAAGTGTGTGAGCATATGCTACCCTGAATATTTAAAAGACATTGTTCCTTAGAAAAGATTCTCTCTGATGTGTTAACATAATAAAATGCCAACCAAAGTAGTGAAGTAATAGCTACCTTAGAGAATCAAAGTAAAGAACAGAATCCAAAATTTCCCCATTTTTTAAAAAGTTTTTTTTCAAATGTGATTCACTTGACAGCCCTACTTTGATTTCTAGTTTTGCAACATTCTGAGGGCTTTTTTTCTTCCAACATCAGAATATTTTCACAGCTACCTCAAAGGCCTCTAATTTTAGTAGTTTAAATTTACAGAACAACTGCTGCTTTTTGGTAAAGCTTAAAGGAACTTTCCATTTAAATTCATTCTATTAGCTGTGCAGCGATATATGCTGTCTGGTTTTATTAAGTTCGGATATTTAGGGATACCAGCATCATTATCATAAAATGTTTTGAGATTTTTAAAACCTATCAAATATTCATTAATTTGGTGATTAGCCTTTCATATACATCATATATATTGATTAATTGAATTTAGCCTTAGTGACTTGATAAAAGATACTCTGATTCAATTGTAAACAATTTACTTTTTTTCTTGTTCAAAACATAATCTCTTTAGTCACAGGCTCATTTTTAGAAGTTATGAGCTGTATGTGTTGTAAAAATTAAATTCTGAATTCAGAAAGCTCAGGAACAAAACAGAATTTGATGGTAAACAGTGTAACAATGATGACTTCCAAACAGTTAATAGGTTTGTACTTTCCAACACCCATTTCTTGATGTATCCCCAGCTCTTTCTTGTCAAGTGGTGGTGTCAACAGACTCAGTCAGGAATAAACCAAACCTGTTCTTCCCTGGTCTGGATGACTTTTGGGTCATTGGTTTTCAAGATTCTAATTTTGTGACAATGGCTTATAGTATTGGCTAGGTTATCTGTTGAATTGACTCATGTTTAGAAATTTCTAAGTGTTTTTTGCATTTCAGATTTAAAAACAACATGCCAAAACAAGATTTGTTTAAGACAAGTGAAATGATGGCACAGCTAAAAATATACAATTTTAAGGGAGATTATATATGTATGTTTGTGTGTGCCCACATGTATGCCCATGTGTAGATATACATACTTATATATATAATAATATATAATGTAAGTAATTTATACACACATATCACTTAAATCTATTTTAATATATATTCTTTATATTACTAAATATATATTGAATATTTGTATTTGATTTAGGACAGGTTTCTGAGAAAACAGATTCAGAGATGTGTGCGCAGAAATGGTTCTGGGAAGTATCTTACAGATCAACACATATGAGAGAGTGAAAGAAGTAGGACTGATCAAGGGGAGGGTTGAACTACAAAAGGTCTCAGTAGCTTTGCAGAACTCTCTGAGCTGTGATATCCCCTCAAAGCTGCCCTGCCCTGAGGCAAAGGGGCTAAGCCTTTATACACCGACCACCTCCCCTATCAACAGGTCATTCAATTTGTGCTACTCCTCGCTAGGAGACATAACCTTGGGAGGGCCTGCTCTGTTTGGCTTATTTCTAGAGAGAGCAATTTTACCTGATAGCAATCATCTGTTAATACTCTCAGCAGCGGGAGGAATGAGTGCTTCAGTTCTGGGGAAGGGATCTAACTGGTGCACTGCAGTATCCAGTCAGATCTACTTGCTAGGTGTGATAAATCTATCTGTGAAAAGCTATTCCAAGACTCTGGTTAGTCTCTTTCTGGGAAAACTTTCAAAAGGAACTATAGTAGGACTATATCCATCATCTCCTTCTACTATTGCCATTCTAGATTCCTCTCACCCTGCGCTAGTACATTTTTTGGTATAGGTAGCTTACCTAGTTGCATTACTAGAATTTTGTCAGATTTGAGCCCTTGATCATAATATCTTCTCAAACCAAGGCTGATGTACTTGTCTGTTTATGACCAAAATTGAACAAGAGAATACCGAGAAATGACTCACTGCATTAACTGGGTATCAAACATACTGTTTCCTGCCTCACTATGTAACAACAGTCCTACCAACAGCCTCATATAGGCTGGTCACTCCCACCAGGATAGTGACTCCTCTTGTCTGCTGCTTCCTGACACAGAAGCCTAAAGTTACTGAGTTGATGCTATGGCTTAAAGATTAATGGGACTCTTGCTATGTCACTTAATAGAAGCTTTTTCCCTTTCTGGGAACTGGGACCTCTAAACTGGCAGAGCCCAGAGTTGCGGGAAGGAAAGCAATCCTCCAGTAGGTCACTGGATGTGATGATAGTGAGGTCACTTCTTGGTTCTTGGACCTGGTATTCTATAAGGAGAAAAAGCAGCATATAATAATGGTCATTGATTTAGAATTTAACTGCATCATGGAGGGTAGCACCCACTCCTTACTGAATATTTTCTCTGTAAGACTCAATTGCCCTCTCTAAAAGGCCATTCTATCGCTCTATTAAGTTGGCATTTTTAGTTGATGTAGTACGTATGACCAGATAATCCATGGCAATGTGCCCACTCCAGAATACTGATATCCAGGTCAATCTGGATCCTGTGTATGACATTTCTCAAAGTATCTCAGGAGTCCATTCTCCCTAGTGTATGATTATTCAAGTAAATGGATGTAGGTTTTTTATAGAAAGAAATGAGAGAATAATTACCACATACATTTGCTATGGTGTTTCGGGGTTCTTTCTGGTGATTCAGTTGAAGTTTTCAGTCAACGAGCTCAAAATCTGAAAATTGCCTCAGGTACAGAAATTGGACAAGGATCGTGGCTTTTCATTAGACAGCCATATGCAGACTCTTACTCACCCATTTTTAATTTGTGTAGATTGTGCAATAGTTTCTTGGCTGTCCACTTATTTTCCCCTAGAGATGCTGTGTTCTGTTAACCATCTCCATAGCTCTCTGTGATTCTGGAGTCTTAGATATATTTGAACAAGCCATTCATTAAGATAAATGTGCCTGGCTGGGCACAGTGGATCATGCCTGTAATCCCAGCAGTTTGGGAGACCAAGGTTGGGTGGATCATTTGAGGTCAGGGGTTCGAGACAAGCCTGGCCAACATGGTGAAACCCATCTCTACCAAAAATACAAAAATTAGCCAGGCATGGTGGCAGGCACCTATAGTCCCAGCTAGTCAGGACGCTGAGGCAGGAGAATTGCTTGAACCCGGGAGGTGAAGGTTGCAGTGAGCCAAGATCACACCACTGCACTCCAACCTGGGGGACAGAGTGAGACTCTGTCTCAAAAACAAAAACAAAAAACAAAAAATAAGTGTGCCTCCTTTTCTTGTGACAACTAAGAACTACCTCCTAGCCTCCATTATTTTGAAAACCTGTCATCCCCGCTGTTACGAGAGAGGCCAATTCTATAATAGCATCTACTGCTATCAACATTTGCCTACAGAGGACAGTCCAGTCACCACTGAGCTTCTTAATGATGCTTGTGTCTCAGCCATCAGCACATTCTTACTGCTTTAGTCAAGGAGGTATTCTCCAAGCCTTTACAAAGAAAAAGTGAGCTGATGATATTTCTGGAACTTATATGACATATTCACTTTAGCATTCCCACTTCTCTGAGTCATTTGGTCCTTTTTTCATTGTCTGCACAGCAGTTTGGGCATTTATACTTTATTTAGTGGAGACCATTGCTTTCCCCAAGCTTCCAAGAGCCATCCTAGCAGTGTATAACACTATTTCCTGCTGTCCTTGTCTAAGTGTTAAATCTTGTATCATGGTGGAATGTTCCCATATCAATAATCTGTGTCACTATCCTCACTTGATCCTATTTTCCATCCTCAATTTTATTCAATCTCTTATTCTCCATCCCATCTCATCCAGCAGCCTCAGCATCTAGCTCCATACATACTTCCCTAACTCCTGGCTGAGGTCTATAGCTAATTTAAAGCATAATCTTTTTCCTGTCTTAGAAGCCCAACAATTCCAGAGCCAAGTAATGTCATCTATTGACCCTATATGGATCTGGTGGCCAGAATGGAAGTGGGGTTCTATCCCGAGAAGGGTGTGAGTTACCTCCAAGGGAAGAGGTTTCTGTATCATCTTCAAGCAAGATGGAAATGACTGCCTCTAATTAGGAGGAATAGGCAACTTCCATAGGTCCAGATGGTTTAGGATAATTTGAGACTTCAAGGTTGTGGAGTCCATAAACTCAGATGTAACCTCCCGTAAGATTCCCCTTGTTCCCAACCAGGGTTCAGACTCTGGCATAGCTGAGGATGCAGGCCTCTTGAAATTCTGTTATACTTTTAAATAAGTCCTAAGCCTTATTATCTGCTTTTATGACCTTTGACTGCAGAAGATAAGAATCTCTTTGTATTTTGCCAAAGAGGTCTTATGCTCACATACCACGGTCAAGTGATGATTAATTACACTCAGCCTTTCATTTTTTTTCTCCACTGCGTAAAAGGAACCCAGCAGAACCTGATTCCATTGTCCTTATAATTATTACTTTCCTCTGAATTCCTCAGAAGCCTGAAATATTGAACTCACAGGGCATTACCTTTCCTCAATACCTATCCTTATCACAGGTGAAGATTTTAACAACTTCCCACTATAGCAATCAAGAGCTATAAGTGGTTGGCTGGGCGTGGTGGCTCATGCCTGTAATCCTAGCACTTTGGAAGGCCAAGGCAGGTGGATCACCTGAAGTAGGAAATTAAAGACCAGCCTGGCCAACATGGTGAAACCTTGTCTCTACTAAAAATATAAAAATTAGCTGGACATGGTGGTGCATGCCTGTAATCCCAGTTACTCAGAAGGCTGAGGCATGAGAATCGCTTGAACCCGGGAGGTAGAGGTTGTAGTGAGCCGAGATTGTGCCACTGTACTCCAGCCTGGGTGACAGAGCAAGACTCTGTCTCAAAAAAAAAAAAAAAAAAAAGAGCTATCAGTAGCTACCTGCCAACAGCAATGGGGCCCTCACTGCAGCCAGCTAGTTGGCTGCTGAGTGATCCACCTCTAAAATTCCATTTTAAAGTTATCTTCCTCAGATCACCTAGAATGGGTTCTTTGGAAATCTGATTCTTTGACGAAGACATGCATTTCGGAAGTTTGTTGGAGAGTGCCCTCAGAATCAACTCATGTAGTAGTGTTTTAAAAAAAGAGGGATTAGGCAGTGGAATGAGTTCAACTGTGCTGCATTACTTCCAAATAGGTCAGATGGAGCTGTTCAGTTGAGAAGGCCTTTCAGAGTGGCCCTGCAGAGTTTTCCTACAAAGGAGATTGATGCTTCACTGCATTAGCATTTCCCACAGTGAGGTGGCTCTTGCCAGCTGAGGACAACTCCATTAGAAGGGCTGACTGGAGAGCCAACATCTTCCAACGCTTCCAGGAAGAAAAAGCACCTGCTACAGAGTTTTATGATAAGGACTTGAAGTTACTATTCATAATTTTCTCTAGCTTTTAAATGTAGTTCAGGAAGCATAAAATATGTCTCTATGTTTATTCAACAGTCAATTTTCATACTTTATGACCCTGATAATATTACCTAACCACACTGAACTCTCTTCTGTTATTGTTATTTTATTTATATTTATCTCTTTAAAATAAATTTAATTTTATAAGCTAAATGTGTGAAATTCAAATATCTAGATATTAAATAATTACAAAATATTATTTTAAAAGTGTATGATTTTTATTATTAAACTGGGGCCAAAATTCTTCACATATATACAGTAATGTAAATAATTATCTTATTTGATATGTATTTATTTTAAATATATTTCAATAACAATATGGTTTCCTATAAAATATATTTCTATGTGTATAGGACTCATACCTTATATTTATATTCTTAAAAACCAATATAATAGGCACACTCAATAATCTAATAAATTAATATAAAGGAAGATTAATCTGTCATGAATATAGTCAATGTCAGTTTTCAGCAAGGAAATTGATATGTATCATAATAATTAAGAAAAATGTGTTTTTTCATTTAAATGCAGTAGCTACCCCTTTATAACTAAACTAATTTTCTTGAAACTTTTTTTGGCTGATCAAATGTGCCAAACACTAGTAGATTAAAGTCAGTTTAAGAAAATTAATGTAATATATGCTGTTTTCCTCAACTCTAGAAATAACTGTCTCCCAATTGTCTCCCAAAAGAATTTGTGGTATGAAAAATTTGACATAGGTTTTGATGTAATGGTAAGAGAAATGTTCCAAGACAATCTGAACTTTTCCATGGTTTTTCTTTGTATACCTATAAGAATTATCTACTTGCCCAGTTTTACTTTGCAATATTTTTTTGAGTTTCTATTAATCTCAACATGTAGGTGTTCAGGACATGGTGTACAAATAATCAACTAATGAATGCTATGCCTAATATTTATTGAATACCTATTTTGGGCCAGGATGTTTGGAAGAAACTTTACATATGCCAACTAATTTCATTTTTATAGAAACCTCGTCTCTTTTAATGTCCTGGGAGTCAAGTTTCAGAGAAATGAAGTAATTTGCCAGTATATATGTAACACGATGAGTATTATCAAATATATCTTAATCTAAAATGTTTATGTTCATTATCTTCATGCATATTTTACATGTCTACAATATGGTAAGCATTATGTAAATAACTCAGTTTACAAGTAGCCTACAGTTCATGAGTCAAAAAAAGGCAAATAAATGAATAAGATGAAAAAAAAACACAACACAATTAACTAAATGATCCTATAGAGATGTAAGCCAAATACAGACAACTATTTCTTTCTGGAAAGAACAGTAAAGGCTACCTGAAAAGATGATGCCTGAAATAAATCCTAAATTATGAAGAGAGTATGCCAGATAATATATTAAATTAAATAATTACAAAATGTTATTTTAAGTGCATATGACTTTTATTATTCAACAGGGGCCAAAATTCTTCACAAGTATAGAGTAATGTATACATGTGAAGAGTAGGAAGTAGCACACATAAAGCTCTGAGATATCAGAGCCAATATCAGATATCCAGCAAAGCTAGAAAAGACTTCTGGGTATTGAGGAATAGTAATTTGGTATGATGTTTGAGAAACAAAAATGGACCAAATCATTAGTAGCACCATCTATGCTAAAGAAAATCCATTCCATTACTTTTTTAGCCAGGCTTTCGCTTTAGAAAGATCATCCTAGCTCCTTCTGGAGAAGAGATTTGGGGGTGGCAAAAAGAGTGGTAAGGAGATCAGTAAGAAGGTTGTGGTAACAACTGAGATGAACAATGACAGGGGCTTTGAAATAAGGGTGACAATGGGCATGGAGAGGAGGCTTAACTGAACTGAACTAGGTGAGTGATTAGAAACCGGGCTGGGCAAAAGGTGGGAGTTAAAAAAGGTCTCTAAGGACCTGGATTTGGCAGTTGGGTAGACAGTGCACTAACTGAAACATGAAACGTAAAGAGAGAACTTCACCTGGCTGTGGGTGGAGTGGGATGGGAGTTGTAAAAGGTAAGAAAGTTGAGTTCTGTTTGGTTGACGCAGCTCCTCCAGTTGCAATGTACACGACCTAGAGCCAAAATAAGTCTGGGCTACAGATATGGATTTGGGAGTCATCAGTATGCTGTGGAGGGGAATGGACCACTCAAGGAATATGCAGAATGGAAAAAGGGAAGGACCAGTGAGAGAGGCCTGGGCAGCACTAAGTACAGGCAAAAAAAGAAAAGAAAAGAAATAAAAAAAAAAAAAAAACAGTTGGGCGGGAGGGCTTTGTAAAAGACTAAGGAAAAAGTGATAAAGAAGAAGAGAGGTAGAGTCAAAACAAATCAATAGTAAATAAAATAGCACTTCCACAGCCATGGAGAGGTTGGAGAGCAGAATAAGTGGTGAAAAGACAACAGAACTGGAAAGTGACTTTAAATTTGGCAAGTAATAGATCACTGGGGACCTTTGCCAGAGTTGTGTCAGTGGAGTGATGGGTCTAGCATTTTCCTGTACTTTACAGAGTGAAAGTCAAGTAAAAACATGGAGAGATTAATGGGTATAATCCTTTCAAGAAACTTGGCTCTAACAAAAACATAAAAAATAAAAAAAGTAGTTAGGGGAGTAGAGGACAACATGTGATCAAGAGAGTCTTGTTTTGTTTTGTTCCTGTTTTGTTTTTCATTAAGCAGAGAGAGTTTGTTTTTCCTTAAGCTGAGTGCATTTAAATTCCTAGGATAAAATAAAACATAAGGAGCATTAGGAAAATGCCCAATGTTTGAAATAGCTATTTTTTAGTAAATAATTATTATTTTAGTGTTATACTTTGATGGCAGCAGTGGCCCCATTTGGAGTGGCTGCTGCAAAGACGACGACCGCAGTGGGGGAGATGCAGCTAAGGCTGTGCACTCCATGGAAACTGCGGGAGCCGGGAACAGGCAGGATTCCTGCCCCCTTCCAAGTTGGTGGGGTGGGAGCCCTGTGATCCCAGGCACAGCTGCAGCCACCCAGCCGCAGCAGTGGACCCGGACATCCCTGTGCTCTTGGCCTGTGAAGCCCCCCTGCCCCTGCATGCTTGGAAGTGCCTGCTCCCACTGCCTGGCCTCTCCCGGCTCCCAGCACTGGCTCCAATTTTGGAGCAAAGTTGTGGTCCAGCCCAAGCGCTGTCAAGACCAGGCCTGGTGTGTATGATGCTAGGGTCGGTACTGACACACCAGCCTCTTACTACCTCACCCACCTCCGGACTTTAGGTAGTGACAAGTACAGCAGAGAGGCCAAGATGGGGCTGAGGGCCACTCGGCACCGGCCTGCAGGCACTCCCTAGCATGAACAGCCAGGGCGCCATGAAGAGGCAGATAGGCGGCTGGGCGGAAAGGGGCAGGACCCCTGTGAAATCCCACCTTCAAACCATGGACTCTGTAGCATGGGGCCTAGGCTGCCAGTTCCCCCTACCAAAGTGAGAACTTATGGTGCTTTTTCCAGGGTTGCCCATGGCTGCCCATGGACCAATCAGCAAGCACTTCCTCCCCTCGGAAGCCGATTAAAATCCCAGACTCAGCCAGACTGGGACAGACAACAGGATAACCTCCCTAGGGAAAAGAGCTACACACTGTGGGTCTCCTCTCCACTGAGAGCTGTACACTCATCATGACAACCTGAGGGCCGTACAGATGCTGCGATGACCTGCCTGCGAAAGGAGGTACCCACTTCAGGTCTCCTGAGACCTGTGCTATTGCTCAATAAAGCTCCTCTTCGCCTTGCTCACGCCTGTAGTTGTCCTTGTACCTCATGCTCACTGGATGCGGGACAAGAACTCGGGACCTTCTGAATGGCAGGATTGAAAGAGCTATAACACAAACAGGACTGAAACATGCCTCCCTGCTTGCCACATTGCGGATGATGAGAAGAAGAGAAGACAGAAACAGAGAAGAGCCATGGTCCTTCGGGAAACCCAGACCTAGCAGCTCCCCAAGCCAGAGCTGTGACACTCTCTTCGGAGCTCTGCAGTTCCTCGCGTCTCCAAGATTCTGGGTACCACCATGTTCCCCAGTGTCTGCAGTGAAAGCCGCTTGCAGTACGCCTGCTCCAGCTGCGGCCTAGCAGGGAGCCAACGCCCATGCCGGGAGTTGCCCACCCCGCTACAGCTGGCATGTCTGGCTGTACACAGTGGCCAGACCCTGTGGTTGCTCAAACAGCCCTCACCGTTCCATGGCTGGCTCACCCTTGACAGGTGTGAGATCCAGGCCAGTAGCGCAAGCTGAGCACAGCCTAACAGGCCGAGAGGGCAAAACAAACCCAGTGAAACTGAGCAAAACTTGGGCAAAGGTGCCACTGGCCACAGAGGTTTCTGGCTGGCAAAGCGACACCCCAAGGGTCTTGCGACATTTTTTATATGAATTTTTTTACAATTCTTTTCTTTTCTTCTTCTTCTTCTTTTTTTTTTTTTTTTTTTTTTTTTTTTTTTTTTTTTTTTTTTGAGACAGAGTCTCTGTCACCCAGGCTGGAGAGCAGTGGCGCGATCTCGGCTCACTGCAACCTCCGCCTCCCAGGTTAAGCGATTCTCATGCCTCAGCCGCTGGCGTAGCTGGGATTACAGGTGCGTGCCACTACCCCGGCTAATTTTTGTATTTTTAGTAGAGGCGGGGTTTCACCATGCTGGGCCAAGCTGGTCACAAACACCTAACCTCAAGTGATCTGCCCACCTTAGCCTCCCAAAGTGTGGAATTATAGGCATAAGCCATCACACCTGGCCAAGATTTATTTTATCAGTTGTGTGTCCCTATTTTTCAGAAGGTTTTCATTTAAGCTTCTAGGATTCTAGGCTAGAAAACTTAAAATTATTTTTGACCCTTCCTTATATTTACATCAAGGCATACGCTTTCTTAACCTCAAAAACTCCAAAGTTAGTTATTATACACTAAATAGCTTCGTTTGAGTTCAGTTCACTAAATTATGGAAGCATTTGTTTAGTCCACTCTCCACTACCACTCGAGTTTCTCTAGTGACATAAACCAGCTAACTCACCTCCCAACATGCACTGGTGCAATTAATCCATAGGCTTATGATTAATCAGTTATTAACTGCGACTGAAGTCACAGGATGTAGTCACAAGTTAAAAAAATCAATTAATCTAAAAAATATTCACAGCAGAAGCATGTTTTCCACAGGAGTTTATTCCACCATTTGGTCCAATTTTTCTGTCTTTAATCTTTGAATTAAACCAAATTAATCTGAAAACCCAGATGGAAAGACACACTAAAAACTATATTGGATGTCATCTTTTTCTCTGGAAAGTTCCAGAAATCTTAAAAATCCTATACAGAAGATATATAAATGTGGTTCCTTAAGGAAAATAATTGCTCAATATACTTGGAGGCACTAAAGCTAGAGAAGCATATTATTTTTTCACTTTATGAACAAGAATTTATATTACTAATACAACTATATATGAATGCACTATATGAGTGATAGCTCATAACAATAGATAACGCTAATTATATGCATATGTCTGTCAATGACCACAACCTGACTGAAATGGTTACTGTGAAGCTATACAAAAGAGAAATTAAATCATTGTTAGACATCAATAATTAAGAACAAAGCATCAATATAAATGATTTGTAATTCTGCAGATATCAATTCAAAAGCACTGTTTTCTTTGATAAATCGATGGGAAATTTTGTTCAAATATTGATGACAGGAAATGTTTCATATCTTTCCTACATAGCAATTTTTGAATAACGGGTAATCTTATTTGATCATTCATAATAAAAGACAAAATGAATACTTACAGCCAACTTCCTCAAATGGGACATTTCTAAGAATGTGGCTATCTATAAAACTTAGATTCATTCATTCTAATGTGAAATTTTGCTTTTACTCATTTACTTACACAAATTAGAATCCATTGCATCTTCAATAAGTTTTTTAAAATATATGCAACTACATGTTTTATATATCTTTGCTAATATTATCCTGATGATTTTGCATATTATTCTAGAGAAAGAGTTTTTGAACCTTGATATGTCCTGGAAAAACTGTCCCAGGATTTTTCTTTTACCTCTTCCTCACTCATTTTCTATCAAACTCCTGAAAAATGAAAATAACAAAGGATATAAATTTTTAAACTATGTACATATATGTGTGTGTGTGTGTGTGTGTGTGTGTGTGTGTGTGTGTGTGTATCTGATATGGTTTGGTTGTGTCCCCACCCAAATCTCATCCTGAATTGTAGTTCCCATAATCCCCATGTGTGGTGGGAGGGACCCAGTGGGAAGTAATTGAATCATAGGGACAGTGTCCACCACGCTATTCTCGTGATAATAAGTTCTCACAAGATCTTGTGGTTTTATAAGGGCTCCCCCCCTCACTCAGCTCTCATTCTTCTCCCTCCTGCTGCCCTGTGAAGAAGTGCCTTTAACCATGATTTTAAGTTTCTGGAGGCCTCCCCAGCCATGCAGAACTGTGAGTCAATTAAATGTCTTTTTTTTGTAAATTATTGTCTTGGGTATTTCTTCATAGCAGTGTGGAACAGACTAATACAGTATCTATACACACACACACACACACACACACATACATTATACATACAGTCATGTGCTGCATAACTGTGTTTCAGTCACAACAGACCGCATATAAAATGGTGGTTCCACAAAGTATAATACCACATTTTTATTGTAGTTTTTCTGTTTAGATACACAAATATATATCACTGTGTTACGACTGCTTACAGCATTCAGTATAGTAACATGCTGTAGAGGTTTGTGGTCTAGGGTTAATAGGCTATACCATATCACCTAGGTGTGTAGTGGGCTATACCATCTAGGTTTGTGTAAGTATGCTCTACAATGTTCATACAATAATGAAATCATTTAAGGGCACATTTCTCAGAACATATCCCTGGGGTGGGTGTGTGTGTGTGTGTGTGTGTGTGTGTGTGTGTGTTCATGTACGCATATAATGTATACAGATTTTTGTCTTTTTGTAAAAATTAAATCATATAACACTTTTTTGATACTTATAGCAGCCTTTTTTTTTTTTTCTGAGATGGAGTCTAACTCTGCCACTCAGGCTGGAGTGCAGTGGCGCGATCTCGGCTCACTACAACCTCTGCCTCCTGTTCAAGTGATTCTCCTGCCTCAACCTCCCGAACAGCTGCCTGGCTAATTTTTGTATTTGTAGTAGAGACGGGGTTTCACCATGTTGGCCAGGCTGGTCTCAAACTCCTCACCTCAGGTGATCAGCGTGCCTCGGCCTCCCAAAGTGCTGGGATTACAGGCGTGAGCAACGCCCAGCTAGCAGCTTTATTTCTAATTGCTAAAACTTGTAGACAACTAAGATGTCCTTCAGTGGGTAAACTGATAAATAAAAGGTAGCACATACAGACAGTGGAATATTATTCAGTGCTGAAAAGAAGTGAGCTCTCAAGCCATGAATACACATGGAGGAATCTTAAATGCATATGAGTAGGTGAAAGAAGCCAATCTGTAAAGGCAACATGATATGATTCCAAATATATGACATTCTGGAAAAGGCAAGCAATGGAGACAGTAAAAAGGCCAGTGGTTGCCAAACATTTGTAGGGAAGGAGGGATAAATAGGCAGAGCACAGAGGATTTTTAGGGCAGTGGAACTACTCTGTGTGATACTAAAATGGTGGATATGTGTCATGATACATTGTCCAAACCTATAGAATTTACAACATTAAGAGTGAAGCCTAATGTAAACTATGGACTTGGGTGATAATGATGTGTCAATGCAGGTTCATCAATTATAATCAGCCACTCTGGTACTGGAAGTTGGTAGTGGGAGGGGTTGTGCATGCATGGAGGAGGAAGTACATGGGAATTTTAATATAACACTTAAAAAAAAATCTTACTTTTCTCACACAAACTACTTCATGGAAATTCCTCCAAGGTAGAGCTCTAATCCTCCCCACCCTTTTAAAAATAGTTGTATAATATCCCTGGTCATGAATGTTTTCTAATTTAGTCAATCATTCCCATTAATTGTCTCTAAACTCCCATTAATTGTCCTTAAATTCTTGTAAGGAACCTGGTTTGTAACTAGTTGTATCGAATTTTGCCTGATTGCTTTCCAAAAGGAATGTACATTTCACCACAAGCATATGAGTATTCTTCTTCCTGAATTTCAGCCGTAACAGGCTTTTTTGCTCTTCTAAATTTTTGTGCACTCTGATTGTGTGAAGTGATAGCTCATTGTTACTTTATATTTGCACTTCCCTGATGACTGGTGAACTTGATTGGGCTTTCACTTGATGATTTTCTAGATTTTTGCTTCCTTGAACTGTCTACTTAGATCCTTTGTCTATTTTTATCCTGGGTTAGTTATCTTTTTCTTTAAAAATTTAAAAAATCTTTGTATATTATGGAGAATCTTTTGGTTATTTTTCTATTAATTTTGTTCAGCAAATATCATTTCATAGACATATAACTTAATTTTTATATAGTAAGATATGACTGTCTTTTCTTGCATAGCTTTGGTTGGCAAAATATAATAAAGTATGGCTAGTTTTCCCCTAGATTGCAGATGAAGTCTTTACTCCATCCAGAACCGAATTTTGAATGTTGTGTCACTTCGAGGTCTAATTTTATTTTCTTTTGATGGAGATATAGTAGCCACACCACCATTGAATACTCATTCTTCCACAACGAGTTGAACCCAAAATTTATCATGTATTAAAGTTTCACATGTTAGGATCTACTTCTGGCTTACCTACTCTGTTATAAGAATTTATTTTTCTTTTCTTGTGCAAAACCATATTAATGTGACATAGAAGTTTTTAGCTTCTGAACTCTACTAATAAAACTTCACCCTGTCCCAGTCCCTTGCTGCTATTCTATTTCGGGCTTTTTTGGTTATTCTCAGGCATCTATCTTGCAGTTAATGTCCAGATTATTTTCTTTTACAAACAAACAAACAACAACAACAAAAAAGCAGCTGAGAAGTGGCTCATGCCTATAATCCCAGCACTTTGGCTAGGATTTCAACACCAGCCTAAGGAACATAGCGAAACCCTGCCTCTACAAAAACTAAAAATTAGCTGGGCATGGTGCATCCTGTAATCCTTGCTACTCAGGAGGCTGAAGCAAGAGAATCACTTAAGCCCAGGAGGTTGAGGCTGCAGTTGTGAGCCATAATTGCATGCCACTCCACTCCATTCTGGACCACAGAGCGAGACCTGTCTCTAAAATAAATGAATAAATAAATAAACACACACACAGACAAACATAAAACTCTGCTGGGATTGTTCATTGAGAATCAATTAAATTCACATATAAATTTTAATTTTAGGTAAGTGAAAACTCAGATATCCATCTGACCTGGTGCCATCAACCAAATACAGATACTTAATCACATTTCTAATACTAACTTTAAAAGCAAATTTTTTGATTGGCACTGCTCTTTGGACAATATTTAACAATTTAAATTTTGCTAGAAAATAATCAATTTCCTTAAGAACTGCATGAAGCATCTCTTAATTTTGTGATCTCTCCTTTTTCTAAGGTTATGTCTCTTTCCTTATTCCAAATCAGGAGTATTTTTACTTCCTTTCTTCCCTATTTTATTAGAATTACAAGAGGTTTGTCATTTTTATTTTTCTTTTAAAATAACCAGATTTGCATTTTTAAAAATTTCTAGCTGTATTTGCTTGCTGTTATGCTATTTTCAGCTTTTACTTTACTAATGCTGTACTAATTTACTTAATTTAATTACATTTTTGTGATTCATTAGGATGAGAATTTCTGGTGTTCCATTACTTTTTAAAAAAATAATTACGGCATTTTGAGCTGATTTTCCATTGAATTTAGCATTTGTTTTGTTCATAGTTTTTACTATCAATTATCTGTTTAAGTGCCTTCTAAATGGTATATAATTTGACTACTGATTTTCCTTTGATACAACGATTATCCAGGTATGTTTAAAATGTCCAAGAAGAAATAATTTAACAATCACCATTTTATTACTTATTTCTATTATGGTTAGAACTTATGCCATACAAATATTTACATATTAGAATGTAAGGTTATATATATATTTCAACTTAATGTAATTATTTTTCTAAAATATATATATACATATATTTAGTCAAATACAAAAATTTTTGAGAGAATACCCAAGAAGAGGTAATTTTTTTTCATTTCCAAGGTGATTAATTTCTACCTTTTCCCCTCATTTCAATAAAGCAAAAATTTTAGATGCCCTTCAGGGCACACTCTGCCCCCACCCTCTGCTGCCCACATCCTTGCCCCTGATAAGGAAACTTAGAACACTTTTTATTTCTTCTTTTCTCTCCTGCCAACCTCAACTCTTATATTTTGTTTTCGTTGATTTTAGATTTCCCTTAAACTCATAGCTTTCAGTTTTAAGAATCTAATTGGGTTCTTATTCCACACACTGCAGAATGTTTATTCATATCCATTAGATTTAAACACCCCCCTCCCCAGATCCTTTTTTTTTTTTTTTTTTTTTTTTTTTTTTTTTTTTTTTGAGGAGTCTTGTTCTGTTATCCAGGCTGGAGTGCAATGGCACAATCCCGGCTCACTGCAACCTCCACCTCCCGGATTCAAGTGATTCTCCTGACTTAGCCTCCCAAGTAGCTGGGACTACAGGTGCTTGCCACCACGCCCAGCTAGTTTTTTGTATTTTTAGTAGAAGCAGGATTTCACCGTGTTAGCCAGGCTGGTCTGGATCTCCCGACCTCGTGTTCTGCATGCCTCGGCCTCCCAAAGTGCCGGGATTACAGGCATAAGCCACCGAGCCCGGCCAACCCACATTCTTGACCCATTTGAGGTCACTATTTTTTTCCTTCAATCTTTTCTACAGTATATATCTTAGACTGTATAATATAAAGGAATCCTCACTGGATTCCTGTACAACAATATTTTCTCCTTATGGTCAATGACATGGTCACTGGCTACAGGATTCCTGAGTTGCTGTCTTCTTCTTTAATAACCTATAGATATTATTCTGCTGCCTTTTATCGTTTGAAATCAAATATAAGAACTCTGATATAAATCCTTTTTTAAAATGTGTCCTTTTTTGCTTTGTGATTTCCTCTTTCTCCTCGGATTTCATATCTTTTTGTATTAGCTCAGGTGGTTATCTTTTCTCCTGATTCAGTATGAGTTCAGGATTTTCAGTAAGCACAGCTACAAGTTCAGGCCTTTTCAACTTAATGTAATTATTTTTCTAAAATTTCCGGTATTTGTATATTATTTCCATAGGCTATATCCTCCAAGTCTTTCTCCCTCTTTCCCCTCCTCATGATTTATATATCTTCATACTTCATGCTCTGTATTTTGAGATATTTCTAGCACTTCCTGTCCTAGGCCACTAATTTGATCCCCATTTCCAATTTTTTTACTGAACTATTTAGTTAAGAAATTATGATTTTCAGTATCACCAAATCTAGCACGTATATGTGTATGTATGTGCACATGCACTCGAATGAATGTACCTGACAAATAAATCTCTTTAAATATTAGCCTTCTTTTTATTTATTAACACTTAAGCTGTTCTATGTTTCATTGGGTATATGTTCCATTTAATTTTTACTAACTTCTGCTTCTGACACAGGACACTATTGATAGGTTATTCTTCTTTGTCACATCTTTGGGGCTCTAATCTGGTTGTTGATGAATCCTAATGGTAGGTGATATCAAAAGTGTGGGAAGACAAAGTCATCCCTGCTCCATGGACCAGTGGTGAAGAGGCAGACTAGCCTCTTCTGAAGAACTGGAGACAATCTCCCTGCCTTCTTTGTTGCTATAGTCTTTCAGCCTCAGGACAGAGAACACTTTCCCAACCTACCTCTACTATGCGCATGGCAAGGTTTGGCTCTGTGTCCCTACCCAAATTTCATCATGTAGCTCACATAATTCCCAATGTTAGGGGAGGGACCTGGTGGGAATCATGACTGAATCATGATGGTGGGTTGTGGGGGTGGGGGGTCTTTACCATGCTGTTCTGGTGATAGTGAATGGGTCTTGTGAGATCCGGTGGTTTTAAAAGTGGGAGTTTCTTGAGCAGGCTCTCTTTTTGCCTGCCGCCATCCATGCAAGATATGACATGCTCCTCCTTGCCTTCTACCATGATCCTGAGGCCGCCCCAGCCACATGGAACTGTAAGTCCAATAAACCTCCGTCTTTTGTAAATTGCCCTGTCTCTGGTATATCTTTATCAGCAGCATGAAAACGGACTAATACAGTGCACTTTTGTGTTTCAGCACGAGGAGGAAAACACATTTAGCCAACCTTGCACTCAGACACATCTAGTCCCATAATTCATTGGTGAAGAACTGGAAGGACCCATTCCAGTGGCATATGGTGACAGTAGTGACAACAATGTTGTTTCCTGGGAAGCAGGAGCAATTGTGCTAATTACAGCACCCTGAATTTAATATGAGCACAACAGCACACATTGAGAAATTCAGCACACCCTGGCTGCAAAAGAGGCAGCCATGTCCTCACTGGCTCGTGGAGGGATTGAGGGCTGTGCTTCTCCATGTCATCTAGCTCACAGACTGTTTTCCAAATTTCATTCTATGATCGTAAAGCAATTCTATAAAGTTCACTTTTACTTATTTATTTGTTTAGTTAGTAGGTGAGTCAGTAAGTTAGTTGATTAATTTAAATCAGCCAATTTTGAAATCTGCTGCTTGTATGGAACAGTTTATTAAATGAGTATTAATCAATAGATATAGCTATAAATTAACTCCATTCCCTCTCCCACTGGCCCTGAAAGCCTATGTGACAGGCTATTTCTTATCCTGCTATTGGATGAAATTTTAGGCACATTCCACAGCTTTCCCAGTTCCCTGAGTCAATCACAAGAACAGTCCCATTTCTGGAGAAAATTTTTACAATCTCCTCATCTGACAAAGGGCTAATATCCAGAATCTACAAAGAACTCAAACAAATTTACAAGAAAAAAACAAACAACCCCATCAACAGGTGGGCAAAGGATATGAACAGACACTTCTCAAAAGAAGACATTTATGCAGCCAAAAAACACATGAAAAAATGCTCATCATCACTGGCCATCAGAGAAATGCAAATCAAAACCACAATGAGATACCATCTCACACCAGTTAGAATGGCGATCATTAAAAAGTCAGGAAACAACAGGTGTTGGAGAGGATGTGGAGAAATAGGACACTTTTACACTGTTGGTAGGACTGTAAACTAGTTCAACCATTGTGGAAGACAGTGTGGCGATTCCTCAGGGATCTAGAACTGGAAATACCATTTGACCCAGCCATCCCATTACTGGGTATATACCCAAAAGATTATAAATCATGCTGCTATAGAGACACATGCACATGTATGTTTATTGCAGCACTATTCACAATAGCAAAGACTGGGAACCAACCCAAATGTCCAACAATGATAGACTGGATTGAGAAAATGTGGCACATAGTCACCATGGAATACTATGCAGCCATAAAAAATGATGAGTTCCTGTCCTTTGTAGGGACTTGGATGAAGCTGGAAACCATCATTCTCAGCAAACTATTGCAAGGACGAAAAACCAAACGCCACATGTTCTCACTCATAGGTGGGAATTGAACAATGAGAACACCTGGACACAGGAAGGGGAACATCACACACCGGGGCCTGTTGTGGGGTGGGGGCAGGGGGTAGGGATAGCATTAGGAGATATACCTGATGTAAATGACAAGTTAATGGGTGCAGCACACCAACATGGAACATATATACATATGTAACAAACCTGCACATTGTGCACATGTACCCTAGTACTTAAAGTATAATAAAAAAATACAAAAAAAGAACAGTCCCATTTCTGTAATTAAAATATCCAGTTCAATAACTTTGTAAAAGACCTGTGAAGTTTCTGATTTAAAATTTCTCTATTCTTCCCAGCTGTCTTCTAGTTCAGGCTTGATATCCCGAAAGTTTGAGGGGGAAAGAGTGGAAGTGGTATTACTTAGCCTTTCTTCCCTCTTTATCTGCTTTGTTCTTTGACCCTTCCATTTTCACTAGCCATAGGGTATAACTCCTTCAGGACTGTAGAGGTGATGATAGAAGCAGGGGAGGTAAGGGATAAAGGTACCCCATCCTTTGTAGAGGAAACAGTCTACAGATCTTAGGGTGGAACTCTCGAAGGACCCTCAATTGCTTCCATTTCTAGGTTCCACTCTGAGCTGCTTATATAAATCAAAGTGGAAGGGTCTCCAATGCTGGTATGGATGGTCTTTTAAAATGATTTCACTTTTTAGGCCTTTGCCAAAACTGATATACAAAGAAACTCAGTTAAAAATAATATTTTCAGAACAAATTAGTAGTAATAATGGAACTATAAGTCCTCATACATAGATATTTTTGGCTCTTGTAATAAACCCTTGTCCCAAACTAATCTCTTACATACCGATAGGCAGAATAAAAACACACATTTTTGTTCTACCTTGATTTGCATAAATAAAAAAAGAATTAGTGGCTAAATATGAGATAATTCCATTTTTTGAAGGCTCATATACACCTATACACCCTTTTCTGTGTTTTGATTTATCCCATTTTATAAGCAGCACTGTTTACTTTTTTTTTTTTTTTTTTTTTAGACAGAGTCTCGCTCTGTTGCCCAGGCTGGACTGCAATAGGGTGATCCTGACTCACTGCAACCTCCATCTCCTAGGTTCAAACGATTCTCCTGCCTCAGCCTCCCGAGTAGCTGGGACTACAGATGCATGCCACCAGGCCCGGCTAATTTTTGTATTTTTAGTAGAGATAGGGTTTTACCGTGTTAGCCAGGATGGTATTGATCTCTAGACCTCGTGATCTGCCTGCCTCGGCCTCCCAAAGTGCTGGGATTACAGGCGTGAGCCATGGCGCCCCACCACTGTTTACTATTTTAACCTTTAATTCATTCTTAAAAACTTTCAAAAGATTTAATACCAATAATAACATATATAGAATTTATTTCATCAGTTCAAAAAATATTTATAGATATATAATTTTCTATATTCTCTGTCTACTCAAAGGAAACATAATTGCATTTCTTTCTTTTAACAACATTGGCTCTCTCATCCACAATGCAGTCATCAGCATTATCTGGTCTTAGGCAACATAACTTTATTAGCACCTCTTCTAAGAATAGGTCTTTAGAATAGTCCTCAAAAGAGATACAACCAAGAGAGAACTTTATCTCCAGCTCTAGACTTCTAGTCTACAAAGCTTGAAGGAATAGGAGGAATACAACTTGAAACAAATGATTATCGAAATGAAAAACAAAAGCCAAAACAAAAATATGAACCGTCACAACAAAAACTTCACCTGACGTAAGAGCATATTACACACGACTCCAGTTGTAGCCTGATAGTACTAAGAGCATAACCAACTTTGTACCTTCCACTGATTACCAAATGCTCCTCATTCTAATTATTAATTTTAAAACTGATAAACAGGGCCTCCAGGCTGACAAGACAGTGTGTGTGTCAGCTAGAATAATCAGACAATACAGCCAAGTATCCGGCACATAGAATTCTGCTCTCAGTTGCCATCTCTGGTCTGGGCTTAGCACTCAGAAAATTGGGAAAAATTAACAATACTCTCAAATGTAGACTCTGACCAGTCACCACTGGTATGTCTAACCTAGGAGAATCCACCAACTCTCTCTATATATACTTTTAATGCTGCTCTAGAATTAGCTTCCAAATGCAGATGTGACCATCCATATTTTTTTTTTTGGTCCAGACTATTATTGCTGAAGTTGATACATATTTTTTAAAGTAACTGGATAAAACAAATTCTCATTAAAGTTGAATAAGAATTAGTTTATCATACTGGTTACAAGGTAAACTAAGTAATCACCAAGATCTTTGCTCTTCTCATAAAACTAATAATGCAGTTTAAGGCAAGATACTTAACCTCTCTGTGTACTCATGTCTTCTCCTTATAAAGGCTCTGCTGTGGGAAGCACCTCCAAGCCAGTTGATTGTGAAAAACATAAAGCATGTGCTGACTGAGTGCATAGGGAGAAAGGCAATAGAAATTTTCCAGGAAGAAAAAAATCAGTAGCAGTAGTGTTTTTTTCACAAGAGACAAAGTTACAAAGGCCAAAAGGAGCAGAAGGGAGGCAAGAATAGCAAAAGTGAAGGACTTCCAAGCATCAGGGAGTGCTCTGATTGACACTCCTCTCAGGCATATTAGATTACAAGAGTTAAAGCACATTCCAGCTACACATGGAAAACATCTCAGGGAGTTATCGGAAATATTCAGGAAGGTCAATCCTAGAAAAATATTTCAATTTCTTATTTGACAAGTGAGTGGTTATATGAACAAAATGATATTTTACTCTAAATACAATTATTTCATTTATAGTCTCAATCAGGTAAAACTTGAGAATCTTGGTAGACCAGCCTTGCAATAATGAGTGACTGCTGCCTGTGTAATGTCCCAAGCATATAACTTAATTGCATTTCAACCACAGCTGCATCTCTTTTATTGCATATTTCCATTTGATAAAATGTACAACTCCATTGCATTTGGCCATAGACACATTGTTTATGGATAAATATCTCTATTTCCCCATTTTAAACTGACCATTGTCAACATATTAGACATCTGTTACAGAAAACCTGTGTATCTGTATGGCCTGGATGCAATGGGAGTAGGTCTACATCTCTTTATTTGACAACTGCCTTCCCTTCTCTGCCATGAAGGAGTTTGCTTTTCCTCTTATGGAGTTTCTGAGAATATTTTTTAAAAAGAAAAAAAGAGCCTAAAAGCAACCACTTGCTGCTTCTCTCTCTCTCTCTTTAACCATAGTGACAGGGCGGAACTCCATCTCAAAAAAAAAAAAAAAAAAAAACCTTAACATCTTGACCACAATTAAATGTCAGTTTAATTTTGTTTTCAATAACATCTATATTCTATATAATTTTTCATCATAAATTTACCATAATTTCATTACCATAATTTGAGTAAAATGCTGCTAAATTAATACACAACTCTTCAGATTCTTTTAAGTTGGGTATTCTCAACTGATATAAGCTATTGTTTTTCTTTTGCTCGAGTTCTTTTCCCCTAACTACCTGTCTCTCATTGGATAATTGATGAAAAGTTATTACTAAAGAGAGTGTTGAAACTAATAATATATTACATAATTCAGAATCTAGAGCAGTTACATGGCACGTACTGAGTTCTAGAAACAAAGATAAGCTGAATGTGCTAAGTTTTAGATTCTGATAGAGCTATCAACCAAGTTCATTTTAAGAAACTGCCTCAAAGTCAAATTAATTCACCTTAAATTACATTTATATGTTAAATTAAAGAAGCTGAAATTTCACAGCAAAGTAATAAAATGCTAATAAGGCTAATGGAAGAAATTCTGCCTTCAAGACACTAATTCAATGATTTTTCTTTTGACTGGGAACTAAATCACCTAAAGTATTTCAATCTGTTAAACCTTAGCAACATTTAGATCTGATATTTCTGGGTATAAGTAAAATAACATGAGACTTTAAATAGTACTCTTTTATTGTCTCATTATTGATAAAATTAAGTGGCTAATTCAGATATATAGATAGATAGATAGAAATTTAATTAATTTATTTATTTAGTTGGTCTTTCTCAGGCATTAAGGAGTTTCATATGAACTTACCAAAATTCCCCTTCCAAATGGGCATGGTAAGGTGACAGGAAACAAAAGCCACTTTGCTTTATTTACATACACCCTTCAACACAGGCATGCTGAGTATATTGAATCTCAGCTTACTTATGAGTTCGATATGACCAAATATAACATTTGACAACTTTAACAACTAATTTCCTTTCAGAATATTTTCTTTCATTTCTTGTTGTTAAAATATTCATAGATATTTCTATAATTAATTAATTATACAAGGAATTGTGAGCCAATGGCTTATATGATGTTACCTTTTCATATATATATGTATATATATAAATTTGAATTAAGTTGTATGCATGAAGCCAATATGTAGTGTGTCAGATATAATTGTAACTATAACTTCTCAAAATATATCATGTTGCCTTCATTTATCTATAGATACTAACAAAAAAATTCATATTTATTGGTAACCAGTAATTTTGCTAAGAATTTCCAAAAATTGTCAACATGGAAATAAACTACTACTTACATATGACAAAAAGTTTAATACTAAGGCATGAATTTATGGATCTAATTAGAACAAAAGTAAGCCTAGCATTAGCTTAAAAACTGAGATTTTTATATTTACTAATAATACATAATCAGTTTTTCTACTTGACAGTTATGATAAAATAACAATGGCATAACAGACAAACTTTTCTGTAGTTTATTAAAACTGAAAATTTCTGTAGTTTTGTTTCTCAGCTTATTAACTAGATACTACTGATTAAAGGTTTTTAAATGATAATTTCCTCTAAAATATAAGTCAAATATATTTAAATGAGAAAACTCACCCAGAAATTGAAAAAAATTACCTATATTGTCAAAGACACACTCTACTCTCCTTCCACATTCACAACATTCCAGTCAGGCCAAGACAATACGATGAATTACTAAGTAAATACAAAATGTTAAATATAATATTGCAACAATCCGGAGTTAATCTGCCTATACTGTCAATCACCAGAATAACTCCTGGAGTTCATACATGAACACAGAGCTCTTCTGACTAGACAAAATAAGTTCATGCCCTTTAATCCCAGGGGTTGGCACCTTGCCTTTGGCTTCTAGTCTCACTCCAAGATTTTAGATACATTAATAAATTGCTTCTTGATTTAATTGCTCAACTCTCAGTTAACCAGAGGCAAATGAGAAGAAGGAAAGTAAGAAACAGCAATAAGAAATTGTTTGAAATTTTGAAATGCTTACTTGAAACAACTGATAATGAGGAAATAAATCATAATAACAAATAATGCTAAATTATTTGTTATGATTTGTCAGAGCCAACTATGTGTCTGAAACTGTACAGGCATTTGACATTTCACCCAACTTTTACAAGAATGCTTTGACAAAGGTGCTATCATTGTCATTTTATAGGTGAGAAACTACTCACCTGCTAGTTTCTCAGAGATGTTGAGTGACTTAAGAAGTCAAGCAAAGATTCAAGGATTAGTCTATTGAACCTCAAAGCTCTTTCTGCAAGAATTAAAAAGCTGAGCCACTATGAACATTTTGTTTAGGGGGAAACAGCTCTATATATTTAATTAGAACTTTAATGCATTATTACAAGTTTATACAAAACAATTAGATACAGAGTTATCATATTAAAATGACAAAAGAATAAAACATTCTAGGAAGTTTCCTATAAAAACTTCTGACAAGTCTACTTAAGAAACACATTTCTATAGACTAATTTCAAAACCAATTTTGATTCAGCTGTATTTTCATTTTCCTAGATGAAAGTTGGCTAACCTAAAGAAGAATATTTTTTAAGTTAACGACGTGAACAAAAGGATGTGATTTTTTAATTGACATAAACTTTAAATGTTTCGCTTTGTGGTTTATAGAGCATCTTCTCATATACTTAAATTGAAATATCAAAAGATGGGATGTCTGACACATTAGATATTGGCTTAATAAATATAGGCTAATTCAAATATACATTTGAAAAAGTAAAGTCATATACTCATAAGCCATTGGCTCACAACCCCAAGGATAATTAAGGCAATTTTCTAAAAATCATAACGTTTTAAAAAATTGCTTATTTTTATTAGAAATATTATGTTTTTTACAGTCCAGAAAGCCATAATCTCTGAAGAGATTGTGGGAAAATACTGAAGGTTCTAAATATAGAATGTACAATGAGAGAATTCTAAGTGTACATAATACAAACTATTTTTTTTGCTTTAATAATACTAAGGCCCAAACATAATGAATATTATATAAATTCTTAACTGAATATGCCATAAAAACAAGTAAAAATAATACAAAATATCAAACAATTTCACACTGTTACCATTGAGAGAATTGAGAAGTTCCTTTGGATTAACTGGAAGAAAAACTAACCAAGGAAGAGGCAATTTATATGAAAAATGTAACTACTTTTCTAGGATTCTTCTCAATTATTCATTACTGACAAATGACACAAATCAATGGGGGAGATTTCTTATTGTTCAAAGGGAAGTAGTTTCTTTCCTGAAAATATACATTTTGAATGCATGCTGCTAATCATTTCAGAAGCTAGTCTACTTTAGAAATTTTATGTCAATTTGGAGAGGGCAGCCAAGATGGCCGAATAGGAACAGCTCCGGTCTACAGCTCCCAGCGTGAGCGACACAGAAGATGGGAGATTTCTGCATTTCCATCTGAGGTATTGTGTTCATCTCACTAGGGAGTGCCAGACAGTGGGCTCAGGACAGTGGGTGCAGCACACCATGCGCGAGCTGAAGCAGGGCGAGGCATTGCCTTACTCAGGAAGCACAAGGGGTCAGGGAGTTCCCTTTCTTAGTGAAAGAAAGGGGTGACAGTAGGCACCTGGAATATCGGGTCATTCCCACCCTAATACTGCGCTTTTCCGACGGGCTTAAAAAACGGTGCACCAGGAGATTATATCCCGCACATGGCTCACAGGGTCCTATGCCCACTGAGTCTCGCTGATTGCTAGCACAGTGGTCTGAGATCAAACTGCAAGGTGGCAGCAAGGCTGGGGGAGGGGCACCCACCATAGCCCAGGCTTGCTCAGCTAAACAAAGCAGCCAGGAAGCTCCGACTGGGTGGAGCCCACCACAGCTCAAGGAGGCCTGCCTGCCTCTGTAGGCCCCGCCTCTGGGGGCAGGGCACAGACAAATAAAAAGACAGCAGTAACCTCTGCAGACTTAACTGTCCCTGTCCGACAGCTTTGAAGAGAGCAGTGGTTCTCCAAGCACGCAGCTGGAGATCTCAGAACCGGCAAACTGCCTCCTCAAGTGGGTCCCTGACCCCTGACCCCCGAGAAGCCTAACTGGGAGGCACCCCCAAGTAGGGGCAGACTGACACCTCACACGGCCGGGTACTCCTCTGAGACAAAACTTCCAGCGGAACGATCAGAGAGCAGCATTCGCGGTTCACGAAAATCTGCTGTTCTGCAGCCACCGCTGCTGATACCCAAGCAAACAGGGTTTGGAGTGGACCTCTAGCAAACTCCAACAGACCTGCAGCTGAGGGTCCTGTCTGTTAGAAGGAAAACTAACAAACAGAAAGGACATCCACACCAAAAACCCATCTGTACATCACCATCATCAAACACCAAAAGTAGATAAAACCACAAAGATGGGGAAAAAACAGAGCAGAAAAACTGGGAACTCTAAAAAGCAGAGCGCCTCTCCTCCTCCAAAGGAATGCAGTTCCTCACTAGCAACGGAACAAAGCTGGATGGAGAATGACTTTGACAAGTTGAGAGAAGAAGGCTTCAGACGATCAAACTACTCCGAGCTACAGGAGGAAATTCAAACCAAAGGCAAAGAAGTTAAAAACTTCGAAAAAAATTTAGACGAATGGATAACTAGAATAACCAATACAGAGAAGTGCTTAAAGGAGCTGATGGAGCTGAAAGCCAAGGCTCGAGAACTATGTGAAGAATGCAGAAGCCCCAGGAGCCGATGCGATCAACTGGAAGAAAGGGTATCAGTGATGGAAGATGAAATGAATGAAATGAAGCGAGAAGGGAAGTTTAGAGAAAAAAGAATAAAAAGAAACAAACAAAGCCTCCAAGACATATGGGACTATACGAAAAGACCAAATCTACGTCTGATTGGTGTACGTGAAAGTGACGGGGAGAATGGAACCAAGTTGGAAAACACTCTGCAGGATATTATCCAGGAGAACTTCCCCAATCTAGCAAGGCAGGCCAACGTTCAGATTCAGGAAATACAGAGAACGCCACAAAGATACTCCTCAAGAAGAGCAACTCCAAGACACATAATTGTCAGATTCACCAAAGTTGAAATGAAGGAAAAAATATTAAGGGCAGCCAGAGAGAAAGGTTGGGTTACCCACAAAGGGAAGCACATCAGACTAACAGCGGATCTCTCGGCAGAAATTCTACAAGCCAGAAGAGAGTGGAGGCCAATATTCAACATTCTTAAAGAAAAGAATTTTCAACCCAGAATTTCATATCCAGCCACACTAAGCTTCATAAGTGAAGGAGAAATAAAATACTTTACAGACAAGCAAATGCTGACAGATTTTGTCACCACCAGGCCTGCCCTAAAAGAGCTCCTGAAGGAAGCACTAAACATGGAAAGGCACAACCGGTACCAGCCACTGCAAAATCATGCCAAAATGTAAAGACCATCAAGACTAGGAAGAAACTGCATCAACTAACGAGCAAAATAACCAGCTAACATCATAATGACAGGATCAAATTCACACATAACAATATTAACTTTAAATGTAAATGGACTAAATGCTCCAATTAAAAGACACGGACTGGCAAATTGGATAGAGTCAAGACCCATCAGTGTGCTGTATTCAGGAAATCCAGCTCATGCGCAGAGACACACATAGGCTCAAAATAAAAGGATGGAGGAAGATCTACCAAGCAAATGGAAAACAAAAAAAGGCATGGGTTGCAATACTAGTCTCTGATAAAACAGACTTTAAACCAACAAAGATCAAAAGAGACAAAGAAGGCCATTACATAATGGTAAAGGGATCGATTCAACAAGAAGAGGTAACTATCCTAAATATATATGCACCCAATACAGGAGCACCCAGATTCATAAAGCAAGTCCTGAGTGACCTACAAAGAGACTTAGACTCCCACACAATAATAATGGGAGACTTTAACACCCCATTGTCAACATTAGACAGATCAACGAGACAGAAAGTTAACAAGGATACCCAGGAATTGAACTCAGCTCTGCACCAAGCGGACCTAATAGACATCTGCAGAACTCTCCACCCCAAATCAACAGAATATACATTTTTTTCAGCACCACACCACACCTATTCCAAAATTGACCACATAGTTGGAAGTAAAGATCTCCCCAGCAAATCTAAAAGAACAGAAATTATAACAAACTGTCTCTCAGACCACAGTGCAATCAAACTAGAACTCAGGATTAAGAAACTCACTCAAAACCGCTCAACAACATGGAAACTGAACAACCTGCTCCTGAATGACTACTGGGTACATAATGAAATGAAGGCAGAAATAAAGATGTTCTTTGAAACAAATAAGAACAAAGACACAACATACCAGAATCTCTGGGACACATTCAAAGCAGTGAGTAGATGGAAATTTATAGCAGTAAACGCCCACAAGAGAAAGCAGGAAAGATACAAAATTGACACCCTAACATCACAATTAAAAGAGCCAGAAAAGCAAGAGCAAACACATTCAAAAGCTAGCAGAAGGCAAGAAATAACTAAAATCAGAGGAGAACTGAAGGAAATAGAGACACAAAAAACCCTTCAAAAAATTAATGAATCCAGGAGCGGGTTTTTTGAAAGGATCAACAAAATTCATAGACTGCTTGCAAGACTAATAAAGAAAAAAAGAGAGAAGAATCAAATAGATGCAATAAAAAATGATAAAGGGGATATCACCACCAATCCCACAGAAATACAAACTACCATCAGAGAATACTACAAACACCTCTACGCAAATAAACTAGAAAATCTAGAAGAAATGGATAAATTCCTCGACACATACACCCACCCAAGACTAAACCAGGAAGAAGTTGAATCTCTGAATAGACCAATAACAGGCTCTGAAATTGTGGCAATAATCAATAGCTTACCAACCAAAAAGAGTCCAGGACCAGATGGATTCACAGCCGAATTCTACCAGAGGTACAAGGAGGAACTGGTACCATTCCTTGTGAAACTATTCCAATCAATAGAAAAGGAGGGAATCCTCCCTAACTCATTTTATGAGGCCAGCATCATCCTGATACCAAAGCCGGGCAGAGACACAACCAAAAAAGAGAATTTTAGACCAGTATCCTTGATGAACATTGATGCAAAAATCCTCAATAAAATACTGGCAAACCGAATCCAGCAGCACATCAAAAAGCTTATCCACCATGATCAAGTGGGCTTCATCCCTGGGATGCAAGGCTGGTTCAATATACGCAAATCAATAAATGTAATCCAGCATATAAACAGAACCAAAGACAAAAACCACATGATTATCTCAATAGATGCAGAAAAGGCCTTTGACAAAATTCAACTACCCTTCATGCTAAAAACTCTCAATAAATTACATATTGATGGGACGTATCTCAAAATAATAAGAGCTATCTATGACAAACCCACAGCCAATATCATACTGAATGGGCAAAAACTGGAAGCATTTCCTTTGAAAACTGGCACAAGACAGGGATGCCCTCTCTCACCACTCCTATTCAACATAGTGTTGGAAGTTCTGGTCAGGGCAATTAAGCAGGAGAAGGAAATAAAGGGTATTCAATTAGGAAAAGAGGAAGTCAAATTGTCCCTGTTTGCAGACGACATGATTGTATATCTAGAAAACCCCATCGCCTCAGCCCAAAATCTCCTTAAGCTGATAAGCAACTTCAGCAAAGTCTCAGGATACAAAATCAATGTGCAAAAATCACAAGCATTCTTATACACCAATAACAGATGAACAGAGAGCCAAATCATGAGTGAACTCCCATTCACAATTGCTTCAAAGAGAATAAAATACCCAGGAATCCAACTTATAAGGGATGTGAAGGACCTCTTCAAAGAGAACTACAAACCACTGCTCAAGGAAATAAAAGAGGATACAAACAAATGGAAGAACATTCCATGCTCATGGGTAGGAAGAATCAGTATCGTGAAAATGGCCATACTGCCCAAGGTAATTTATAGATTCAATGCCATCCCCATCAAGCTACCAATGCCTTTCTTCACAGAAATGAAAAAAACTACTTTAAAGTTCATATGGAACCAAAACAGAGCCGGCATTGCCAAGTCAATCCTAAGCCAAAAGAACAAAGCTGGAGGCATCACGCTACCTGACCTCAAACTATACTACAAGGCTACAGTAACCAAAACAGCATGGTACTGGTACCAAAACAGATATATAGATCAATGGAACAGAACAGAGCCCTCAGAAATAACACTGCATATCTACAACTATCTGATCTTTGACAAACCTGAGAAAAACAAGCAATGGAGAAAGGATTCCCTATTTAATAAATGGTGTTGGGAAAACTGACTGGCCATATGTAGAAAGCTGAAACTGGATCCCTTCCTTACACCTTATACAAAAATTAATTCAATATGGATTAAAGACTTAAATGTTAGACCTAAAACCATAAAAACCCTAGAAGAAAACCTAGGCATTACCATTCAGGACACAGGCATGGGCAAAGACTTCATGTCTAAAACACCAAAAGCAATGGCAACAAAAGCCAAAATTGACAAATGGGATCTAATTAAACTAAAGAGCTTCTGCACAGCAAAAGAAACTACCATCAGAGTGAACAGGCAACCTACACAATGGGAGAAAATTTTCGCAACCTACTCATCTGACAAAGGGCTAATGTCCAGAATCTACAATGAACTCAAACAAATTTATAAGAAAAAAACAAACAACCCCATCAAAAAGTGGGCGAAGGACATGAACAGACACTTCTCAAAAGAAGACATTTATGCAGCCAAAAAACACATGAAAAAATGCTCACCATCACTGGCCATCAGAGAAATGCAAATCAAAACCACAATGAGATACCATCTCACACCAGTTAGAATGGCAGTCATTAAAAGTCAGGAAACAACAGGTGCTAGAGAGGATGTGGAGAAATAGGAACACTTTTACACTGTTGGTGGGACTATAAACTAGTTCAACCATTGTGGAAGTCAGTGTGGCGATTCCTCAGGGATCTAGAACTAGAAATACCATTTGACCCAGCCATCCCATTACTGGGTATATACCCAAAGGATTATAAATCATGCTGCTATAAAGACACATGCACACGTATGTTTACTGCGGCACTATTCACAATAGCAAAGACTTGGAACCAACCCAAATGTCCAACAATGATAGACTGGATTAAGAAAATGTGGCACATAGACACCATGGAATACTATGCAGCCATAAAAAATGATGAGTTCATGTCCTTTGTAGGGACATGGATGAAATTGGAAATCATCATTCTCAGTAAACTATTGCAAGGACAAAAATCAAACACCGCATGTTCTCACTCATAGGTGGGAATTGAACAATGAGAACACATGGACACAGGAAGGGGAACATCACACTCTGGGGACTGTTGTGGCATGAGGGCAGTGGGGAGGGATAGCAGTAGGAGATATACCTAATGCTAAGTGACAAGTTAATGGGTGCAGCACACCAGCATGGCACACGTATACATATGTAACTAACTTGCACATTGTGCACATGTACCCTAAAACTTAAAGTATAATAAAATAAAATAAAAATTAAAAAGAAGAAATTTTATGTTAATTTATTATATGTATGTGGTGTGTGTGTATATACATAATATATTAAACCTGCTGTACTAGTTTTGCATTTGTGAATTGTTGAGGAACAAAGGTTAATAAAAATGCTTAGAGGATTAACTGCAAATATATATAGTAATATTTCATCATAATCAATTCTGTTCCATGGCTAATAGTGTCACAAAGAAGATTCCCCTTGGAGTGCATCCCAGGGATATATTACTTAATATACACATTGAGGGGGTTGGGTATTGTAGATTCATAATCCAAAAATATAGTCAAGGACAGCTCCATTTTGATAAAAAAAAAGTTAAAGGCATTAAGTAATATTAAAATTCATTTGAAAAGGACCATGGTGTTTTAAAGTAACTGACATGGCACTGTCATTTTCTGGTTTAAAACAAGAAATGCACATTTGGCAACTCATTAAACTCCCAGGACTTTTCTAGGGCCATTGTTTCTTTCCATATCTAAAAAGCATTCAAGAGCATCTCTACTCGGTCGAGGGCCACAAGGCTGACATCAGTGTTTTTTCCCTATTCATAATAGATATTTAAAGCTGGGACTATGCCTGGTATGCCTGGAAACCTTTGACTATATTGCCTTTTATTTGTTTCTAACTTTGGGCTCTTGGAGATACAAAATACCTTTTTTCCAGTCTATTTTCTTTAAGAGTTTTACAAAATGCATTGTTCAGTTAATTCACTTATTATATAAAAATGTTTCATGTTTACCATTTATGTACCAGGCACTGACCTAGGTATAAGAATAAATAAATAAAAGAACATTTCTACTTTGGAATAACTCACAATTCAATGAGGCAGAAAGAAACAGAAATATAAGCCATCATCATCTTGTGTCGTGGTGCTATGGGAACTATCAGAAACAATTATGTTATAGAAATGTGATTAACTACACAAGCTATTCAAATGTATATAGAAACTCAGTCAGAAATAGCAACAAATTCTGCCTGAAGGAATGTAGAGAAGGATACTTTACCTGAGTTTAGAAAGTGAGCACTGTTCCAGGTAGAGGGAACAGTATACTGTTGTATACAGTATACAAGTACCTTATACTTGTAGGTATAAGAGAACAAGGTATATTCAGGAAACTGCAAAGAGCTATCCATTAGAGAGACATATGGGAGTACTGGTCTTAAAAGCAATGAAGATCCACCAGGGACTTTGGTAGATAACCGGTCTATATATCATTAGAATGTTAACTTGTTTGGTAAACAATTTTAGTTGACAACCTACTGTGCCTAGCCTTTTGTTAGAAGACAAACAACTGACTGTGACCAAAACTCAGTGATTGTCCTCATGGGGAAGACAAATATTAAACAAATAATAATAATTAAATAATAATTACATGTGTACAATATTATATGGGGAGCCGAATCAACAGCACTCATAATAAAGTTTTCATATGTAATAAAAATATTTATACTTATGTTTTCTACTTTTGATAGAATCATTACTTGAGACTTTTACTATTTTTCTTCTATTTATATTTACACTACATAGTTCGTTCTACTGTAGCTTAATATTTAAGGTCAAACATCCTCATTTTTTTCATAACTCTTTGACTTTTAAATATTTGTATTATTGCAAGTAAACTATTATATATTTGTGAAGACCTGATATATCCATACTATTCAACTCCTAAAATCATGTTCACAACACATCCCTGTATTAATTCGAGTCTCATTTACACATAATTAAAGGTTTGGGGTTTTCTTTGTAAAATCATTTTTTTATTATATATTTTAATAGGCTACTGTGATATTGGAGATTTAATTATATACACATCACATAAAAGTATTTAAAGCACAGAATTATAAGGTTCTATGGTTCACAGAGGTAGGTGAAGAATGTTAAACTAACAATTATAAAAAATTAATTATCAAATTGAAATATTTCAAATTCAAATATTTCTTCTCACCAAAATATTCTATTGGAGTAGTTACTCACAGATTCATGATACTGAATTATTCTATTTTTTATTCTATCTTAACCAGATTATCTTTTTTAGAACTAAATTTGGATATTTCCCTAATTTGCCAATATCTTCTTAGTGACTGTTTTGGGATTGTTAGACATACTTTTATTAGTTATGTTAATATATCTTAATGTGTTCTAATAAATTTGACTTATTTACTCATTATTTTATTCTTATTCTATTCTTTAACTTTTATTTTAAACTTTTATTTTGAGTTCAGGAGTAAAGATGCAGGTTTGTCACATAGGTAAAATTGCGTCATGGGGGTTTGTTGTACAGATTATTGCATCATCCAGGTATATTGAGCCTAGTACCCATTAGTTATTTTTCTTGATCCTCTCCTTCCTCCCACCCTCTGGCCTCTGTTAGGCCCCAATGTATGTTGTTCCCCTCTAAGCATCCATGTGTTCTCATCATTTAGCTCCCACTTTTAAGTAAAAGGAGATAGGCACAGGCAAAGATTTCATGACAGAGACACCAAAAGCAACTGCATCAAAAGCAAAAATTGACAAATGGGATTTCATTAAACTAAGGAGCTTCTGCACAGCAAAAGAAACTATCAATAGAGGAAACAGACAACCTATGAGATGAGAGAAATTTTTTGCAAACTATGCGTCTGACAAAGGTGTACTATCTAGCATCTATAAGGAACCTAAACAAATTTGCAAGGAAAAACCCCATAAAAAGTGGACAAAGTTTTCAAAAGAAGACATACATGCAGCCAGAAAGCACACGAAAAAAAGCTCAACATCACTGATCACTAGAGAAATGCAAATCAAAATTACAATGAAATACCATCTCACAGCAGTCAGAATGGCTATTATTAAAGTCACGCCTATAATCCAGCCCTTTGGGAGGCCAGTGGATCATGAGGTCAAGAATTCGAGACCACCCTGGGCAACATAGTGAAACCCCGTCTCTACTAAAAATACAAAAATTAGCCGGTCATGATGGCACGCGCCTGTAGTCCCAGCAACTAGGGAGGATGAGGTAGGAGAATCGCTTGAACCCGGGAGAAAAAGGTTGCAGTGAGCTGAGATCGTGCCACTGCACTCCAGCTTGGGCGACAGAGCGAGACTTCCACTCAAAACAAACAAACAAAAAAATAAAACAAACAAAAACAAAAACACAGATGCTGGTGAGGTTGCAGAGGAAAACGATCATTTATATACTTGGTAGTAGTGTAAGTAAGTTCAACCATTGTGGAAGACAGTGTAGTTATTCCTCTTATTCTATTTATTTAAAATATTTATTTTACTTTAAATTCCAGGATATATGTGCAGAATGTGCAGGTTTGTTACATAGGTATACATGAGCCATCGTGGTTCGCTGCACCTAGTCATATAGGTTTTAAGTCCTGCATGCATTAGGTGTTTGTCCTATTGCTCTCCCTCTCCTTGTCCCCCACCTCCCAATAGACCCTGGTGTGTGATGTTCCCCTCCCTGTGTCCATGTGTTCTCATTGTTCCACTCCTATTTATGAGTGAGAACATGTGGTGTTTGGTTTTCTGTTGTGTTTTATTGCAGCATTGGAACCAACCTAAATGTCCATCAATGATAGACTGGATAAAGAAAATGTGGTACATATACACCATGGAATACTATGCAGTCATAAAAACAAATGAGATCATGTCCTTTGCAGGGACATGGATGAGGCTGGAAGCCATCATCGTCAGCAAATTATTCTGTTATTGAATCCTTTCATTTATATCACTATGCTTTTACTTAATCACAAATACATTAATATAACCTTAGCTTGTGATTTTTTAGAAACAAGGGTTTACTACTTCTCACTTCAGATTCATAGATGAAAGTTCATTTTAGTTGAAATTTAGTTTTATCTTCTCAATTATTTTTTTTCCTACTAAATAAGTGAACATCACATCTTTTGATCTTTTTTCTCTCCTGATTTCTATTTTCATATTTTGCTTTGCAAGTCACATTATACTGTTTTTCCTGCAAACCAATATACATCATGAGCTAGTGTGGGTGAAATAAAAATTAAAAAGGCTATGTCCTAAACACAATTTTTCCATTAACTAACTTATGTGACATTTGTAAAGTATTTAGACTGATCTGTAATTTTATTCATATTTATATTAAAAAGTTGAAACTGAATTATTTCTTTGTTCCTATATATAAACTTCTAATTGCCTACATTTAGTTGCTGATGAACTAATCAAATAGTAACTTTTTCACTTAGTGTTCATTCAAAACTTAATAGTTTAACACGTTAATCTATGCTAGGAGTTGTTCCAAGTATGTGTGGGAGAAGGCACCCTTAATATTTGATTCTTCTATATATCTATGATATCAGGATAATTATTCTTATCTCTTTATATAGAATACTCTAAAGGGGTAGATTTTTTTTCTTGTAATAATCATTTCATTGAGGCAGTTTTAATCCTATTGCAGATTAGAATTTTCAACTCATTTTGATATTGTAACTCTTATAGACTAAGTTATGTACCCCACACCCAAATTAATATGTTGAAGCCCTAACCCCCAATGTGGCTTTATTTGGAAATAGGGTCTTTAAGGATGTAATTAAAGTTAAATAAGGTCATAAAGGTGGGGTCTTAATCCAATAGGACTGGGATCCTCATAAGAAGAGGAAGAGACACTAGGAGTGTGTGCACACAGTGGAAAGGCCAGCAGAAGAGGACACAGAAAGAAGCCAGCCATCTGCAAACCAGGAAGAGAGGTTCACTGGAAACCTACAGGGCAGACACTTTAACCTTGAACTTCCCATCTCTAGAACTGGGAGATGACACATTTCTATTGTTTATACCCAGTCTGCAGTATTGTATAGCAGACTGAGCAGACTAAGACAGTAACCAAAGATGCATACTTTAAGGTAAAATTGGTCTTTGTAGTTGACATTTTGAATTAGTTGAAAATAACACCAACAATTACAAGAACTATAACTGATACAGTTTTATATTTTCTGCTTTCCTAATGAAATTCATATACAAATCTGCTCTCAAACAAATTAGACTGCTTTTTTGGGTTTTTTTGGGAAACTTTTTATTCCATTTGATATTTAAATATGGCTGGGTGTTTCTCAGGTGTGTTCTCACTCTTTACAGAAACTCAATTCAATTTAATTCACTACATGATTTTAGCTTTAATCTAAATGTTGATGATAATGTCTAATTATTTTTAGCTGACATATCTCCTAAACTGAAATCCAGCTCAAAAAACTGCTTGCTTAGACACATACATTTGGTTGTTTTCTGAACATTTATATGTATACATGTTCAAAATTAGACTCATTATCTTCCTCTGCATATGGGCTCATCCCTGTTTTTCCAGGGAACTGTATCATCATCTATCTAATTTACTACATTTGAGACATCTACATCAGCCTTGATGTATTCTGGTTCAACCGCTGGATCTAATAACTAAGCCCAGCACAGTTGAACCTCTAAGTATCTCTCCAATTTTATCACTCTCTACTTCATCTACCACAATTTAGGCCCATCATCTCTTACATTACAAGCATTTCTCCTTTCGGTTTCATTCCACCTGCCCCTACATTCATTCATCACATTATAGCGAGAAAGAGCTTTCTATATTCCAATTTTGACATTTCAATAGATCCCTACTGCCACAATGTTCATATGTTTTAATGAGGTTGATAAGATGGTTCATGATCTGCCATAGTTTACCTTTTCCTCCTACTTTAATTCTTACTACTCTTTCATTTTAGTGTGCTCAAATTATGTTGAAATAATTATAGCATCTTAAATAAGCAACAGTAATAATTATAGCAAACACTGCAACAATAATTATAATAGCATATTTATTGATCACTTACTTTGGGCTAGGAATTGCGCAAAACATACACACAAACACATACATATGCATAGCAAATCTCTAAAACATAAATTCGAGATTGTTATTATTGTTAGAGACTATACCAGTATTTGAAATAAAATGACCTCCACGAAATAGTTCAGCACCAGAATTCAAATCCAGGTCTTCCTGACATGAAAATCCCCTGGGCTCTCTTGCTTCTGTGCCTTATATATTATACTTTCCTCTACATAGAAATCTCCACCTCCCTTTTTGCATCCATAACTCTGACATAGTTCTTGAGGTCTCAACTTAGACATCAATTCCAGGAATATGTCTTCCATGATAATTCCTCCTGTTAACAAATACTGACTTAAATCCTCTTCCCATGCAATTTAGAGGAAAGACTGTATTTCCTCTATTACACATTCACTATATATAATAAATAAATTTTAAAATCTATGTGTGTGTATGTGTATATGTGTGTATGTATGAATGTGGAACAAAAACATTTATTTTCTTAAGTTTTATAATTGTTTACTGCTTAAACTTCATGCTGTTTTCATATTGTCTTATTGATTTAAACTCTTTTGCTTCGATATTCCTTAATTAAAATGTATTAGTGGTCAATATTTCCTTGAAAGCTAGTCAAGATGTATTTATTCATGAATGATTGCTTTGTAGATAATAGTAGGGTAAAACAATCAACCAGCTGCAAATTAGAACTCTATTGGGATATTTTAGAACATTTTTTTGTCCATGTAGTTAACCGGAAATCAACCCAGATAATGACAGATTTTATAAATTGATACTGGTATAACTTTGGGTTATATTATTAAATACCCATGTAGCCCAGATTCATTTCTATGTTCTTTCTTTCTCTTCCCAAGTTCTTACGCTATTTCATCACCTATAAGACTAGCAACATTTGCATTTTTCAGAGGAAGTTTTGCTATTTGATACCAATATGGCTATATAGAACAAATATTCTATGACACTTCTTTAAAAATACCACTAATTAGATGACACTTAAGGTGAAATAATTGTTTTACAAAAGTAGAGCATAATATTCTGTCTTTAATTTTTAGTAGTAACAATACCATATTAAAAATTTTTAATTATACTAATAGACTTGTAGCACATAGAGGACTGAGGTGAATAAAGATGTTTAAAACATATATATCATGAAGGGAACTGAGACACTGATTAATGTTTAACATATAAGGTTGAATATGCATGCTAAAATTTTAGTTGTTAAAATATAAAAATAGAATGTGTGAATTTAAAACCCATTAAAAGAATAAATAAAACGAAAACAAATAAATGGAATGAAAGAAAGAAAATGAAGCAAATAAACCATATAAAATAGAAATAAATGAGTAATATGCTAGAACTATGTCAAATATGTTTAACTTGATAATAAAAGATAAACATTTGCTTTTCAAAATGTCTAATTATCTTTTACAAGAGACATACATAAAATATGTTAAAATAATTTTATAAAGTTTTTGAATTAAAAAGATGAATAGAATTTTAAATAAAAAAGATGAATAGGAAAAGGAAAATATTAACCAGAATAATATTATGGAAGCACTATTAATGTAGAAAAATAAGGCAATAGTTATAAAGTGTGTCATTACTTTATAATACAGAATAATTATTCTGGAAAAAATGAAAAACTATATGCCAGGTGGTGTTCTTTAATCACTTAACATGTATTATCTTAATTAATCCTAAAAGCACCCCTATGCTTTAGGTACTATTAATATTCCCATTTTGTAGTTAATGAAGCTAAAGGTCAGAAAGTTTAAGCAATTTGCCTATTATTACACATTATTATGTGATGGCAATATATATACTATAAACATTTGTACACAGTATCAAAATTGACTCGAGAGGGAACAGAAGACATGAATAGAATTATAACTCAATAAAATTAAATGAGAGTCAAAACTGTAAAAAGAAACATGTAGACAATTTACAGAGAATGTTTACCAAATTACCTAGGAAAGAAAAAATCTGTTTCATGCGGCTAACATAATCTTAACCATAAAACTGGTTAACACCAAAGGAGAAAGGACTTTTAGCTAATCTAATTTATGAGTATAAATCTTATTTATAAACATATTCAAAAATCTTAAATATTAGCAAGCATCATTCTTAATTGTATTTATCACAGAAATACTGGTAAAATTTGATGTTTGGAAATTGAGTACTATATTTAGTCGCATTAAGATAAAAGATACAAAAAACCCACAAATATAGATGACAAATCAATGCAGACAGAAAATAACATTCAAACATTTCAATACCTATTTATAATTAGGATGGAAGGCTTGCTATATGCAAGCTTAATACATAAAAATCAGTAATATGTGTACATATGTTCATACCATCAATACTCATTTAGATAAAAAAGAAGAAGAAAATCCATTCATAAAACAAGATTCCATAAAAAATTCGGGGCCAAATTAAACAAAATAAATTCAAAACTATTAAGAAAAAATAGAATTATTTTATTGAAGTTCTTGAGAAAAATATCTAAATAATTGAAACAATTCATATGGTCACAGATAAAAATATTCACTATTGTAAAGCAACAACTCCCACCCCATATCAATTTATAAATGTAATGCAATGATTACATAAAGATTATTTTATGGAATTTGGCTTATTAATTTTAATTTATTAATTTTAAAATTCATATGAAAGAATAAATTGCCAAAATAAGACAAACTTGAAAAAAGAGTAGAAGGGCTTGCCCTATTAAATATCAAATTTCTTATAAACCTATAGTACTAAATTATTTTCAAATAATCACAAATGCACACATAACATGCTTCACTTGTAAAATCTAACATTTATAGGGTGCTTACTATAGCCTAATTATTTTTCTACATGCTTTGTGAAAATTAACTCAATATTCAGAGAAATCCTATGAAGCATATGAGGATTACAAGTAAGGAAACAGAACTGGAGTGTTTAGGAAATTGTCAAGATTCCATAGCTATTAAGTAATTGAGCTGATTTTCAAATCCAGACAGTCTAGCTCATGCTATTAACCAATGTGCCTTAAACACCAGTTGACTTTTAACTGTCATTGAAACCTCTAGTAATTTAATCCTTCTCAAATTACTCGACATTTGTAAATCAACAGATGGAATCTAATCCTCTCTGAAGAAATATATCTGCTGCATTTCTTCGATTTTCTAGGATTATTATGTATTGTTGATTATCATTATTACCACCCTCTTTTGACAATCTGTTCTCTTGTTTTGCTATGAGTTTATAATCATTTGTTTTATCTCATTCTGAATGTGGCTCTGTTTCTACAATGAGCCTGGGCCAATATTCCCATTTATTTCTGCTGCCAATAATGAAGAGTTAGAAAGATGCTATTTACACATGTTATTATTTAAAATGTAAATAGTTAGCCACAGCTGCTGCAATTTTCCCAATTGTAAGAAAGAGAAATTAGGTGGGGAAATGGGGGCACAACTACATCTATCAATTCTCTAGGCATTCAGAATAAAATATGAAAGAAAAAAAAACGAGAAATAATAATTTGCTTCCAGGACACTAAACTTTGAATTGAATAAACCTATGTAAATCCCAGCAACACTTAATATATACAATAAGCATAATCATAAGATAGGCTTGGAATTAGTAATTTAAAAGTTTAAACTTTTATAAGAGTTTTCAGAAATATTCTGTTTAATTTCCCCATATAAACAATTGGCAAACCAAAAAAACAAAGTGCAAGATATAATTTCTTCAGTTTCAGGAAAGGTGACTTACATGCATTTTTAGCAAGTAACTTTGAACCACTTAAAAATTCATTGAAATTTTTAAGTATTAAGTATTAAACATATTTTCTTCAATTTAATGCTTGTGAGATGAATCCATGTTAATATGTGACTCTAGTTCATTCATTTTCACTGTGCATAATATTCAACTTTATGAATACACCAAAATTTATATATCCATTCTGCTATTAATAGATATGTTGATTGTTTCCTCTTTAAAAGTTTTGGATTTTTTGGCTGTTATGAACAATGCACTTTCCAACAATCTTTAACATTTATTCATGGGAACACATAAAGATACCATTAAAGTTTTAAAACAACAAAATAATAACACATTGTTAATAGTGCATATATCTAGCAAAATTACAAGTAAATATATCGGAAGGAAAATCAAAGTCAGGATGTCAGTCATCCCTAGGAAAGGAAGGGTACATCGGGGATTTTAACTACATTGTTCATGTTTTATTATTAAAGTAGGTTGTGTGTGTGTGTGTGTGTGTGTCTTATTGCTCTACATTTTTTATGTTCCAAATACTCCATCAAATTACAAAAAGTGTAGTAAAAATATGAATGTAAAAATAGTCTAAAGGAAAAGATATTTTCCCATTAGAGATTTTATAAAAATGACTCCGGAAACTGTCTCTTTTTGTTTGCTTGTTTGGTAACATCGTTGGTTGCATGTCACTATTTGTGAAAAGTAGCTCCTAAAACAAAAACCCAATGATTGCCTCTATCTGATAGTCATGTCTTTGTATAAGCTTTTCCCTTTGAATGTGGGCTGGACCTATTGACTGACTTCTAACAAACAGAATACAGCAGAAGTGATAGAATTTCACCTCAAAACGTATGTTACAAAAGCAGTGTGGCTTCCTTCTTGGGTGTCCACTATTGCTCTCTTGCTTGCTTGCTCTAAGAGAAGGTGGTTACTATGTTGTGTGCTGCCACATGGCAAGGAACTGATATTTCTGGCAAACAGGCTGTGAGGGAACAGCAGTTGAAGCCCACCAACAATCACGTGAGTAAGCTTGAAAGTGAATCTGCCCCGAGTCAAACTTCTCCTAGATGACACACTGATGACAGCCTTACGTGAGACTCTAAGGAGGAGACCTAGCTAAGCCATGAAGGGAGTCCGGATGCACATAAGCTGTGAGATAATAAATGTTGGTTATTTTAAGCCATAAAATTTTGGGGTAATTTATTCCACAGTAATAAATAAGATTCTCTTCTTAGGAAAATACTATAAACTAGGCTATGAAATGTAAAAAATGTTTGTAGCAGTTAAAATTACAAAGAACAAAAATGAAACAGTCTTGACATATTCAAAAAGATGATTGGAGGAGATTCATTTCTAGCACGTCAGAGCAAAGAGATCAAAAAAATCCTCAAATACTCTCCCCAAAAGAAAACCAACATTCCAACATGCTGGAGAATGACTGTGAACATACAACAAACTGTTTTGTGAACACTTATTCCCAATATTTACTGAACTTCAAGTAAAAGGATGAAAATGTGTGGTGTTTATGCTTGTGGCTACTCCTCTACCCCAACCAGGTTCTGTCTGTATAATACTCTAAGCAGTCCTTAGAAACAAGAAGCTTTGCTGTTGTTGTTGGTGACAGCTCACTTAATTTGAGGTATTTTTCAGTTAAAAACAAGAAGACAGAAGAGCCAACAGCTCTGGTATCCTGAGATTGCAACCTTGATCTCACTCTATCCTGTGGCACACATTCTCTCTCTTCCCCTTACCTCTTTCTCACCCTACCATCCCCTCCCTCCCCCATCCATATATAGAAATACCCATACATGCTCAGCCACAAACACACGCTAAACTATATGAACAATTTTATCGGTGCTGCTACTGCAATCCCACATGATACAGGGACAATTTAGAGCCATCATGTTGCTCTTTTGTGAAAAGATTCCTCCCAGAGTGACTTGACAAGAAACCATAGAGATTATTTCCCCACAGCCACGGAATATAGTAGGTTTAAGTACCTCTGCTTAAGAATCATAAGATAAAGGTGAAAAATATTATTTATGGCAACCACAGCTGCTGATATCGAGTCAGGTGTCATTTCTATTCCTCCTTAAAAAAAAATTGAGGTATTCTGAATCCATTTACTTTTCCTCCTCCCCATCACCTTTTAAACAAAAATGCTGTCATTGATTTGCAGTTTCATGATGATTGAAAGCATGCTTTTGCTGTTAGACAATCATCATTTAAAAGTTTAATCCCATAATTGTTTCCTAAATCATAAAAACAAATCTTAAATTTCAGTGTATATTTAAATTATTAATGTGACAGACAGAACTTAGATACATGATTTTTGAAGAGTACAGAATTAAAGAGGTATTTAATCACTTTGTCAGGTAGGAGATGGACTTAATATATCTAAAATCATTTTTGGTGGTCTTTCTCACTGAGATGGTGACAATTAACACCTAAAAGACACCTTCATGTAGCAATAAAAAGAAATAATGAGGCTGTGTTACAATGCCCTAGTAAAATGTCACTCTTTTGATTACTTCTCCAGAATTTGTCTGCCAAATCCCATCATTTGTCTCATTTATCTGTCATTTTAGCTGTAGGGTAGTGGTAGCATCTTACAGAAGTGCTCAGGTTCCTGGCTATTTACTAAACAGTCCACGATAAATTCAAATCTGTCACTACACCCAAAATGAGGCTAGAGTTAATTTACTTGTGCAAATTGAAACATGCCAGATCTTCCTTTTGTTTCCGTATAGTTCCTGGACATGGCCACTTTGCTGATTTAAGAGTTGGAACCTAATTACCCTTTGCAACGCTGCTGTGGTAAAATAGCATGAATGTGTAACCAGTCTCACTGACAGCAATATACACAGCCTCCCAGGACAGCAAGCCAGATTAAAATCAATGACTTGGGTCGAAGGGCCTTTCTGTCCTTTGGGCTGAAATATTAGAAAGTCAGGACATGCTGTATTATATAAACACATTGACCTTCAAGGTATGTGTCCTTTGGAATTTTTCTTATAATCTCCGGAGGAAATATAAAAACAGCAAATTCAATTAAGTTACTTCACAGATTGACTTGAATGTAAGGTCAAAGTTCCCAGAAATAGACCTTAAAACATTATCTTTGGCTACGTAAAAATAACAACAACAACAAAATAAAAGCAAAAGTGCATCTCTACAAGGTTGCCATACCTGTACAACATGTAACATTTAGTCTCATAATGTTCAGAAAATCATGATCCCATATAAATTATTCGGTATTTTTCTTTCCTCTCTTAATAAAATGAGTTTTATAAACAGAAATATTTCCAGGAGGGGAAAAAAGAGAAAGTAGCTCACTATGGAACTACCTAAATCAATTTTCATTTCATATTCATAGTTGAATACAGCTATAACTGGCTGGGGTAACATAGTGGAAAATCCAATATGGAGACTTGTATGTGCACTGGATTTTCAATCTTATTACACTACCTTGTTTGAAACAACATAGTTAGAGGTCAGTTAGTGCAGTTTTTTTCTCTATATAAGCTCACTTTTTCGGGAGACATTCATTCATTCAACTATTTGAAAATATCAAGTTGAGACTTGCCCTATGGTTCTTATATTAGATTTAGGGAAGGATAGTTTTTCAACTGAATGTTAAATTTTTTTAAGTTCAAAAAGTACTTGTAGCATCTGAATTTAGCCACTCTAACATATATATACATATCTGTGTGTGTGTGTGAGTACACAAGTATGTGTCTATTTTCCCCCTTAGGACTACAATCTCATGCATATTAGCACTTCAAATATTTGAAAACAATATGGAGACCCTAGAAACCTACCATAATGTTCTTACATATTCTTCTTTTATATATCTATATTTTTAAAGACTCAATAAAATTAACCAGTATCTTTTCTTTCATTTTAAGAAAGCAAAAATTTCTTTCTACAAAATACATTAGCTTCTGAATGTATACATTTAGGAAATATATCTCATATATATTTACATATATATATATATATATGAAAATTCTAGAAATATTATCACCAATTTTTATAGTATCCATTATTAGAAAAGGCCATCTTACGGTTATCTTTATATTCTCAAAAAGTTTCAGTTGTCACATCAGTTGTTTTAACATCTTGATTTGATTAAGGTGTTGATTAACTACTTTTTCAAACAAAATTGTTTAGTAGAAAAATGACCCTATGTCCATGAAAACAAGATTACCAAAGTAAGAATAATATAAATTTTCCCACTAATAATGAGTTGCTACTTTTCTACCCATTTTTTCATCGGCTGGCCAATCTTTGCAATTAATGGACACATCATAGTTAAATAATAAATCTCCTGATGTACCGCAGTCAGAAAAGAGTAATATTGCATATCTACTGTTTAGCTTTTCTTCTCAGAGTCAGAACAGAGTAAAATGAACCCACCCATGATGAGCACATAGGGAGGGAATACCAAGGCAGAAAAAACTGGATGCTAATCAAGTGCAGACTACTACAGCTCATGTAAATGAGAAAAACCATCCCAGAGAATGAGTAACTGACTGCTTGCACCTTAGTGAGCATACTGGAGAAAACAACCACCCCAGCCAAGCAATTAATGAAGCCCCTGCATTTAAAATCTAAACTGTGCTCAAGTGCAGACAATAAGAACTTTCTGCAATTAGTAGTTGATAATAAAGGCAAGGCAACGACAATTGCAGTGGAGATAAGTGTGAGATGGACTAAGAGAAATTTGTGACAGACAAGAAGAGAAACAATTGCTTTTCTAATTCTTTGAAAAGAGGTATGGGACCGAACGAGGTGGCTCATGCCTGTAAGCCCAGAAAGTGTGAGATGGACTAAGAGAAATTTGGGACAGACCAGAAGAAAAACAATTGCTTTTCTAATACTTTGAAAGGAGGTATGGGGCCGAACGAGGTGACTCATGCCTGTCAGCCCAGAACTTGGGAGGCCGAGGTGGGTGGATCGCTTGAGCTCAGGAGTTGGAGACCAGCCTGGGCAACATGGCAAAACCCCATCTCTACAAAAAATACAAAAATTAGCCTGGTGTGGTGGCACGTAGCTGTAGTCCCAGCTACTTGGGAGGCTGAGGCATGGAAATTGCTTGAACCTGGGAGGCAGAGAACCTGGGAGGTGAGCTGAGATCACCCCATTGCACTCCAGCCTGGGTGACACAGGGAGACCCTGTCTCAAAAATAAAATAAATAAATAAAAATAAATAAATAAACAAGATATGGAAAAATAGTACATCTTCAGAATATATTGTTCAGAGTTTACTGTACAAAACTCTGTTGAATTTAGCTATAAAAACAAGTTATACAAAATTATTACTTTATAGAATGTGTTCAGTCATTCTCAGTTAGCTCCTAAATGTGTTAGCTAAATAGGCCAACCACATATGCTTGTTAACTTTAGCAAGGGTGTCTTCTAACCAGTCATGTATAAAAACAGATTGATATTCACTGCTATAAAACTCCTTCCCCAAAACTCACCAGTGGTGCAGTCTTGTGTTCAAAGGCAGGTGCTAACAGCACAGTTTTCATGTAAACCTCCTGTTAGAGCTATCTGAATCTCATTGAAAGAATATCATTGTATTTTTTAAAAATCCCAAGTTCAGGAAACCTTTTTATTCTTAAGTTATTTGGTGACATTCCTAATCATACTTTAAGACTTATCTTAAGTATTATCTTTCTTGGAAAACTTTCTCAGTCCTCTCGAAAAAGTAAGATTTCAGTAATCGAATGCAACTTTATTTATCCTCCGTAATAACTAGATTCCAGGCAGGATCTGTCATAATAGCAACAGTAACAGCAGAAACAGCAACTAATAGTTTGCCACTGAATGTAGCATCTTACCTTATTATATTGTTTAATACTTGTCATCACATTGTATGGTAGGTACCATACCACTATTAACTACTTTAATATCTGGAATCTTACCTATTGTCTCATAGATAGAGTAGATTAGGAATCAGACCCATCTGTCCCAGAGTCTTGGATCTTAACCATGTGACTATGTAATACTTCCTTATTATTCTGAATTTTTTTGCAGTAGCCTATGAACTTTCTGAAGATGTAGAATATGCCATCCTGTTTATCTTTGATCTCTCAATGTATATAAGTTAAGATGGGGAAGTCATGGTTCTCATGATAGAAAATGCACAAAAATAGAAAAATGCACATAAAGGGCTTAGCACACTAGCTTTCTCATATTAGCAGACAGAAAGCTACTAATTAGTGTCTGCAAAGTCAGTGAATTATGGCATTATTTGAGGTGTCCTAGCCTGGATTCACAGCACACCTAGAGCTCAGAGAATGATAAAATTGTGCTCCTTTCTTCGGGTGCTTTTCAGAGGCGTCCTTCAGACAGCTGCTGAAAATGCCATTTGTCACTTGTCATTTATTATAAAATTACATTAAACATGCTATAACAATAAAGGACAGTAGGAAAAAGATTTCCTATAGTGGTCTTCAATTACTTTAGTCGTATGGTATAGTTATTAAATGGTCAGACTTACCTCTTTAGCTACTAAGATCAAAAGCAGAATAAATTTTCTGAAGTCCCTTTAGCACAAGTAACTCAAAAATCACTTCTGCAGCACTATAACTCAAAGAGGTGTTTAAGAAATGTTTCCATGTATTTCCCATAATTATATTTCTATTTTACTATACTGTATCCTAAATAGCAAAATCACATTCTAATAATAGTGTTGAAATTTAACTGAAAGAGATTTTCTAGACACAGCAACAATGCTCTTAAATACTTTGAGAGACAAGACTGATTTAATTAAATAATAACAGATTCAGAAGGTTCAGGCTTAAGTTCATCCAGAAGAATGTGAGTCATTCATTTCCCATTTTTCTTCTGCTGACTCACCAATAATAAAGGCTTTTCTCAAAAACTATTTTCAAAGTAGCTTCATTCTGATGCATATATAGCATAGACAAATTTAATCATCAGCACGTTTTCAGTGAAGAATTGTAGTAAATTCACCCATTTTGATATATATATATTTTTTTACAGTATCCACACTTCAAAGTTGTTGAGCCTTTTAAAAATAGGGATTATCCCTTTGCATAAGAGGAATAGTAAATAATTCTCATTCCACTAGGTTAACTGGACCCTTGGGCCCTCTCTAGGAAGCACAGTTTCAAGATAAGCACTTGGATCTGACAAAATAAAGCAACCAGCTAATAATAAACCAGGAACCAATAATAAAACTACAGTATTGAACTGAAGATTCACATAAAGGAATGTCACAGAGATATGATGCTTTAAGTTATCCTAGAATTACAATTAGGAAGTTAGGTGAATCTCACTCTCTCTCTCTCACTCTCTCTTTCTCTCTCACTCTCTCTTTCTCTCTCTTCCCCCATCACAACTTTGCAAGATTATTACTATTACACTAGTTTTTTAAAATAGGAAATCTGAGTTTAAAGACACTTCATGCCTTTCCCATAGCCATTTAGCTATAAAATATAGAGACAGGACCAAATGCATTGTTTGTGTTTTCTGTTGCAATGTATCATTTTCTTACTTATTTTATATATTCTGGAATGACTGTAATATGAATGTGTTTGATTTAAACACAAGTTCTCACTTTTTTTCTCTGGTGCAATAAGGTACAATTCTCATATTTTGGCATAAAATTCAGTGTATCTGTTAAATAATGATAGTACATATTCTATTTAAAACCAGTGGCATAAAAATTTTTCTTCATTCAACTTCAAATTATATTATTTTCATGTGCACTTTACTTATATTTCAAGTTTCAATGATTGTATTTTGTTTTTAGTTTCCATCAAGGTTAGCAATAGTTTTTAGATTTATTTAACTAGCATGAAAAGCATCCTCTTTCAACAAAATTATTAATAATATTGCTAATCTACTCGAAAATAGAGAAAATATTCTCAAATCTCCAAGGAGCACTTTTAAGCCCTTATTTAAAATTTGAAAATACCTTTTATTAAAATGCAAAGACATTAAGGCTCACCAGCTACTACATCTCAATGCAGGGTGTATTGGATGTGTTTGATGAACTGGTTTTATTGGGCCATGGGAAAATGATAAATAATTAATATAGGCTTATATCTACAAAGTTTAATTATCTTCATATTAAGGTTTCTTTTGATATTCAAATCAAGAAATAACCTGGTGATTTGCAAAACTGAAAATCATATAAAAAGAGATAAGTTCAAGCAGTTCATTGACTTTTGTTGTGTATCTTAAATAGAAATTTAAAATGCTATTGCAACAGAGATTTAAAACTTGCTTAAGTCTGTAACTGACAATTGAAAGAAAGGCAGCTGAGGAATTTATAAATAGATTACATATTCCCTTCAATCTGTGGATAACATCTTAAGTGCCTGAGAAGTGCATTTATAGAAAGTCATCTGAAAACCATGCCTAATAAAGAAAATTAAAAGCCACGTCTGAAATAAAGTTAAAACTGACACAAAGAGAAAATGCAGCAAATTATGATTTTTGAGCATTCTAGTATTAGCTAATTTTAATTTGATTTACATTTTAAATATATCCTATTTTGGCACTTAGTCCAGGCATTTAGTCATATATACATATATATATATCACTAGTTAAATAGTAAACTTATAAGGAAGAGTTTTCAAAACAAAGAGACATTTATGTAATGACTTTGTAATCTACTTAATTTCTAAGAATATTGCAGTCATTTTTAAAAAGTGTTTTCTGCTTTTAGTTACTTGTTTTCAGGGAAAATGGAACTAGAATACCTTAAAATAAGCTAAATAATTTTCCCTTGAGTGGTAAAATTTATGTAAAGCACCAAACACATTGTGTGAAATAATTGGTTCACATTAAACATATTATAGGAGAGTATAAGTAGCTGTAGTAGTAATAGTAAAGAGGTTCTCAGTGACAAGAATCCTGGGATGAAGAAATCATTATTTCCATTTATTATTTAAGAGAAAGATGCAGAGGTTTTAAATACTGTAAGATTAAACAACTTCTAAGCATTGGAGCCAGAATTTTAAGTACTAGCTGCTTCCTAAGCGTATACTTTTTGCAGTGATTTAACACCGCCCACTAACTTTATATAACATCAGGTCTTACAAGCTACATTATAATATAAACAGATGAATAGTGGCATAACCCTAAAAAGCTACTTTATAAGAGCTTCACATTTTAAGAAGTTAAAAATTATTTTCATTATTTAAAAGTATATTCTCAATTTAGGATTCATGTATCATCATTTACAACATAGGCATTATTAATTTTAGGTTCAAAGGAATATGTGTAAGTTTGTTACATGGGTAAATTATGTGTTGCTGAGGCTTGGTATACGAATAAGCCTATCACCAAGGTAGTGAGCATAATACCTAATAGGTAGCCTTTCAATGCACACCCTCTTCCCCACTCTCTACCCTCAAGCAGTCCCCAGTCTATTGTTCCCTTCTTTGTGTCCATGTGTATTCAGTGGTTAGCTGCCACTTATAAGGGAAAATATGCAGTATTTGGTTTTCTGTTCCTGTGTTAGTTCACTTCAGATAATGGCCTCCAGCTGCATTCATGTTGATCCAAAGGACATGATTTCATTATTTTGTATGACTGCATAGTATTCCATGCTGTATATGTACCACATTTTCCTTATCCAGTCCACCATTGATGGGTATCTAGGTTGATTCCCTGTCTTTGATATTGTGAATAGTTCCATGATGAACACAAAAGTGCATGTGTCTATTTTTATAATACGTAATACATATTTATAAAGGTTCATTGCTGCTATTGACTGAATGTTTATGTTCCCTCAAAATTTATATGTTGAAATCTCAACCCCGAATGATATGGTACCTGGAGGTGGAGCCCTTGGTCAACAATTAGGTAATGAGGGTGGAAGCCTCATGAAGGGGATTAGCATCCTTTTAAGAGATAGACCCTTGCTGTCACTCTCTGTTCTCCACCATGTGAAGACAAAGCAAGAAGACAGCCATCTGCAAAGCAGAAAGTGCTCCGTGGCTCACTAGATACCATATCTTCCAGCACCCTGATCTGGATTTCCCAGACTCCAGAACTGCACGAAATAAATGTTTGATATTTACGCTGCCCAGTCATCTATGGTATTGTTTGGTAACTTGATTGACTAAGACAACTGCCCTCAGGCATGTTTGTCAGAAATGTTCTTGTTGGTGAATCTGAAACAACAAGATTAGAAAAAAGTACTGTAGGCTGGGCCTGGTGGTTTACGCCTGTAATCTCAGCACTTTGAGAGGCCAAGGAGGGTGGATCACGAGGTCAGGGGTTCGAAACCAGCCTGACGAACATGGTGAAACCCCGTCTCTACTAAAAATACAAAAATTAGCTGGGCATGGTGGTGTGCACCTGCAATCCCAGCTACTCAGGAGGCTGAGGCAGGAGAATCATGTGAACCTGGGATGCAGAGGTTGCAGTGAGCCGAGATTGCACCACTGCACTCCTGCCTGGGCGACAGAGCTAGACTCTGTCTCAAAAACAGAAAGGACCATAACAGCCAAGAAAGCTTATATTATTTTAGCACTATGGAGTTATGGTAACATATTCAGTCCTTGATTTCCTGCAAAATGATACCATTCATATGCACTTTTGCAGCAATCCTGTTTAAGTAAAAAATGTATTTTTTTTACTTAAAAAATATTCATAGCCATGTAATTATATCTCTAGCTACAGATCTGTGCATATGAGCAATAAGTGTATTGTCTTCATACATTTGCATTGAATTACTTTTGTGTGACCTAGTCAAAACAAACTGGTCAAAACAGCAATTTGTTTAAAATAGATTAAATGGTTAGTCTTTACTTCTTAAACTTTGGCTAGTGATATCTACTTTAACTTGTTTAAAAAATGATTGAGGGCTGGACATGGTGGCTCACGCCTGTAATCCCAGCACTTTGGGAGGCTGAGGCGGGCAGATCACGAGGTCAGGAGATCGAGACCATGATGGCTAATACAGTGAAACCCCGTCTCTACTAAAAATACAAAAAATTAACCGGGCTTGGTGGCAGGCACCTGTAGTCCCAGCTACTCGGGAGGCTGAGGCAGGAGAATGGCGTGAACCCGGGAGGTGGAGTTTGCAGTGAGCGGGGATTGTGCCACTGCATTCCAGCCTGGGCGACAGAGCGAGACTCCGTCTCAAAAAAAAAAATTGATAAAATGATAGGATGAGTACTAGCTATAAATGAATACAATTATGATGAAAACATTGCAATGATGCTATGAATATTCTGTTAAAGCTTTCAACCAGACTCATTTAGCAATGTTTTCAGACTTTTATTTTATAAGTCTTTTATTTTAAAAGAGAATTGATTAGACATTTGGATGAAGAATAAACTCTCAAATAATTGAAAGAGATGTGATGAGTAATTTTATGTGTCAACTTGCCTAGGTTATGGTGCCCATTTGCCTAGTCAAACATTAGTACTTGGAAGTTATTGTTTAGATGTGACTAATATCTTAATCAATAAACGCTGAATAAAACATATTATTCTTTATAATGTGAACAAGCTTAAAGTTGAAAACTTTAAGAACAGAGACTGAGGTTTCCAGAAAAGAAGGAATTCTCTCCAAGATTGCAATATAAAAACTCTGCCTAAGTTTCCATCCTGCTGCTTTGTGAAGTTAGGATTCAAGACTGAAACATTAATTCTTACCTAAATTTCCATCCTACTGACCTGCCTTACAAATTTCAGACTTGTCAGCTCCCACAATTGTGGGAGCCAATTTCTTAAAATAAATCTCCTCCTCTGTCCCTCTCCCTCTCTCTCTCTATACATATATATGTCATATATATAATTTGAAATAGTATTTTCACATCTGATTTTTTAAATAAAGACACATAAAACTTGATGTCTAGGTAACTTCCCATCTTCCAATTCAACATTCCAACAATTTTGACTATTTATCCTAGAAACACTTTCTTTAATTCAACAAATCATTATGACAAAGTAAGCATCTCTGAAAGAATAATAAAATTAGCTTTTAAAATATTCACTTTCTACTAATTTTTTGGTTTCACTAATTTGTTGCTTCAAAACCATAAACTTTTATCAGAAATGAAGATTGTAGTAAAATGTCAGTGCTAGAGTGTACCTGAGAAAAACATCTTCCAACTCACTCATTTCAAAGTGATTGTTGCTCTGAGGTCATACAAATAACATAACAGGATGAAGTCTACTAATAAGATACTACATTGATATCATACTCAAAGAAAAACAATCATACATTATGTGGAATAAATATTAATAATAAACAGACAGGTATTTGTTACATAATTGAAGAACAGGAAAAACAAGGACAGTTTCTTCCTCCACTATTTTTTCAGCTTACAGAATAGTAATTCAGATCAATTTGCAAAGAATATAAAGATGGATTTGATAGTCAGAAGTTTTAGAACAACATAATGTATGACATTTCTACTTCATTGCAAGTTTTGGCTTAAATGGCTGACCAATAGTAAAAAGCATCCTTAAGTAAATTTAAAAGTATAAAACCATAATATGGATCTCAGTAACATAAAATACAGATGACATAAGAACCCAGAAATAATATGTAAACCAAATGCAATGAATAAGGGTAAATGAAAGAGAAAATTAGGAGACTGAAACAAAAAGAGAGCTGTTAATAGAGAAAAAATGGAAAAAGAAAACAGAATACATGCTTTATATATATTTATATATTTACTTGTATGTTGTATATATGTGTTTACATATGTATATTCTATATAGTAATAAGGATGACCAAAGAACGAAAAAGGAAGAAGAAAGAACCTAATAGTGGAGAAGCCTTAGCACAAAAAAATCACCAATTATCACCACCATATATGGCATTTTTAATTTATTTTTTGCTGAAGTAAAATGTAATCAAATACAATAGAGCTAAAATAATTAGAAATATTTATTGAAGACAGAACAGAATGAACGAAACAATTTAAAAGAATATCATATTTCTAAAACTATTCTTTTTATAGAATAAATCTGTTTCACTGGAGGCAATCAAGAGTTTAATGCCATAATCAATATATGACATTAGTTTTTAATTACTCATATATGCAACCACTTCCCTTTTTCTATTTTTCTTTTCTTTTTTCTTTTTCTTTTCTTTTTTTTTTTTTTTGAGGAGTTAACAGTCTTTATTGGGCTCAGACCAGGAGTCCGTGAGTCTTGAAGACCTCTGTATATTTGTCAATTTTCTTCTCCACGTTCTTCTCGGCCTGTTTCCGTAGCCTCAAGAGCTGTTTCTTCTTCCAGTACTGGATCTTGGCCTTCTCCTTCCTCTTCTCCTGCAGGGTGGCTGTCACTGCCTGCTACTTCCAGCCAACCTCGTGAGCCAGGCGCCCCAGTTAGGCAAACTTTCTTGCAGGCTTCAAACGCACGACCTTCAGGGCAGCAGGAGCCACCATCCATTTTTTCTTGTCATAGGGCGGTGGGATGCCGTCAAACACCTTAAGGCAGTCCAGAGCGGCCTGGCCTCGCTTGGTCTTGTGGGGCAGCAAGCCTCGCTCGGTCCGAACTTCAACTTGTTTCTGTAGAAATTGCCAGAAATGTTGATGCCTTCGCAGCATACGACCACCACTTTCCTGCCCAGCAGTACCTGTTTAGCCACAATGGCCGCCAGGCGGCCCAGGAGATGGCCTCGACCATCAAGCACCAAGACCTGCACCTCCGCCATCTTCGGCAGCAGCTTGGGAAAGCCCTTTTTCTATTTTTATTGCATTAGCTGCTAGTTTACCTGCTCCATCAACTTCTTGAGGAACATTTTTCACGTGGTTTATAACCCCTCTCTCTTACATGATTCCTGCTACCAAATGCTGTGATTTCAATATCCGCATCAATCCATCCTCACTAACTCCATATTCCCTAATACCCTCTACTGAAAGGACAGTCACTTCCATTTCACTTCGGCAACACTCTCACAAAAGTATTATCTAGACCTTAGGATCACACAAAGACATCCTAGCTCTGAAATTATAAACCCAGATTGTTCTCCCTTTTACCTTGGCCTCCCATCTCCTGTTCTTTCTCTGTCTTGCCTGGTGCACCTACTCATCAACCTGACTGAAACCTTAGTGCTGTTTCACAAGCCTCTCTCCTCCAAGTAAATGGCATGTCCTATGTTTCACAATACTTGTCTCAAATATGTAGAATTCTCTTCAGACCTCTAACCCAACTGTTGCTCACATTCTCACCAAAATAACTTTCTATTTTAGTGTCTCAAAATGGACAACACATACGAACTCTTTCAACTTCCTAGCCACTGCCAGCCTACTTTATCTGTTTTTCTATTTCCTTCTTGTCTACCTTTGTATTACAAAGACAGTTTTTCCTAAAGTTATCTGAGTTTTTATTCCAGTCCCTCCAGATTCTCAATTCCATCAAATATCCTCTCTGCTTTACATCATTTATCTTTCTTCCCACTCATCATCTGTAAAATGGGACTTGTACCTATTTAATGTATTAGGTGAAATCCTATATGTAAAGCACTTGACACATGTACAGTACATATTAAATGCTATGAGATGTTATTTTATTATTGTTAGTAGAGTACCAGTAGTATTAATAGTGATATAATTTTAATATACATGAAGTCTTTTACACCTAAATATAAACAAATTAAATATGACATATCCCACTGCCTCTTCCTTTCACTCTTACTCTTTTTCTTCTTAGCATCCTTTATTGAGTTCTTACCATGTCATTCATCATTTTAAACCTTTCTATAGTTGTAAAACTTAAAATCCTTATAATGGGCTTAACACTTTTGGGGGCAAATAGCAAGTACTTGATTAATGTTAGTAAAAGTAGTTGTGATGATTAGATAATAAAAACAACTGTATAGATATCATCATGGGCCTTTGATAAAGAGCCAGGGAAATTGTCCAAGGCTATAAACCTAGTAAAAGGTGGAGATGCATGCTTGCAATTAGATTAACTCATTAACACATTTGCTTAACAATACCTACCCTTGGAAGCTTTCCATTAACTTCCTGATTTTTTTTTAAAAAGGGCCCTTTATCAGGCACCAACCCATGTGAAGGTCACAATGGCTGTCAAAGACAACAATCCTTCTTGGAGCTTTTGTCTCCTATAACCTAGCATGCCATTTGTCGATAGGAATTAAGAGCTGACCTTCCTGAGCTCTGACTTTGTGTCAGCCATTGAACCAATAACTATACAGGCCCTGACTAATTTTATCCTTACAGCAATCCTATAAGGGAGGAATTGTTATTATTGTCTCCATTTTACAAATGAGCAGCATTTAGGTGCATGAGGTTCAGACAGTGAAAATATCTGAATTATAAAAATTTATACAAGTGACAGTGTAAATCCAGGATGAGAAGCCAGCAGCTTGGCTCATGTTTGTACTCACAATGGTGCTCTAATGACCTTAATGCCCAAGTTAGTAGCACATAATACTGAATACATACTTGTGGGACAAATGTTAATGCTATAGAACTTATATAACACATAGCTAAATGCAATGTTAAGGAAGATCTTTGAAATACTGGAAAATAACTTTTCTCTCCAGTTTGGTGTTTTAAATACCTAAAAAGAGTTTCCAATTCTCATGTTCAATTTGAAGCTAAAGGATTTGTGTTTATGGTCTTAACATATACCTAGACATTAAAAAAGGAGAAGAAGAGTAAAAGCAATTACAGATCCTATCACGAACACCACCTGGGCACTCTGCAGTAACAGGAATCCAGGTATTTCTTATTTGGCTATAACAAGGTAGAAGCATTTCATTAATCTAATATTTGGCACTAGTTTCCCCAAAGAGATCACTCTTTAAAAATACATTTATAGGTGTTCAGGGTGAAGGTAAAGCTGGGAGTTCAGGAGGGAGGGCCTATCGGGGCTTAGAGAAGGGGGATGCTATTTGTCATGACATGGGAGTTGATGACAGATGGGGAAAGAGATTTGTTTTGTGGTCCTGAAAGGAAGAAGGAAAGAGAAGCATGCAGGGATGAATGGTGCCAGGAAGACAGAGAATGTTTGAATACACTGAGGGAACACAAGAAACTAGGATCAATGATTCCATCAGGTCCAGGTAGAGCTTTAGGTATTGCTAGGAGCCTCAATCATATCTGGACAATTTTCAGTTAAGTCTTCTGGGCTCATGGAGGCTTGGTGGTAGTGGAGTTTTGGTGTGAAAACAAATGGCACCATGCTTTATGATTGGCCCAAGCAAGATTGCACAGTGACAGAGAAAGAGAAGTAGAAGCTCAGGAGGCAGAAGGCTTTGTGAACCAGGGTAATTTTCAGAAACCCTAGGGGAAGACTTTTGACAGAGTGTTAAAATGACACACCTAGTTTTGATTCAAGAGATCTGGGCTTAGACCAAGAGTCTTCAAATGTTTTAAATCACAAGAGATTAGGATATATAACCAGAGTTAAAACCCGCAATATGGTTTCAGAGCTATGAGAAGGAAACTTATCTAAAAATACTTCCTGAGGATACACTCTAATTGCAACAGAGCAGATAAATGTCTTTGGGGTCTTTAGGCAAGGTAAAAGAGGTGGTGAGATCTGACAGGTGTCAATAAGAAAAATTTGAGTTGGCACATAATAATATTTAGAAAAGTACAAAGATGAAAAATTCAAACAGAATTAGAAATGAGCATATACACAGTGAACATTTTGAAAGGACTATACAATCTTAATTGAAAGGCTTGCTAATTAATTTTTTATGCATACTAAGACTGGAGTCATTCCACTTTGTTTTATCCAGCAGTTACAGTCAATATTACCAATATTACCATTCTTGTCTTAGAACAACACTACATGTTTAACTTACAAGAGAAGATATATGGTAGACAAAGCTGAATGGAAATGGACTTACCATGGAGAGAAAATTAAGCAGCAACAATTTAGTAAAATGATTTTATTATAAAGTTATGCAGAAAATGTGTTGATTTATGCATATATGTCTTTCAAGTAAAATAAAACACAAATTCAATGGGAAAGGAAATCCTGAAATAGAAGTGAAAAACTAAAATCTTCTCTGTCAAAAGGTTAATGCACTTACTGAAAAAGTATATAATAATCAGTTACTTCATTTTAGGTATACTTTGCATTCTCTTCTAAGCTAGAGTACAGAAACTATATTCATGGGTTTTTAAAAATACATTATCTCATTCCTCTAATTCCCATCGGTTGCAACACCTTCTTCATTCCTAGTATTATTCTGTTAACAGTGGAACTTCAAAAAGGTGTGCTCACTGAATGAATTAGCTTGTTGACAATAGTTTACAACAGTTCAGACTCATAGTGAACTTGTTATTCACTATGTTATTAATAAAACATGTTATTTGCTAAATGACATGCTAAAAAGGAAAATGTGCTAGTTTTCTATTTCTAATGTTGAGTTCTTCTACTACCAACATTATATATTCTAAAACAATTTTACTATGTACCAATTGTGGGTACACAGTTACAAGACTTAATTTCTAATTCCTATTTTTGCCAACAACATGCTATGAAGATTTGAACAATCTACTTAAATTGGAGTGGCCTAAGTCACAAATGTAGACAAGAGGGCTTCTATTGATTGCTTTCTCTCTCTCAGCCCCTTCATCATTCACACATATACTAGCAAATTTTTTCAAATGACAAATGATATATACAGATACATAACATACATATATAGTTCGTTTCTGTCTGTACGTGTATATGTGTGTTTGTGTGTATATATATGTGCATATGTGTATATATATGTGCATATGTATGCATATATATGTAGCCCCATTCTCCCTGTCAGAAAAATATCTCCCTCTCACCTAGACTTGCTAAGTCAACTCTTTCTTGACAACTTCAACACTTCCTTTGATCATGATGGTCTTTAGCGACTATTTATTCCCCTCAGCTTCTGTAACATCTCTTCCTTGTGCTTATGATCTTATGTCTATTCTTACTTCTCAAAGAGTCTATAATTTATTATTGGGTAGATAATATGCTTTATACATTTTAATATCTCCAAGCCTAATGGGTATTCAGAAAATGTTTATTGGTACATTATTAAAATTATTCAGAACTGTTCTTAGAAAAAGAAAGTAAATATATGTTTATTAGAGGTCTATTTTTCCTTCTATACTACAAAAAACACTCAAAAATCTTCATTCTAGATGATTTCTGCTTAATGTGAAATATCCTTTCAATAGAAAAAAAGTTCATAAATAATCTAAAACTTTTGCAGATGATTAAGGATGTTTCATCCAATTTTTTCATTTAGAAAGGAAAAAACAAGCTTAGATGTAGAAAAGTAAGTCTCTTTGTTAAATTCACAATTTTGCAAGTCTGAGAGCTAACACAAGGAGAAATGGAACCGTGATCTTCTAATCTTAGCTTAGCATTTCAGCTACTACAACAATTATCTTAACTCTGCTATGCTGGATTCTACTCTCCCTGATGATATAACCATGCTGTCTCTGTTTACCACTGTGTTCCCAGCACTGAGTCACACAAAATCTGCGACACAGAAGTCATTTGATAATGGTTTGTTGAATGAATACTGAATGCTTCACTATATACTGTACCATATGAAGTAGAATTTTACTCCCACAAAGGGCACTATTCAAAAACATTGTTTTGCAGATCTCAGTCTCACATTGAAAATACTGCTGTTCATAGAAAAAAGAAAGAAGATAGCTAATTTGTAACACTGGGTTTTCCAACCAAAACATACTGACCCCTCAGAGAACTGCCATTAAGATTATTAGTTACTTGCTCTCTTTTTCATAATATACATATGGACAAATGCCATCATGTCTTTGCCTGAATGCTTGCTTTGAGGAAATTTATAAGAACACAATGTTTAAGCAGTAAGTTATCATTGAGAATGAGTTATCACAGACTTTAATTTAAAACATATAGAGAGGCCAGGCCTGGTGGCTCATGCCTGTGATCCCAGCACTTTGGGAGGCTGAGGCAGCAGAATCTCTTGAGTCCAGGAGTTTGAGATTAGCCTGGTTAACAGAGTGAGACCTCGTCTGTACAGAAAGAAAAAAAAATAGCCTGGCATGTTGGCACCTGCCTGTAGTCCCAGCTACTCAAGAGGCTGGGGTGGGAAGATTGCTTGAGCCCAGGAGTTAAAGGTTGCAGTAAGTTAGGATCACTCCACTGCACTCTGGCTCTGTCTCAAATATAAAAATAAAATAAAATAAGTATATAGGTAGGGCTGGGTGCGGTGGCTCACACCTGTAATCCCAGCACATTAGGACGTGGAAGCTGGAGGATTGCTTGAGGCCAGGAGTTCAAGACCAAACTGGGCAACATGCAAGACTCAGTCTCTACAAAAAGCTAGTAAATTAGCCAGCCATGGCAGTGTGCACCTGGAGTCCTAGCTACTCAGGAGGCTGAGGTGAGAGGATCACTTGAGCCCAGAAGTTCGAGGATGCAGTGAGAGCTATTATTGCACCACTGTACTCCAGCCTGGGCAACAGAGTGAGACCTTGTCCTAAAAAATGGAGAGATGATAGATAGATGACTGACAGACCATTTCTTAGAAGTCAGAGATCATGAAAGTCCACAAGTCTAAAGAAGGATGAAGATAAAAATTCAAATGCACATTTTAAAAGAGATAACATCACTTTGATTTTGTCTCCAGTGCCCTTGAGTAATTAAGCAACACGTGTTTCTCATACCCTAAGTTTGTCACTGAGTTGTTCATTTGGACATAGTTACAGTAAATAATGACATAAGGTGACCTCTACTCTGTAGGAGTTTACAAGACCTTTGGGAGAACAAAATGTATAGCTATGAATATGGGGGTCAAGAAGCATGATAGAGGATGGGGAGCAGGGAGGTGAGGTCGAAGGATGTTGCTTTAGGAGGATGAGGAATTTAATTTCAACAGAATAGGAGAAAAAATAAGCAGAGGGGCTTGGATTTGTAGTAATCAAAAACATAGAAAGAATGTAAATTTTTAGCGGCAAGTACTGTGATAAGCATTGAATTTAAGGAAGATTGATCTGGCAATAATCTGCAGAATATATTTAAGGAGAGAACTATTATTGAGGGAGAGGTCTGCTGGGAGGCCTTTTGCAGGAACCAGGTGTGAAGTGATGAGAGACTGGAATAAGATAGTGGAAGTGGGATTAAAAAATGGAATTTGTTCCCCTTTCTCTATTTTAGCTCATTCTGAAAACTGGAAAATATTTCTAAAAGCTTTTTTTCACATATTCCCTTCTACATTTAGAATACAGCGCTTAGGGAGGGACACCTGAAAACGTTTGAAACAAACCCTTTCATTTACTTCATTCACAGCCATCTGGATGTCTTGATTGCATATCTGCCTCAGCATTACCTCATGAAACAGGGATTTTTATATTCTAAGCCTGGTGACAAACTCAAGAGATCATGAATAAAAACACTGCAGTGCCCTCTAGCAGGGTGCAGAAATTTTCACTTCACTTTCAGTTTAAGAGATTGAAAGTAGGCTGCTTTTCAGATACTTCAGTATTTCATGGATCAATCACACCAGTATGTTTCAGAAGCTAAGACGTATTAAATTTTTCCCTCTATCAAGAGAGAACAGCTAAGTTTTTGAAAATATCAAGTATTGAAGCAAGGTCAGATGTACTCTCTGACACCCTTCTCAAGAATCATTTCCTTCAATTGTCAAAGGGAAAAAATAAAATAAACTCTTGTCTTAAAGTTGGAGGTAGAAATCATTTTAATTTTAAAGAGCTTCTTATTTTGTATGAATCTCATGGCTTTTTTACTCTCTCTGAGAATCCGTCCACCTTATCCTATAATGCCAGTCAACAATGGATATTTAAAGTACTTGACCTTACTCACGGTATAGACCAAACAGCAAAAGCAAAGGTAGCCAGGTTTCCTTGAAACTGTTATAAATTTAAATTTGATAGTATAATGTATTCTGAATACATTCAGAGAAAGTATGGCCTCAAGTGCTAAATAATTAAGTAAGCAATAATTTACCTTTCAAACTTTTACTTTACCTTCTGTGTGACTCAGAATTTGCTGGACTTTAAAATACGTGGGAAAAAAACACATTAAACATCCTCCCTTTTTTATATTCAAACCATTTTATTAGCTCACTTTACTTGTACAAATTATATTCCTTCTCTAAACTCTTTTTTTTTTTTTTTATGAAATGTCTGTGCAATACAGAGTTGACGGTAGCAGACTTTGCCCTCAGGGAGAAAGCTAGATTCAGAGGGCTCCATGAACCGCCTGGAAATCAGAACCCTGGATGCCAATGTCCATTCTCTGGCTGACTCAGCAGGAGCATCTGCCTGCCACATAACCTTTGGCTAGGGAATCCCACCTAGACAATGGACTGTGTTCTTAAGGGCCTTTTATTCAGTTTAACCATAGATTTACTTCTTTTAAATGACCAAATTTATAAATAATTTTTAGATGAAAGAGAATCTTTATGAAATTTAGATGTGAACATTTTAAAAGATCTCTTGGTAACAATAAGAGCAAAAGTATAAACACAGGCACACATTCGAATAGCCTTCTATCTTTATGAAAAACACTACAAGCTTTCATTACAAATGTATTCCTGAGAATACGTTTGCTCGGGAATGGATAGTTTTTATAAGAGTAACAACCTAGAAATTAAATGCACACTGATGTAATGATTATATCCTTTTTTTTTAAATTCCTTAACATATTTAGTGAGAGGGCTAATGAATGTCATGCATCACTTTTCCCTTAGTACTTTTGATATGTAAACAAATTTTTTAGATTTACTCATCTAATTTTTAACCAAAATACTTTTAGGTCTATTTTTCATGTCTCCAATTATAAGGTTCTACAGGGCAAAAGCCTTGTATTTTTGTTTTATCTCTCACCAGTAGTTCGAGTAGAGTGGTTTTCATATTGTAGGTCATCAGTTAACATTGCAAACTGACAGACTAATTGAAGTGGCCTTCCCAGCCCTCCAGCTCAGAAGGCTTATAGAATGCCTGAGATTTTCAGAATCAGGTTGAATGAGGGACCTAAAGGCAGTAGGAACAGGTGCAGAGCAACTGAGGGAAAGCTGACAGTTGCCATTCTGATGATGTATTTGTGAGATTCTGGAAGACTCCAGTAGGTGCTCTGTGAATGCATCTTAAGAGGGTGCATTTGACCAGTACTGAATGGATAATAATTGAGATAGGACTAAACTGATTTAAAAGTAATTCTTCTCTAATGTCTTCTGAACACGAATCAGTAAACAGGTATGTAATAGGATTTTTGACAAAGCTCTTTTATTAGGAACTCTAATACTATTTGGAAATTAGATTGGTTGTATGTCCCACTTGTAAATAACACTGATAAGCAAGTACTCTTCATCGGTATAATTCAGAAAATTGCAAAATCCTGTCTCAAATTTTATTAATAGGGCAATTTGCATGACAGCAACTCATTTTAATAAGCATTGTAATTGCCACATCAAACATTATTAAGACCTTCCAAACCCAAGGCTGATGTTTTGGGAGGATGGGTGGTGGGTGAGAAAATTTTGCTTAATAGGATTTACATAAAGGATTGTTTTCTTTCCAGGGTTTGTCACGTTTCCAGAATTCCCATTAGTCATTCTAGCCCTTTTCCTAAACTTTTCTGTCTAAAAATCAAGTTGATGGTTCCAATAAAAATAAACTCATTGTCAATAATATTTTGCTGTTTGGTTTATAATTCTTTCTAACACAGGTAAATTGTACTTGTAAAATAAACTGATAATATGTTATACTAATCTCCCAGTTGAAAATGTAATAAATCTATCAGACAAGGACCAAAAATATCACTGCTTGTTCTGAACATAATGAAATGCAGCAATCTACCTAAGTGACATGAAAGTAGGGGATAAGCTTCAGAAATAAGAATGCTTACAACATGTTTAATGGATATTGGAAAAGATTTGTCTCATGTGTGAACAGTGTCTGTACACATAAAAACTTATTAAGCTAATGCCTCTCAGTCTAATTTCTTTTTGAATTAAAAACAAGTTTTAATCAAACCCTAACCTTTAAAGTCATATGGCCTCTATTACCCTATGAACCACACAGTCATGGCTAAGAATAAGTGAAAAAATTAGATGAACACACTCTTAGAAAATTGTTTAAATGTCCTCAAGAATCTTAAGGTAACAAATATATTTGGGAATAAGCACATCAAAATTCTATGAAACCGTTTTTTTTCCTACCTAGGATATACTCTTTCTTCCTCCAAAGATAGATTTTAGGGTTCTCAATAAGTGGCCATTGCTTCTTAGGACAAATGAAACAGTATCGGTATTAGAATGCTGACCCTCATCAGTAGTTCTGCAGTTATAAAATTACAATTGCAGGGGCTGGGCACAAGTGGCTCACGCCTGTAATCCCAACACTTTGGGAGGCTGAGGCTAGAGGACTGCTTGAGGCCAGGCATTTGAGACCAGCTTGAGCAACAAAGCAAGACCCCACTATGCATGCCTGTAGTCCTAGCTATTCAGGAGCCTGAGGGGGAGGATCCCTTGAGCCCAGGAGTCCAAGGTTACAGTGAGCTATGATTGTACTGCTGCACTGGAGCCTAGGTAACACAGCAAACCCTGTCTCTAAAAAAAATAAAACATAAAAAAAGAAAGTTACAATTTATTTATTTTGCATCTTACATAAATGGCAGATCATCATTCATATGGTAAAAACATTGGCAGTAAAAGTTCAACATAATTATGACATAATTAACAGTCTATCTTTCAATTTAAGCTCTCATTTCTCCCCCAAACCCACCATCGTAACCACTAGTCCCTAAACTCTGTGGGATTATTCTCCCTTATTTCGTGCCTTTAATCAAATTTCTCACCCATTAAAAGATACCTTTGGCCTTCCCTACTACTCTGTTAAGAATGGTGAGGGGTCTGATATTTTCCCTACTTGCTAATATGTTAGTCTGCCACAGTTTCATGGATGCTAACCAAAAACACAAGACTCCTGGGTCTGAGAGAAAAGACCTCATTACTGAAGCCTCAAAAGTATGTGCTTCCTGTCTTCATAGGTTTTCCCGCCTTAATTTTCATAGGAACAATGTGTTGGGCAGCCCAGGTGAATGCCAGGCACACCATTGGTTTTTGACACAGCTAAGAGACCCTGAGCTCAGGAAGCTCCCCATCTTATAAAGGTCCTGCAAGAAAGCCTGATTAATCTTTGCCCCTGAGGTAGATATTATCTTTACTATCCTGGTCAGGAAACAAATCTGCCCTCTTCCCTAAAGGCAGACACTATCTCTATTGTCCAAGGCTGTTTGTTACACAAACACTCTTGAAAAAAGGAGTTCCGAACCCAAGCTGCCAAAAAAAGTGTAGAACTGCCAGGGAGAATTCTTTCAAAACCCATCCTTAAAATTGCAATGTAAATCCTACTTCTTTCATAAGAGGCCACAATAAACTTTTACTTCCAGCACTATATTTTCAGGGTCATTAGCATATCATTCACTGTTGTGTGGCATAATTTATGTTATTAACCTTATTACTTAACATTTGTAAACCATTTAAATGAATTAAATTGTCACTTTGTCTTCTTAAGTAGTTTAAACCCATTGAAGGTATAAATTATTTAATAAGTTCCTTTTTAGCCCACAAAATTCAGTGGAGCTATATTTTGAATAGACACTCAATGAATGACGTAAAAGTCAAAGTTATTTTTTAAAATATTTTATTCTAAACAACATGTAAGAAAATTGTAGTGGAAATTAACCTAAAGAGTTTTATTCTAAAAAGTTTAGAAGAAAAATTAGTTATCAGAATGTAGTACCAACATTCCTTATGCTATTTGCCTATCTTTTATATAGGAGATAATATGTTTTTAGTCAACTTTATTTGGTGTCGAATATAAAGGAATGCCAATTCTTATGAATAAATAAAGTGTGAGTATAAACCTAGTTTTAAGTTTCTGAATTAATAATGATCTGCTAAAATTTGGAATGAAATTGGTTTTGACTTCATGGAGCTTAGTAACAAGAACCTCCAAGGTAAAAATCTTCACATCTGTACTTTATTAATTTTTTAAAAATCAAACTATGCAAGTGCAGTTTTAAAAGCCAAATAATGATACATCAAACAACCCTAGGTATTTCCAATACCCAGAGGCAACCTTTTCTAATGCATCTCCTCTTAACTATTTATAAATGCTTTTGCCTTCATATTTTTAAGTGTTCAACTTCTGTTTATAGACTTATTTTTCATTTTCACATTGTCTTACTGATTTCTTCTTACAGAAAGGAAGCATTTAACTCTTATACTAACCTCCTCTCATCCACTATATATTTATAGCGTGCTTTTGGTTAAATCAAGTGTTGCTATTATGACTATGCAAGCGATCTTTACCGCGGAACCTTGTAGTGTATTTGGATTACATTTCATTTCATATAGCTTTTTACATTCCCTTAATAACTCACGTATTTTGTATACTCAATTTTGTATCCACCTATCATTACCATATTATTAAGATTTCCATGAGAATTTGTCTCTAAAATATCAGGTAAGCATCCATTATTCCAGCTTCAATCTGTCCCGGTTGCTTCTGAAGCTCAATGTATGACAAGCTTCTATTGTCGTGCTGCCCTGTTTCCTTATCATTCTGAGATTAACTTCAATATCTTCCTATACATAGCCTCTTATTTTGGGGATGATATTTCTTCCTTTTTTGTTTACTTCTTAGTTTTGGAGGAAAATAGATAAAAGTAGTATCCTCAGCAAGGGTGCATTAGCCAAAAAAAACTGAAATCTTATAGGTCTAAAAATGTCTTTCTTCTTCTTTGATATTTGAAAAAATAGCCTGGCCATACAGAAGATTCTAGTTGAAATAATTTTCCTTCAGAATTTCAAAAGCTTTACTCAGTTGCCTTCTAGCCCCAGATTTCCATTGTGCGGACCTGTGCCATTTTGATTCCTAATTTTTTACATGTGAGCATTTTGGAAAAAATAAAAACTGTTTGGACATTTTAAAGAGCTTCGTTTTTTTCCTAATGTTTTGAAGTTGCATGCTGATATGTGCATTGAAGATTTATTTCATTGTGTTAAGGATCCAGTGGTAGCTTTATAATTAAGAACACATGTCCAACTATGATAGGAAATTCTTAATTTAAAAAAAACGTCATTTTGACTGTTTGGAACTCTTATTATTCAAATGTTTGATCTGCTAGATAAATACTCTAATTTTCTTATCTTCTTACGTAGTATCTACTTGATTGTAAAATTTTGTTTTACTGTTTTCCAGCCCTTCTGCTGATTTTTATGTTATCACTTTTAATATGTAAGAGCTATTTTATATTCTCTGAAAGTCCCTTGTTTGTGTTTTCCTGTTCTTGTTTCATGAATACAGTATTTTCCTTTTTTTTCTGAGAATACTATTAGTCCATTTTCATACCACTATAACTGCCCAAGACTGGGTAATTCATGAAAGAAAGAGGTTTAATTGACTCACAGTTCAGCATGGTTGGGGCGACCTCAGTAAACTTACAATCACAGCGGAAGGCAAAGAGAAAGCAAGGCACCTTCTTCGCAAGTCGGCCGTGCTGAGCACAGAATGGAAAGAGTACCTTTTTGGCGAGTAGTAGCCAGCTTCTTCACAAGGAAAAGTACCGAGCGAAGAGGGGGGTAAAGAGTCCCTCATAAAACCATCAGATCTCATAAAAACTCACTATCACGAGAACTGCATGGAAGAGACCACCTGCATGATTCAATTACCTCCACCTGGTCTCTCCCTTGACACGTGGAGATTATGGTGATTATAATTCGAGATGAGATTTGTGTGGGCATGGGGGAAACTATGTTCAGCCACTCAGAAGACACTCAGAAGCGATTTACCCCAACAACAACAACAACAAAAATTGTAATTGGTTAGCTTTTGATCAGAAATATTTGCATAAATAACCAAATCAGATTCGGGAAATTCAAGTCACTGTGTGGTTATAAAATCTACCAGCCTATAAACATATTTTATCAATAAATTATGTTTCCTAAAACTCTTGGAATGCTTTTACAATTCTTAAATGATAAAATTATAGGTCCTATAAATTGAGGAACATGATTATAATAATTTTTCAAACTGTATTCTTGATTAACATAGTAAAAAAATGCATGTGGTAGTTCCTTTATAAAATCTATATACCTTAATATTTTCTACTAAATTTTAGAAAATTATGTGGGAAAAAGTCGCCAATAAAGATACATAAACTTTCTCAAAGTGATCAAAATGTTAATATAGATATTACAAAGATTTCAAAATATCTAAAGAAAGTCATCTCATCTTACATTATTCACCATTGTGTCAAATTCCTTTCGTGAAACTACATTTCCTCATCAAAATAATGTTAGCACATAATTTTATTTTAGGAAGGTTTTAGCTCTAAAGGTAGAAACTTGTAGAACGTGGGATTTGCTGAGAGGTACCCATTTTCACTATTATAAAAGCTCTCTAAGACTACTGATGCATTACATTAATATATACATTATGTGTTATTATACATCAATAGATTATGGGGCAGATTTTAGAGACAATCTTTTACAAGGGATTCAAGAATAAATTCTAACATCATTAATTATTCTTTTTGTTAAACCAAGTCATAGTCTGCCTCAGCTTGGTGTTGTAAAAATAGTTTTTACTGCTGATTTTGCATGAGTGTATTTTGTTTTTATGCATATCCTGCTTCCAAGTTGTACTGATATTGATGAAAGTTCCACATGTGAAATCAGTTTAGAAAAAGAAACAGAAACCTACAATGCAGTGGATGATTTTAAAGGCATGATTTCAGATAAAAACAGTCCTTTTTTTTTAGCATTTCCTAAAATAGTTAAAGCAAAAGTACCTGAAATAAATTAACTCATTCACTTGCTTATAGTTTATATAAATGAATATCTATTCAACTAAGCTGTCCAACATTCAATCAAAATTAGAGCACAAATAAATCTTAAGGATTATAATTCAATTTTAGACACCAGCATTGCCATATTTAAACATAACATGAATACACTAGTCATGTCTTTATCAACAATGATAAAGCATGTTTTAAATTATAGAAACTCAGGTAGAGAAAATGTACTTGAACCTAAAAACTCTGGTCTTCAATCAAGGTTGTATTTGGAGCACATGGACTCCTTAGATAGGTCTAGTGGTCTCTATTGTTAAGTGTTCTTATCACTCAAAGGATGTTTGAAAATTTACTATCTGAAGGAATTAATTTATTCAAGCCATCAAAAATAGGAATAACTACTTTAAATATATGTTTACATCCGCATAGTAGAAAGATCATTGGTGCTAAAGGTAAGGCATTCTCTGGGAAATTTATATTAGAGAGATGTCATGTTTATTTATAGAGTATAGAACTTAACATCATGTTATTTTCTCAAATGGTATAATTGTAGACAGCTTGTTAATAAAGCCTAGCCACCAAACAAGTACTGAAAATAGTACTTCAACATGGTATGCATCACAGTGATGTTTCATTGAAATAACATAGAACGAGATGCTTGTCAAGTCGAGGTTGCATGAGAAAACCCCAAAGGAAGTCAAAGAAGAGAAAGGTAACAAAATAAATGTCTTCAGGCGTGGTTGAATGGAAGAGGAGTCAAACTTTAGAAGGCTAGCAGGGTTTGGGAAATCTGGAGATAACAGTGCTATTATTTCCAGTAAGGTGTGTGATATGAATGAGATACTCAGGCACAACCCAGTCTGCACAGCAAGAGATATGAGCAGGTAGAAAGGAGAAGGGATACTGCAGACTAGCAATGAAAAAGGCTTTCTAGTAAAAGGAAAAGAGAAAAATATTTTTTAAGTCTCTAAAAATGTGAATTTCCCGCTTTATATTTAACTTGTTAACCCAGCAATAAGATTTTTAAATTATCAGACCTATTGTTGCAGAAATGCAAGTCAAAAATTCCATATTCAAAACCTTTGGAGTATGTGTTTCAGAAATTTTCAGATTTTAGAAAGGTTATATAGTATACATGCCATCTATTACATAACAAACTTAGCTGGATATTTGGCTATATTGTATAATCAAACACATTTCCTGGGCAAAACGTGATTATTCAAAGTCTGGTAAATAAAGAGTGTAAAGCTTTTTTCTATTTTTCTATTCAAGTCATTTCAGGTCAAATTTTGACACCACACTAGTTAACATCAAGTTTTGCTTATAAAAGTTACAAACAAAACATACCCACTGATTTTCAGAAGTTTTTAGATTTTACAATTGTGTTTAAGGTATTGAAGAGGTGTATTTTAAAATTTCATGACCTAAACTACAATAACTAAAACAGCAGAAGGATGTACTCTACACTATTATATTACAAAAAGTATTCAATTCATGTAAATTAAACTTAACCTAATTTAAAATTGTATATGAACAAAAATACTGAAAATATTTAGTCAGGAAAATGGAAGCCAGGGGCTATATTATTTTGGGAAGTATACAGGTGTGGTCAACCTGTGCACCCATAATAATAAGGAAAGGGTGGTACAGGGGATGAATGTTTCTGAATTATGCTAAGGGATGAGGGGCAGGGGGCCTCAGGAAATAGAAGATACTGGAGAGGATGAAACAAGGATTTCTCCCCCATCCTTTCCAGAAGGAAAGCAGGTATCTGAGTGTGGAAAGCAAATTACAAGTGCTGCTTTATCACCCACTTCTCAGTCATCTAAATAACTAAATGAGATTCAGCAGAGCATCTGACAAGTAGACCATGTATAATTTCAAGCCCCTTGCTAACTAGGTAACATCCTATCCTGCAATGAAAGAAAAGAAAGGGGAAAGAAAGGAAGATAGGCAGAAAAACAACATCTCTCAGTTGTTGCTTATGTCTAAATTACTTTAAGAAAAGAAAAATAATTATCTTACATCAGAGACCTAAAAATTAAAATGCAAATTCTTGTAAAAACATAATGAAGTGATAGAAAAACCTGGGCAAAAGACCAAATTAAATGTAGGCCCTTGCTTTGTTTCGGTGGGGAATTAAGTAAGGAGACCAAAAAGATTTAAAATATTATCATCAAGAGCAAAATGTAGGAAAATGAGACTAAGAACAAAAATAAATCAACAAACACTTTTCAGGTGGCACAGCATTGTCCAGGGTTGGTGCTGATTACTTTTAACAGAATTGGACCAAAAGCAGACTATACGTAGAGATTTTTGGTCATTTACAGGCCAATTCATAATGCTCTGTTTGTATGATGTACATTTAAAAATAAACAAGAATAGCTGTATTCACATGTAGGTAAAAAAAATAAACATAAGTTAAAGAATATACAGCATGATCCTATTTTAATAAAAATATAAAAATGCATGTATATCTTTATATATAAAGATAAAAAATGTGTGCATTAAAACCCTAGTTATTAGTGGGATTACCAATGGTTACTGTCTTCTTGTTAATATTGTTCCTAAGTGTTCCATAATGAATATGTATTATATCATAGAAGTTATGAAAGTTTCTAGTGAAGATTCCTTTCTTCAGGAACGTTTTAAGGGAGCTATCATTATTTTACACAGTTTTCATTCTCAGCTAAACAGAACGCTATGGTTTTTCAGAAAACCATAGACTTGTAAGACAAAAGAAATCCATAATAGGCTTAATTATAGTTTTCTGGAAAATTTACTTACAGTATACATCCACTCTGATTGACTTTATCGCTGGAGACCCCAAGCCATTCTCTGCTTTACAGTAATACCGGCCTCCTTGGTGTCGCTGAATATTTGTAATCCTCAAAGTCTCATTGAAGACACTTGAGTCTTGGAATCTGTCAGAGGCACTTCCTGCTGTTTTGGTCCACCTGATCTGAGCAAGCATCAACAAAGATTGTTACTTTAGGTTGGTTTTCCCACAGAGAAATCAAATAGCAATCACTCATTTGAAGAGTTTGCATTTAGAGCTGCTACATTGCCTCTCCCATCAAATTATTGAAGAAAAAATTAATGTTTACAGACACGATTGAATTAAAAAATTTTTAATGTAATGTCATCATTGTACAGTGTGTGTAATTTGAATTCAATTGCATAGAATTCATCAATTGCCTAGTCAGTGTGGAGGGCAATATAAACTATAACATAAAGGGAGTTAAATATCAGTAGTACATTGAAAATATAGATTAACTTTTCTTTTTGTTGGACATTTATATCTGTTTTTCATATTTTCCAAACCTTGTGAGATAATTTTACTTATTTTGTCCAAGTAGGTTCTCATTTTATTTTTGGACATGCCTCATTCTTTTATTTGAAATTTTCTATTTGATTTGAATAGTTTAGACATAATACCATAATGGCTTATTGAGATTATGTATAATTTTAAACACCTGGTTGTTTAAGAGTTTGTTTTCCTTTGATGGCTTTGCTTAATAAGCCCACAAATGATTTGTCTATTTTGATCATCAGTATTCACTTTACATCAATAATTATTTTAAAAAATAATGTAAACTTTTCAAGGAGAACATTTCTACTAAACTGCCAAAACATTTTGAATATCTAAAACATTTCATTATAAACAATACCATTATTTTAAACACAGCTGTCTACAACAGACTTCGTTTTTGCTGGCAATAATGACTGGTATTCAACTCAACTTTTGTGTATTTTAGTGTATAAAACCTGAATAAAAGCCACATACTCATACTGTAAAGTGATACAAAATAGAAAGTAAAAATAATTTGATTTTATTTCCCTTTGTGCCCTGCTATATATTTTAGTTTGTTTTTAAGGTTGAGAAACAGCTGATAGAAATCCTCTGTTCAAACACATATGCTGTGACATGGAAAATGAAACTAAATACTGAATCATCAAAACAGAAATCCTATAATATTGCCATTATATATACCTATTTTCATATGAAGTTAATTAAAATGTATGAGCTAATGGCATAAAAAGTATCTTTAAAAGTTATCCACATAATTAAAATATCTATAAATATAACCACGTTTGCCCTTAATTGTGAATGGAATAAAAATGTTATTAAGAGATGAATTTTAAAAATCTGTAAATCACAAAAAGAAATATCAATATTTATTCCAAATCTTCTATATATATGGAATACACAAAGATGCAAATGGCATAATTTCTGATTTCCAGTAGTTTATAAATGTATTACTGACATACCCATAAGAAGAAAAGGAGAAATTTGTAAATTATGTCAAAAATGGAAGCATACTAACACTTTCACTTAGCAATTATCTGGTTAAAATTTACCTTACTAACATATTTGCAAAATAATGCATAGAAATTAGCCTACTGTATGTATAAAACTGTAACATTGGAAATGATATAAATGCTAAACGATAGGTGGTTATAAATTGACTCTAAAATTGAACTGAATACAGTCATTAGAAAAAATAAAATACAAAATGTATTATTAAGTTAAAAAAGACAAAAAGCAAGAAACAAGAGAATAGTCTCGTCTGTGTAAAAATAGCATATGTGTGTATTCATGTGTGTACATATTACTAAATGTTTATTAAAATTACACAAGGAAACATACAAAACTCTGTAAATGGGACTGGGAGTAAAAAGAGGATAGTGAAATATGTTATTTTCTTAAGTTTTATTTTAAATTCTTATTTATACTTAATTTACTTTACCAGAAGCAAATATTGTTTATTGTAAAGAAGTTTTAAAAATGAAACAATTCTCAAATGAAACATAGGAAATAGAAAAGTAGAAAATAGAAGTAGAAAGAAATGCAAATAATCACTTAGAAAATTTTTCCTCCCTTTTTATTCTCTACTTTTAAGAAATAAATACTGAAATAAAATATTTCTGAGTGGTAGAAAGACATAAATTTACACATTGGAAGAGTTTACCAAGTCACATGCCTAACTGATGAGAAAAGAAACCTCCATACATACTCCGATAAAAGTTGTGACCTCAAAGTCTACAAAGAAAATTGTTCAGGCTTCCAGGAAAAAGGGACAAACTTGTAATGTCACAGAGCCCAGTCACTCCCTAATGTTGTCTTTCCTTCTTCTTAAACCCCAAATTATTAATCGCCACATGGCTGCCCAGGATAAAGACATTTCCCAGCCATCCATTTAGCCACATTCTTGCTGTTTCAAGCAGAAATGTCCTTACAGGGAAGCAGCACTTCATGTTTTGCACAGTTTTGGTAGCTTCCATTTGAACAGTGGGCCGATTTGAAACAAAAATCAAGCACAGAGAAGTAGTAAAATAGAAGAAATCTGAAATCCTGACACCATGGAGTTATACCTACCTAACCTAAACTATTTATAGCCCTGGACTTCTATATGGGGAAAAATAAAATTTTTGTTTACTTGTTATTCAGATTTTTCTGTGACTGATAGCCAAACTCAATTCTAATTGATTTTCCTGGAGTGGTATGGAGGTCAGTTTGTCTTCAGCATTCTCATCTCCAACACGGAAAGCTCAAAAACAGTGGAATAACATCCACATTTACTGAAAAAGGTGAGGGAAAGGGCTATCTCCCAATATCCCATATCCATTCAAGAGCTCATTTGTGTGAAATAAAAATATTCAGTGATATGCAAACATTCATTAACCTCAGGGTTCAAATAGCCCCCCATGATGAAAATATTTGAAATAATACTCTAACTCCCAACTAACGAATTGTATCTGAGGTCTGGGATTGTGAGAAGATATAGAAAAGCATATTGTGGTGGGCAGTTAATAGATATTCATTTAATGAATAAGGAGGATTTCCTTGGGTTAGTATACAATTTAAATACTAAATAAAGTTTTTTAAAACCAAAAGGACATAGAATAAGAAGATTTGTAATAACCTAGCAAAACCTAGAAGTTTGGGTGGGAATGTAATGCAAAGCAGAGGTAACATTGTAGGGATGGAAGGAAAGGAAAGGAGAGAAAAAAGTTACTCTGGAATCTTAAACCTTGGGATAGTTGAAAGGGGAAAATGTGTCCCTGTGGGTGAAACAGATCTTGTTTATACATTTTAAAAAGCATAAATGTCAATTAAAGTATCACAAAAAAATCAGTTTCATTAATGGAAGGAAAAATGAGATAAAGAGGGCCGGGCACGGTGGCTCACGCCTGTAATCCCGGCACTTTGGGAGGCCGAGGCAGGCGGATCACGAGGTCAGGAGATCGAGACCATCCTGGCTAACATGGTGAAACCCTGTCTCTACTAAAAATACAAAAAATTAGCCGGGAGTGGTGGCAGGCGCCTATAGTCCCAGCTATTTGGGAGGCTGAGACAGGAGAATGGCGTGAACCCAGGAGGCAGAGCTTGCAGTGAGCAGAGTTTGCACCACTGCACTCCAGGCGGGGTGACAGAGCGAGACTCTATCTCAAAAAAAAAAAAAAAAGAGATTACGGGAAGTGAGTGGAAAAAATAGAAACTTGGTAAAATGATGAGAAAAATAGGGCAAAGGTAAAAGAAAAATGTATAATTTAAAATAAATATACATTTAATTTTTATTTTATTTTTAATTGGCAAATATATATATGTGTGTATATATATTTGGGGTACGATGTGATGTTTTAATATAAGTTTACATTGTGGAATGATTAAATCAAGCCCATTGACAATTTCATCTCCTCGAATTTTTTTTGTGGTGAAACATTTAAAACCTACTCTTTTATTAATTTTGAAACCAGTTAACAGTACATTATTATTAACTAGAGTCACCATTCTATGCAATAGACCACTATACAGTAAGATACAACACTTATATCAGTCATAGACTAGATGTGAATAGATTGAATTTATCCACTAAAAGAGCCTACTAGACTGAATTTAAAAGTTAAAACAAGCTTGCGTACAGTTAACATCTAATAAAAATAAATGATTGGAACAATAGAAAATTGGAAGCCAAGATGGGAAAAGAAGGCATGGATAAAGTTGTAATGGAATTATGTAAACTAAAATCAATCAACCAATTAGGAGTGATAATATTTATATATAATAAGATTAAATTAATAATAAATTTGCAGTTAAAAACTAACAGGGAGAGAAAGACATCACTTTTTGTAATATTAAAAGTCAAAAGCATAAATATATTACTTGTGATTGGTATTCAGTAAAGTACAGAGCCACTAAAGACAAAAAGCAAACAAAATTAAAAAGGGAAGAATTTGACAAACACGCAATTGCAGTAGAAAGTTACAATACAGCTTTCTGAGATTCAGGCAGTTCTTGATAGTGCAACTTTTTAAGTTAAGAGGAAATACAGGACAAACTAAAAAAATACAATAAACATATAAGACTAATAAATATACAGAAAGTCATCTATCCACAAGGTAATTTTTTTCTTATGTCCATTAAATATTTACAAAAATTGATCATGTAGTTGATAGCAAAGTAAACCTTCACTAATCAAAAATTAGAGGTAGGACAGGCATGCTATTGAAACTTAGTTCAATACAGCTATAAATAAATTATCAAAAGATGACTAATACATGGAAACCTTTATTCACATTGTTATTGTTCAAAGAGAAAATTAAAAGGAAAATTGCTAAGTATCCAGAAGCCGATGAATAGAAAACCATTTCATACTAAAATCCATGAATACAGTTGTACGAGTCTGTTTTCACGCTGCCTGTAAAGACATACCTGAGACTGGGAAGAAAAAGAGTTTTAATTGGACTTACTGTTCCAAATGGCTGGCAAGGCCTCAGAATCATGGCAGGAGGTAAAAGGCACTTCTTACATGGTGGTGGCAAGAGAAAATGAGAAAGAAGCAAAAGCGGAAACACCTGATAAACCCGTCAGATCTTGTGAGACTTATTCACTACCACAAGAATAACATGGGAAAGATCGGATCCCATGTTTAAATTACCTTCCCCTGGGTCCCTCCTAGAACATGTGGGAATTCCGGTAGATAAAATTCAAGTTAAGGTGGGTGGGAACACAACCAAACCATATCAACAGTGAAAAGAATACACACAGGAAAATATAAACCTTAAGTACCCTCTACATATTAAGGAATGAATGAATGAATGAATAAAAAACTCATCTGAATTTATTTTAACTTAATTCAGTACTCATCAGCATTTATTTTAATTTAATGTTGGTTTGGGCTGTATCGTAAACTACTGCTTAAGATTGTTTAGGAGAGAGGAACAGGCAAAAAGCAGCTGCTACTTGTTTTTTACAGAAGGTTCTAGAAGCTGCCTCATGACACTGCTTATATGATATGGTTATTCTTCCTTAGTTACAAGAAAGGCTAGGAAATATACTCTTTACTCTGAATAGCACCTTCTTCCTATCCCCCAGCTAAAATTTGATAGTTACTTAACTCTGGAAAAACAGAAGAGTGGATGTTTCGGACAACCCCTGGTTTCACAATGTGAATAAAATACATCCAGATTTCAGATATGCTATTGTATTAGTCCGTTCTCATGCTGCTATGAAGAAATACCCAAGACTAGGTAATTTATAAAGGAAACAGGTTTAACTGACTCACAGTTCTACATGGCTGAGGAAGCCTCAAGAAAATTACAATCATGGGGGAAGGGGAAGCAAAAACATCCTTTTTCACATGGCGGCAGGAGAGAGAAGTGCCAAGCAAAGCTGGAAAAGCCCCTTAAAAAACAATCAGATCTTATGAGGATTCACTATCATGAGAACAGCATGGGGGTAACCACCCCCATGATTCAATTATCTCTCACTGGATCCCTTCTACCACACACGGGGATTGTGGGAGCTACAATTCAAGATGAGATTTGAGTGGGGACACAGACAAACCATATCAGCTATATTATTACATTTGTGTTTAAATCCTCTTACAATTTAACATTAAACTCATTTCTGTAAAAATAACATTAACAGAAAAAGAATGATACTAGAGTTTAGGAAATACTTTTCTTGGTAACTCTCTTCCTAATCTGAAGAAACAACATGGAGATTCTCTTATTTCAGGCCTATTCAATTCCCAATAGAGTCTGATATAGATATAGATATAGATATAGATATAGATATAGATATAGATATTTCCTGAAACATCATTGCTTTTACATAGCCTTAAATTAAATCTGTATTGACTGAGATAATCTTAGGAAAATATTAAAAACCTGAAGCATAGATAGACTTGGCTGAATCCAAAAAGTATATTGTGTAGATGCAACAAACTCAATAAATACTTTGACCTGAGACTTCTAGGTTGCCCCATTTAATTAATGTCTAGTGAATGAGGATTTGTACACTGAAGCTCCTTTCTATTGTTTGCCAAGGAGTTCAGCCAGATGTACTCATGTCAATGTGAGCATTGTCCCAGCATTATTTGTACTCTGAAGGAAGATCCTTTAGCATTAAAAGAATCCTTGAGAAAAAAATTACATAAACATCACCTGATCTGCTATAATTATTGGGATGATCTGCCACCAGAGCCTTGGGAACTAAACCTAAAAAGGTTACAGAGTGCCAGCCTGCAAGAATATTAAGAACTATCAATGGTACGTAATTATTAATAGGCAGAGTTTATTAGAGTTTTCAAAATAAAAATTATCCTTTTGTCCTGCACTGATATCAGGGAAAATTACAGAGGAAATAGGTTCTCTTTGAATTACTTATTAGAATAAGTGGAATTCTGAATGGCACAGAACTCTAGAGCATACAGGTTCAATTTTTAATAAATTGTATCAGTCTACAATAATTATAGCAATATGTCACACTTATTTCTGAATCTGTTTTTATAAAAAAAGAACCACAATTTTCTAACAAAGCAACAAAATTTTAACCTTAACATTTCTCTGCAAATCAAAACCACAATGAGATACCATCTCACACCAGTTAGAATGGCAATCATTAAAAAGTCAGGAAACAACAGGTGCTGGAGAGGATGTGGAGAAATAGGAACACTTTTACACTGTTGGTGGGACTGTAAACTAGTTCAACCATTGTGGAAGTCAGTGTGGCGATCCTCAGGGATCTAGAACTAGAAATACCATTTGACCCAGCCATCCCACTACTGGGTATATACCCAAAGGACTATAAATCATGCTGCTATAAAGACACATGCACACGTATGTTTATTGCGGCACTATTCACAATAGCAAAGACTTGGAACCAACCCAAATGTCCAACAATGATAGACTGGATTAAGAAAATGTGGCACATAGACACCACGGAATACTATGCAGCCATAAAAAAGGATGAGTTCATGTCCTTTGTAGGGACATGGATGAAATTGGAAATCATCATTCTCAGTAAACTATCGCCAAGGACAAAAAACCAAACACCGCATGTTCTCACTCATAGGTGGGAATTGAACAATGAGAACACGTGGACACAGGAAGGGGAACATCACACTCTGGGGACTGTTGTGGGGTGGGGGGAGTGGGGAGGGATAGCATTAGGAGATATACCTAATGCTAAATGACGAGTTAATGGGTGCAGCGCACCAGCATGGCACATGTATACATATGTAACTAACCAGCACATTGTGCACATGTACCCTAAAACTTAAAGTGTAATAATAATAAATAAAAAAAAACCATTTCTCTACTCAATGCATAAGAACCCATTTTTCTAGTATATCCAGAATATTAGGGACCATGATTACTATTACTATTACCACCACCACTACTACTACTAAGATGCAATTTAAAATATTTCTGCAAGATATATGCAGATAAGAAGCTCATGGCAGTAATAGAAAAAGGGAGCCTGGCCGGGAGCAGTGGCTCACGCCTGTTAACTCCAGCCCTTGGGGAGGCCGAGGCAGAAGGATGGATTGAAGCCAGGAGTTTGAGACCAGTCTGGGCAACATAGGGAGACCCCTATCTCTACAAAAAATAAAAATAAAAAAATTTCCTAGCTGCAGTGAGTTATGATGGCACCACTCCAGCCTGGGCAACAGAGTGAGACACTGTCTCACCATAAATAAATAAATAAATAAATAAATAAATAAATAAATAAATAAATGGGAGGAGTCTGAAGAACAAGGGATTCACAAAGTAGGTCTACTCACTATGCGGAAAACAGAATGATGAAGAGGGACTCATCACGGTAGACAAGTAAGAAACAGGTAAAATAGCGGGGCGAGGACATAATATTTCTGAACACTAGATGGGCCTTAAAGCAGATAGCAATAGGTTTTCCGATCCTTTTTTCCCTTTGTCTTTTCTTTGAATTTAACCTTTGAGGAATTTATTCACCTCTGTGAATAAACAATCGGAGAAAACAGATAAACTTAGTACTTCTCTTAAACAGCATCAGACTTCCTATATGCATGTGGAGCACTACGATAGGGCCTGCTGGCACTATTTCACACTAGAGGTGACAGGAGGGTACATCTTGGTGCAAATGCTTATAAATATAAAATGCTGGAAATGAATGCAATCATCATAGAGAAGTTTGATTTTGTCGCACTGCCAAGACATTACTCTTGGGCCCCAAAACCACCATTATCAGAATTCGGTCTCTTTAAAAGTTTACAAAATGTTATTGTTCCATCCTCTGATTTTAATGCCACAACAAGCTTAGAAGGTAAGAAAAATTTTCCTCCCCATTTTACAGCTCCAGTCCTTCCATGACCGTGAGACTATGTGCTATTATATACTGGGATCCTTTCTGACTTGAAAGTTCTCCCTTTTTCCTTCATTTAGTATCTAGTTAACACCCTCCGGTCCTCCAGATATCATTTTTTTAGAAAGCTTTCCCTCTCTCATAAAGCTCTATTATGTCCTGCCCCCTTTGTTTCCATGGCAGTCTGAAATTCCCTCTGTGAGAGTTCTTATCACATGCTTTAGAAATCAGCTGTGTATATGTTGTAGGAGATAATAGGTGTTCTGTCTGATTCCCTTAGAGCCCTTTACCCTTCCTATATGTTACCTCACTAGGACTTTTTGTTTCTCATGAAATAAGGTACTAGGGATTCAGAGTTACTTGCACTCAGAGGGAAAGCCTGGGAAATCTTGGGAGTTTATTCCCTACCCCTGTGACTCTTAGCCGATGAATGATTATTGTGGGATATGAAAGCCCTGCTCCCGTGCCTCTAGATGGGATAGATTCTGCAGCATAATTTACACCCCAATTTATTTGCAGTGTCAGGCTGACGCTAACCTCGTGAAACCACATCCTGGCTCAGCTTCCTCCCTTTCCTCTCCTGCTTTCTTGCTCCATTATCAGTTTCTTCTAAGGGCATTTCCTTAATAAATCACTTGCACATGAATCCTCATCTCAAGCTCCATTTCTAAAGAATCAGTCTTAAAATATAATAATTTTGCCTTAACCAATGGTAAGTTCATTAAGGCAAGGACTATTCGTAAACTTGGTATCTCCAGCCCAAATAACTGAGCCTGAGACACAGTAATGATTAAAAAAAAAAATCATTGTTGCTTGAATTGTTTCCTGGCAATATAATTCTGCTGAGAATACAATTATGAATTAGACAAAATCTCACTCCACAATGCACCCAAAGTAGAATGAGTTTAGTCTATTTTGGTGGTTTTTACTTATCTCCTTGACTTCTGAACAGTTGACTGCCTTAAAGCCTCATCATTTTCTTTGTACATTCACTTCCTCAGTCACTTCATGGAGTACTTTAAATACCATTTATGTAATGATGGCTCCTAAATTAGTATTTGTAGTTCAGGCCTTTCCCTTGAATCCCAGACTTTTAGCCACCAAGTGCCTGCTCTCCATCGCCAACATAACACATCCAAAATGAACTCTTGATCTCCCCTCCAAACCAACTCTCCCAGTCTTTCCCATCTCGATTACTGGTAACTCCATCCTTCCAGTTATTTAAACCAAAACTTTACAGTCCACCTTGATGAAAAGAGAATGTTAATAAAAACACAACATACTAGTATTTATCTTAGTTATAAAAAAAAATACTGGATCTGTGATAGACTTTAAAACATGTTTCATAACTTGAAAAGTAGTAAAATAGTCATTTACTAAATTTCCTGTTTGTCAGGGATCCCCAAGACCCCATCAAGGTTCAATGATTCACAGAGGACTTTGTGGAACTCATTATACAGTCTCTGACTGATTGTTTCACTTACGATTTGTTTGACTTAATGATTTTTCTACTTGATTTTTGACTTTATGATGGTGTGAAAACAATACACATTCAGTAGAAACTATACTTCAAATTTTGATCTTTTCAATAAATTACAGTAGATACTCAACACTTTATTATAAAATAGGCTTTGTGTTAGATGATTTTGCCCAGTTGTATAATAATGTAACTGTTCTGAGCATCTTTAGCTAGCACATTAAGGTAGGCTAAGCTAAGCTACGATGTTCAGTAGGTTAGGTAAATTAATGCATTTTTTTCTGCTTACAATGGGTTTATTGGAATGTAACCTCATTGTAAGTCAAGAAGCATATGTATAGTAATATTCATGACTATGACATATTATAATGAAAGAAGGCAAAGCACAATCAGTAAAAGGAAAAGGTGCATTGGGCAAAGTTTGGTGAAAAAAGGATACAAGCTCCTGAGTCCTCTCCCTATGGAGTCACACAGGATATGTTTAATGTTGAATTATGACAACTCTTGTGAAATGCTGTCTAGCAGGGAAGTTCATTAGAAACTCAGTGCCCAAGATTTTTGCTGGGGGCTGGCCACTTAGGCACCCTCTGCCCAATATATCAAAATTCCAGTCTCCCAAAATTAAAGCAAATTTCCAGCATAAACTATATTGTTTGCAAAAAAAGAGAAAGAAATAGACATAGTGAGCCACTCTTATCAGCTGGAGAATGGTGGGACATTTCTTGAAGTCCAGATTCAGAGATGCCAGCCAAAGGCTAACCTGGCAAACAGGTATGGTATTTTCAAGCTTGCTAAATTAACTATTTTCTTTTTTTACACATATATAGTATACCGCATAAGCAGAAGTGTCATGTGGGAATTCTGAAAAAGCTCCTTAAAAGGAGCTTATCTTTCTAGCTTTTCTTCCTTATTCTCTGAAATTCAAGTGTGATAGCTGGGAATCCAGGATCCAATTTAAATTGTGGGCCTACCTCAAGAGAGAAGTCATGTGCTAAGAATGGGTCCCTGATGACACCATGAAGCCACTATACCATCTCAATAATCTCTATCACTAGACTGTTTTTCTGTGAGACAGAATTGATGCTTATCTTTAGTTATTATTTCTAAATTCAGAATTAGCAGGCAAACAATTTTTAATAAAAAATTACTTAATAAAAATACACAAATACATTTTTAAAATGTGAAGGCCCTATAAATAAAAGATCTGTTAATCAAATGCAAAATAATAAAAGTAATGCCCTTGAAGAAACAACTAAAAGTAACTAAAGAAATAAAGAAAACTGCATTCATTAGAAATGCTATATTTTAAAAATCTAAAAAAAAATATTGAGTAGCAGCTCATGAGAGAAAAAATAAACTATTCATTAAAAAAAAAATTAAACTGGGCCTTTAATGGCCTAAAACAGGAAATCACAGCTGAATCATCAGTATGTCATTTTTATGTAGGTAAAGATGCTATAATGACATACCATATATTCCAAGCCCTTTTTTGTAATGAGAGTTAATAAATACAGGAGGATATTCCAGTTGGCTGTAATGTTTTTCCCATAGCTTCAAAAGGTTTCCCTGATGTAAATTTGGCACTTTTACACTTAATAATCAATATTGATTTATCACAAATTTTACAAATGGAAGATTTTTTTTAAGTGTTGCTGTGGAAGAGCATTTCCATCTTTCCTTAAAAGTTTCTTATGGGAATTTCTTTCACCATTATTCTCAATCTTGTTGAAAATGAAGCAGAAATTCCTTTAATGATTTTTTATAATAGAATATAATCTAAATTAACAGTATTGCAAACACTGCAGAGTATTAGAAATGTAATAAAAATAAATTGCTCTGTTCCAGTGTGCTCTACTACAGTCATATTTACATCTATTCATAAGGTAACCAAATGAACTCCTGCTATTTAAGGGATTAAACACCAACAAAATTATACAACAGCACAATTATAGAAAAATGGGATGCTTCCAAGGCATATAGGTTTGACAGAGATGTTTGTAATTACAGTATTCAAGTATTCTAGCAGGTAAATTTAGCCAAACTATACCAAATACATAATACAGTGCAATTCTAACAGTGTTTTCTAATAATTCATCTAAAATCCCCCCCAAAACAAGTTAAATTAAAATGGCTTAAGGAATATTATAGAGTGAAACATCTGCCCCTCTGCATTTTTCCAGGCATCTGAAACTGGAAAGAGAAAATTAACATCTCCAATTCCTATCGGTACATTTTCAATCTTATGGACAAATTTTTACCTCATATTTTGCCACTATAATATTTGAACGACTTTTAGAAAAATAGGAACAAGAACAACAACACATTATATGGGTACCTTGCAACACTTGGAGATGTAAATGACCTTTACATCTGTCAGTTTACAATTTAAACTCCATTCAACATCCAGGTGATTGAAAGCTATCAATAAGATATGCGAAACTAAACTGAGGCATAAGAAACAATATACATTAAAGAGGACCATTTTAAATGTTCATGTAAGTAGCCCAATTTAGGACCAATGAATCAGAGAGCATTAACAGTACACTATTCCTACACACATTTGAAATATTTCAACCCACTAGATTAATGTAGGGTTAAATATTGCAAGGATTTATATTTACCTTCTTTGGATTTTGAATAAAGCTTAAAAAGATAAGAAATGTAAACTAATTTTGTGCTCGATTTTCTACTGGGGATTTTTCAATAATCGTCTTCATGTAAACCCCAGCAGTAAATATATTGTAGTCTTCAATTTGCAGATGACTAAATTGAGATTCAAAAATATTAACTAACTTTCCTACTACTGCACAATTAGTAAATAGTGCTTCCAGGGTTCCAACAAGCATCTGTATTGACTGTTTTTCTACTGAAAGTCACACATATTTATTAAAGACTTATTCGGCCAAATTATTTATTAATGCATCTCATTTAACCCTCCTAAGAGTCACATTAACTAAGTACTAGATCCTAAATTTACAGATGAGGAATCTGATGCATCAGAAAGGAAAATGATTTTCTCAGATCCCAAAGTAGTACATGAACAAGCTAGGATGGAAGTCCTACACCATCTGAGTCCAGAGCCTGTGCTCAATCTCACTTTGATGTTAAGAGACATTGACTCCAGTAGCTTTAATTTAGGTAGATCAGGAAACCTTTCTCCAAGAACAAGTGAAAATGGAAGGCTGCTGTAACTCTTGGTAAAGTGAGCACACATTATTAAATTTTACTCAGCCATTGTAAAGTTTCCTATACATATTATATTTCTACCAGATTTTTTTTCCTAATTGAAATAGCAATGAAGAATAAAACACAAAGTTATCCTATAATAACACTACCTGGGTTTCTTGGAACTGAATGTTCCTGGTACGGAAAAAATAAGAAAAAGAAAAAAAAATTGAACCTTCGTGTTGGAAAAAAAAAAAAGGGAGAAGATGGAGAATTCAAAAGTTAAAATAAAAAAGGTCTGAGAATCTTCTGAAAACAGAGTGTTCTTCTCCACAAACAGCAGGGAAATGATAGGATATAATTGTTAACATACTGGCAGCTTCCAGACATATGTCTTGAGTAGCAAATTAGATATTTTGACTTTTGTACAAAGATGGTAAGATCAAATGGGTTATGGGGGTAGATGGATAGGAAAGTTCTCCATATGATTGCCCCATATGACCACAGGATACAGTTTCCTGGACACTCATCATCTCATTCCACTTTTGACTAGAAAGTCTTCTTTCAATTCAGGGGCCAGAAAGCTAAAATCTATGTTTACCAGACTCCCTTGCTCTAAGCTTGCAGACAGAGTTTGGGTTATATCATGAAGAATTCAGAACCAGATTAAGTGGGAAGAGATGTGCTTTGTAAAGCATCAGTTTTTGTTGGTGCAAATCACAGTATACATAGTCAAGAAACAGATCCAACAGTTTTAGGGCAGGCTTCTTAATCCTTTGATTATAACTAAGGTACATTTTTCTTGGACCTTGGTAGGGAGAGTTACTTTGGATTCTAACAGAAGAAGCAGTTCTCTTGGTGGGCAAGTGCTGTGATATTATTCTGTATGTTATTCTTGCAGGCATAGCCTTAGGACATTTCTCTGCAGACTTTATGTTTTGTAAGGAATTAATTACCTAGAGTAATCCACTTGTGTTTAAACAAGCTAAATGAATTCTATTGTCTGCAATTGAACCCTGACTGATAAACCTTTTCTCCCTTCACTCTCCACCAACCTCAATGAGGTTCACCTTGAAAGCCAGGCCAAAGAAAGTGAAGTGTAAAGTCAGTACTACTATGCCACCTCTACAGCCCCCACTCTCCAAAAGTATGCTCCCTCCAGGGAATTACCTGTGGTACCTATAAAAGAAAACCGCAGCTTTATTCCAAAATGATAAATCAACACCATAGACTCTAACTGCCCAGTGAAATTTATTTGTTGACAGATACTCTTAGCTGCCTAAGTATTATCTGTAAACCCATGAGTTTAAATGATGGTTTTCAATTCTATAATTTTAATGACAGAAAGAGGAATGATGGAAAATAGGAGGGCATTGGTAACTAAAGAGAGAAGTGGCACCATCAACAGAGTGTGAACAATCAGAAGTTACGTTCTGCTAAATGAAAACATTACTTGGTACTATTTTAAACATGCAGAAGCTACTCTGCGTAATTCATAAAGACTTTAATGTGCCTTCAACTGAAAGTAACTGCTATTATAAAAGAGTTTCACACTCAGTATTTAAATTATCAGTGTACTTACACTTTAATAAATAACTTTATAAAGTTTAAAACTAAAAGTTTACTGCTTGATAGTAAACTATGTCACCAGTTCATCTATCCATGTAAAGATAAAACCAATATCTGCAAAAACCCATGAATACTTAGTTTCATCCTGACATAAATGAAGATATATTTCACAATATTTACAATCATTAGACCTTATAACTGAGAGAACTGCATATAAAACACTAAACTATATGTTAGGTAAAATATAAATAAAATTCTTATTACAAAACCGATATATTAAAATCTATGTCAAAATTACAATGCGTATGATAAAGATTTGGTCGTCTCTCCTTACGCGCTTAGTTTTCAAGCTAGCAATTATGTGAACATATATTCAACTTGCATCAGTGTACTGTCCTTGATTTCTTAAAAATCCAAATTTGTACTTTAGCCTTGGTTGTCATTTTCTTAAGGATATCTCATTGCTTTGAATACTCTTCATGTGATATGTAGTATGAGTAAGGTGGGTCATTAAAGCAAGATGGCAGAGGGAGAATAAAAATGAGGAATTACTGGTCCTAAAATTCAAAGAAAAAGATGTTACTATAGAAAATTTTACGCAAAGGGCGGGAAAACAACATTTTGTTACAGTTTATAAAAGAAACCATGCTATGTGGTTAACTAAAAGGCAAAGTATTGACCTGATAGTATATTAGACTGTTTCAATTCAAACCTACATTTAGACATTTCTGAGAACATTTCACTCCCACCACAAGGACTGGGGAGAGAGAACTCAAACCTTTAAAAGTTATGAATTAGAACCCCTACTAATGGATCTCTCTATTAGCCTCACAACTTGCACTCAGGTCCTCTAAGAAAATAGGTGACACAATTGAAACTATTCAGCCTGTTTGTTGCCTCCTGAACTATTGAGGGTAACCCTTAAAATGTTTTCGTCTACCTGGCTAGTTCAAATTAAAAACAGCAAAATATCTTTTTTAAATATTTATTTTTCTTGTCACTGAACTTACTTTTTACATTCAGATAATAAGACCGACAATCACATAGCAATAAAAATAAAATTACCAGACACAGTAACTTAATATTGTCTTAATAATATATGTGTGTGCATATATGCTATAAATACTTATATCATTAAATTATAAATATTAAATGTAAATATTCATATTATATATTATATAAATGCATATATGTAGATATATGTGAAACCATAATCATAAGTCATCTAGCATAATAACAAACCCTCTAGTATACAAAATACCATAAGGTAAATTATAGACACCGTTTATCAATTATCAATTAAGGTTTGGACATATCTGAAATTTTGGTTTATCATAGCAATTTTCACATACTGTATTCCTTAAGTAAAGGAAATGATAAAAACCTAGGATCTCAGTATTCCGAATGCACATCTACCACTGCAGCTTCTATACTTGATTCCCAAGAAGTCCTGGGATATTAAATATGTTCAAATATCAATTTCTCTGGCAAGAGTACATGTTAAAGATACAACACCAAGAGGAAATAAATACATATTAAACTTATCAGGCCACAGGAAATGACATACATTCCAAGACGCTACTGTGGCACTTCATGATAAGGATTTTTGCCTCACCTAATACATTTATACATTCATTATTTTAGGTAACAGTCTCACAGCAACTCTCATTACAAAATGAATACAATACACATAAGACTTCCAACAAATAGCAGATGCTAGAGTTCATAGAAAGGCATTGTATTATAAAAATGTATTTTTATCCTTCCCTAATATTCTCTGATGGAAGTATTTACTTAATTTTGTCACTTCAGTCAATTACGGTATATTTACAAAGCTGGCTTGTCTTTTATTAAGAAATTAGTGTTCATATGTGTAACAATTTGAACACGTAATTATGATATCTAATTATATAATTAGAGTATGTTGAAATGATCAAAATCTTCATTATCTTATTGATTTTAAAAGAGTGTGAGATATTTCTTAAGCATCTCAAGCATCACTTACAATATTGTCTTCCAAATTGCTTACTTTCCAAAGTTAATAAGACTTGAAAGACAAAGAGAAGCTAATGACAGAAGTCACGTATCCTACTGGGTCATAAAACAATTTTTGCATATCACAACCTATGACATATCAAAATGCCTATTAGTAATAGCTCATGATTCTTTGGTTCAATCATTCAATTTATTAATTTATAATACATTTATTACTTAAAAGTTTTGACTGGGAAGAAATTTTCTTAGTCCTGGAATTATGATACAAAAAAGTTTCAGTGTCTTTTGAAGGAGGAGGTTTTATTGTTTTTGCTTTTTTAGAAACTCATCCTCGAAAGAATAATGTGAACAACTAATGGCAATTCAGACAGTGTAGGCAGAGGGGATCTTAAAAACCTTTCTGTTCCTCACAATCTTTGCTAAATGCGTAGATTAATAACAGTTATCTTAGTCTGAATCCTTTAAAAAGACCAGAGCCTGAAGCAAGGATTAGAGTACTGACATTTTCTTTGAGAGGTGCAAGCTCAGGAAATGAAGATGAGAGAAGAAAAGGGGATGGACAATCTTGTGGCAAGGAAAAATGTGAGGAAATGCAAAGGATGTGTTGTTCGTGATATGCCTTTCTTCTGCATACCAGATTATCTGGAAGGTTTGCAAAGGGAAAACATACTTCCATTGCCATTCCCTGATGGGAGAAATAATAATAAATTATCTGTCTTATCCCTTCCTGTTCCTGTTTCCCATATATCTAGACTCATGCCGAGAGGAACTAACTTTCCCACATGGCTGAGCTTCATTAGCTGACCCCAGTGGCTGCTCAGGAAGCCATATCTGAAGGCTAAAATTGGCCTTGGGAATTAAACACTTTACCAATGCCAATGCGTGGGTCCAAGGGTCAAGAAGCAGAGAGTCAAAGGTATGGTTAGAGAAAATGTGTTACAAGCAAAAAACACTGTGGGGCCTGTAATCCCAGCACTTTGGAAGACCGAGGTGGGCGGATCACGAGGTCAGGAGATCGAGACCATTTTGGCTAACAAGGTGAAACCCCGTCTCTACTAAAAATACAAAAATTAGCCGGGCATAGTGGCGGGCGCCTGTAGTCCCAGCTGCTCAGGAGGCTGAGGCAAGAGAATGGCGTCAACCCAGGAGGCGGAGCTTGCAGTGAGCCGAGATTGGGCCACTGTACACCAGCCTGGGTGACAGAGCGAGACTCCGCCTCAAAAAAAAAAAAAAAAAAAAAAACAACACTGTGGGGAGGCAAGAGTGTTATTACAAGATACTTTTCCAAGACCAAAGCTGAAGGATACACTTAAGCCTAGTAGGAAATGTGTAGGAGCAGTTGGTGTTTGAGGAAAGTCATGAGAGGTAACATAAAGAGACTGAGATTCACATGCTATTTCTGTGATAAAGAAATGTTAAGTAGGCAGGATGCTTTCTTCGAATGACCTTTTAAAACAAAACAAAAACAAAAACAAAAAACCTGATTTTGCTAGTGATGTCTTCTCAAATGCTTCCCTAGTTTCTGGGCAAAGATAGATGAAGCAATGATAGCATCCCATAAGTGATTGCTAAATAAATAAAGAACCATTTCAGTGCCTTCTGAGAGCAGATAAAAGGATGCTGTGTCTTTATACATTAGCAAAGTATTAAAATACCCAATAATCAACTAGTTTGAAAATGTCCAAAATAAGTTAACATAAAATATCAGCTTTTAGATTTTGGAAAAGTTTATTTTCAAGAAGCTTTTTCCTGAACTGGGCCATAAACTATAAAGAAAAGTCTCCATGAAAATGCACTCTAACTTTGCTTGCAAAATAAGCCAAGCTGTTAGAAACCTTGTAAGGCACCAATTTAATATCTCCCTCTGACCCAGTTCTTAGAAATGTTATCAAGTTACCTATTAATATAACTTACTAGTGCAAATACCCTGAATGTGGAGTACTTATAATATTCAGGTTCCTATAAAAATAGCTATTGCCTCCCCAAAAGTAGAGCAAGTCTTCCCTATCCCACAACCTAAATCTAATTTGACAGACATTATTAATTCAGATTAATAATGCCAGAGAATCTAGTGCATTAAAAAAGAAAGCCTTGCTAAGGAAAAAAATCATTTATTGGGCAGGAACCAAGAAGGTAAGGTCCTAAAATCTAAAACACCTTAGTTCCCTGACTTAAAAAAAAAATTAAAATCACATTAAGCAAATTGGAGAACTCTAACTTCTAACATAATCAAATGATTTGCAACACTTATGAGCCGCATTTTACGCCCGGGTCTCCCAGGCCTTGCCCTTAATGCAAACTTACCTTTATACCTCTGAATTCACCTGAGACAATGCAGTAGAAATGATTCTAAATAATGAGTAGGACTTTTAAACATAGTTTTACAGGTAAAAATGATGGCATATTTCTTCTCAGTCACTGAAATGGGGCAAAATGGAAACAACAATCAAGATATTCTTTCTGGAATGGTCACAGATTGTCACTTAGCTGCACAAAAATATTAGAAATAAAATAATTGTTATACGAATATATCTGTTCGTAGTGGATGTCGAAGTGTACTGTCAAAAAGTAGCAAATTAAAACTCCATATCCATGTATATGGCATGCACCATTCACCCAGTTCCTCATATCGAAATTCTTGAATCACCTCCATATGCAGTCCCTCAACAAAATTCTCCACTCAAAATACATTTGATCTACTTTCTTCTACTACTCTAAATATTCATCTGCTTGCCCAAGTCACCATCATCTCTCCCTAGACACAAGGTCCACCTTCCATTCTTGACCCCTCTAATCTATGTCCCAAATTGCAGCCAGAGTGATCCTGTTAAAACACAAGTCACATTCTAACTGCTTAAATCCTCTTTTGGCTTCCCATTGCCCAGAAAATGGAACTCACTCCTGTTCACCAGGCCCTATATCCTTCCTCATATCTTGTCACTCACCCCCAGTCACTGAACTCAAGGCAAACCTACCTTCCTGAAAGACACCAAGAGTCCTCCTGCTTCAGAGCCTGTACTCTTTGCTGTCTCTCTTCTTTTAACTTCATGCAAGCCTCTGCCTAAATGTCATTTCATTGGAGTAGGCTTCCCTGAACACTCTATTAAAAATAGCAGTTTCTATTATTCCCAATCACCACATCTACTCCAATTTTCTTCAGCACACTTACCAATATCAGAAATCAGAACATATATGAATTTGTGTATTACCTGTTTTTCCCTAAAAAATATAACTTTCATGTGGGCTGAGATTGTGTAGATCTTGTTGATTGCTTTATCCCAGCACAGTGCCTCACACTTAGTAGGTGGTTAATACTCACCTCCCTTCTATGACATGCTGCTGTCTTTCTTTAGAATATTCTGGGTAAGCATTGACAAGCAGAAATTATCTCGGTAATGCCCCCATGTAATTCTAAGGGAAATCTGTACTCTAAGAAATTCAAGGTCTTACGTGCTTACAAAACAAAACAAAACAAAACCCAGATTACCTATTTAGGAATAATAAAAACATCAACATTATTAATTAAAATGTTTGTGTTATAAATTACCCTATGGACCGCTCAAAAAAAATGTGGAAATGCCATGTTCCCAGACGGGCATTTACTCAGAGAATAAGATTTATGAAAAGACTTTAAAGCTTAGCAGTGTTAGGAAGAATAGAAAGTAAAAGTTCAGGAACAAAAAGGAGATATATTCATTAATTTCTCCACATATAATGATGTAAAAACAAAATAAAACAACCCAAAATACACTGTTTTTAGTAAAACTATGACTAATGCAGAGGACCCCAAATAATACAAAATGATTTATAATAATATTTTTTAAATTAATAGAAAGTAAGGATGAGCTAAGAGGTAGAAAGTTTAAAATGGGAAGAAATATCTCAATTTTTTGTTGTAAGTAAATTGTGATCGGCTCTGCAAGAATCTCTTTATTCTTTACCAAAAACTCCATTACTGGTGTTTATGTAGCTGGGTTTAGTTGTTCTCAGATAACTATCAAACGTAAATTATCTTCCACAAATTTGAGTGCTACTATCGCCATCATAAAGTTGTATTGAGGGCCTAATATGAACCTCATGCTAGCTTGGGGGAAACAAAACATATTATGTGACCCTGACGACCGTAACCTTTACGAAAGTCAAAATTTATTAAAAAAAAAAAAGGGCTCTGATAAGTGCTAAATTAAATTACGGACAAATTCTGTCACATTGCTTTAGTTTCCTGGACTAGTATCACTGAGTTGAAACATATCATTATTTTAATCATAAATATTTCACTATAGGCTTCTACTTTAACATGTCTAATATAAATTACTGTACATTGTGTAAAATAATTTATAAACTTTCTAAGGGATGAGAAAATCAGCCTTCTCAAAAAGATGTGTTTGCATTGCAAAAGGCAAGTAATATGCTTTGATCAATTTGATGTGAAACATAAAAAGCTTCTTTCATAGAAAACAGATACCAGGCATACAATTTTAATTGAAGAGAATTTTTGTTACTTCTTAATATTTCAAGGGAACACATACCAAAAGGAGCTGTAAGTCAGTTATTTTATTATTACCTTTGGCTATTTTACTATTACATTTCAATAAGATAATGAATTTTCCTTTGGGGAAAAAAAAGTTTTCAATGCTTAACAAATGAGATCATTCTAAATTAAATTATCTGCCTGAAAAGACACTATTTTAATAAATATTTGATTGAATAAAAGTTATTTTCCTCCACATACACAAATGTTATTGCATCCTTGCTTTTTGAAACAACGGGCTTTATATCAAAATTTTATATCTTTTTTTAGGCATACATTTTTTTCCCAGAGTTTAGTAGCAATCTTTTTCTCTATATATTTCAGTCCTTGAAACATATTGTGCACATTCAGTGTTATAACCTTGTCACTCAAAGAGCTGATACAACACAAAGTGATTTCACCAAAAATAATGGAAGGATAGACATTATTTTTGGTTAGAAACAGTTTTTGCTGTTTTTTTTTGAGACAGTCTTGCTCTGTTGCCCAGGCTGGAGTGCAGTGGCACGATCTCGGCTCCCTGCAACTTCTGCCTCCCTGGTTCAAGCGATTCTCCTGCCTCAGCCTCCTCAGTAGCTGGGATTACAGGCGTGCACCACCAATCCCAGCTAATTTTTGTATTTTTAGTAGAGATGGGGGTTTCACCATGTTGGTCAGGCTGGTCTTGAACTCCTGACCTCCTGATCCACCCACCTTGGCCTCCCAAAGTGCTGGGATCACAGGTGTGAGCCACCACGCCCAGCTAGAAACATTTTTTAAGAAGAAGAATATTGTGCTTGTCATGTTCAGTTTCTTGAACCGGGTTATAGGAGTGTGTTAAGTTATGAACATTCAATAAAACAGCAATCATAATAATAAAGAGTAACTAGTTTATTAAAAAGTTCAAGAAGCACTGTATTTTGTCAGTGTCTGGAAAAATAACACCAAATGTGCCTTTCTTTGTGGATACTCCATTTAGGAAAAGGTACAAATTGGAAATGAAAAGGAACGTGGTATGGGAGTGGAGAGAAAAAGAAGTATTTGAAAAGAAGTCTCAGAAATCATGGATAGAAAATAATTAATGATTATTACTATGTAAGTAGTGCATGTCTTAGAATATTGCACACACAACTGAGGGGTTTTAGCAAAAAATACATTACCCAGAAAGGAAAATGTAAAGCAGAAGCAGTGTGCTAAATTGCTGTTGCCCTCTCCTGATCTCCCAATTAGTGAGCACTTAGCCAACTCTCTTGAAAGCAAATACCTCTAAGGAGGGTGTCACTTAATTATTCATATTTTATTACCAATTACTTTAATCAGATGGTTTCTTCATAACATTTGGCTGAATCAGCTAAATTTGGAAATGTTATGCATACCATCCAAGAGTATAAAGAGGCACATGTGTGATTTTAGAAAATGGGTTATTTGAAGGAAACTTGCTCCAGATATGTTTGTTGAAATCATTGAGGGTTTTCATGTTCTGCTTGAAAACTTAACCTTTAGGAGTGGATGACCAATCCAGGAGATGGGCTTTCAGAGTCACTTGATGTTGCAAAGTTGATCATTTAAAAGGTTACTTTAATACTTCCTTAAAACAAGTGTAACTAATTCAACTCTCAGGAAGCTTAAGATGGCCTGGGGGAAGGGAAATACCTTAAGTAATCCTAACGAAAGCTAAGTCTGTGCTTTATGGTTGGAGGCACATGCAGGCAAAATGGTGAAACCATTGCTCTCCTTCAGGCTCCATGCACTTTTAGATAAACATCCAAACATCCTCATATTGCCTCAGGCTATTTTCATAGGGCCAACTCCCTGGGACTTAGAAAAATCCTATCTTTTCCATTAAAATGTCAATTCCTTCACAGGATAGAAGAAATTTAAAAATTATTGTGTTTGTTTTTTGTGTGTGTTTCTTTCCATTGTAAAAATTTGTTAATTTTAGAAAGGTTTTAGTTGTTTGCTTTAGCAAAGGTGTTTTCTTTAATTAAAGGTCACTCCTTGAACCAAAAGTTTAAGTCGCCAGTGAATTATTTGTGGCCCAAATTATTTATATGAATAATTATGTGAAAAGAGTAGAAATGTTGTCCCAAACACTTTCATCTCCCAACTCTTTTCCTCTGACTGTCCTGCATTCCATAATGTTTCATTGTATCATAAAACCCTAGCACATATTTTATGATTTTTCCACTGAGGTAAAAAAAAATGTTTAACATTCAATTGGCAAAGTGATGTTTACCTACCAAGAATATTTTTGCATAGGGGAACAAAACAAAATAGCTAAATTGAAATCCCTTCTTTACTATGAAATCATTTTGTGATCCTGAAGAAGGTACTCTTTTTTCTAGAACTTCATTTCCACATCAGTAAAATAGAGACAATTATATCCAACATAGAAGGCCATTGTGAAGAAAAAATGAGATGGTGCATAGAAAATGACAATAGGTGTTGTTTTTATTTTCCTTAGTATCTTTTCTGCTTCCCTGGCACTTAATAAAACCTACTAAGTGTCTTATCCTAATAACCTATGAAGATTGCTACTATTTCATTTAGAATAATTGTTCATACAGATTATAACACCTTCCCCACACACACACGCTTGCAGTTCTGCTTTTCAATAATTACGTAGTTATTCAATGGTTTGATAAAATATTGCCTTGCATAGAGGATATTAAACTCATGAAACTGAGAGGTGACAGCGTGCTGGCAGTCCTCAGAGCCCTCGCTTGCTCTCAGCACCTCCCCTGCCTGGGCTCCCACTTTGTGGCATTTGAGGAGCCCTTCAGCCCCCCACTGTACTGTGGGAGCCCCTTTCTGGGCTGGCCAAGGCCGGAGCCCACTCCCTCAGCTTTCAGGGAGGTGTGGAGGGAGAGGCACGAGCGGGAACCGGGGCTGCGTGTGGCGCTTGCGGGGCAGCTGGAGTTCCGGGTGGGCGTGGGCTTGGTGGGCCCCGCACTTGGAGCAGCCAGCCAGTCCTGCTGGCCCCGGGCAATGGGGGACTTAGCACCCGGGCCAGTGGCTGCGGAGGGTGTACTGAGTCCCCCAGCAGTGCTGGCCCACCAGCGCTGCGCTCGATTTCTCGCTGGGCCTTGGCTGCCTTCCCGCAGGGCAGTGCTCGGGACCTGCAGCCCGCCATGCCTGAGCCTCCCACCCACTCCATGGGCCCCTGTGCGGCCCGAGCCTCCCCGACGAGCACCACCCCCTGCTCCAGGGCACCGAGTCCCATCGACCACCCAAGGGCTGAGGAATGCTAGCGCAGGGCACAGGACTGGCAGGCAGTTCCACCTGCAGCCCCGGTGTGGGATCCACTAGGTGAAGCCAGCTGGGCTCCTGAGTCTGGTGGGGACGTGGAGAGTCTTTATATTTAGTTCAGGGATTGTAAATGCACCAATCAGCACCCTGTGTTTAGCTCAAGGTTTGTGAGTGCACCAGTCGACACTCTGTATCTAGCTGCTCTGGTGAGGACGTGCAGAACCTTTACATCTAGCTCAAGGATTATAAATACACCAATCAGCACTCTGTATCTAGCTCAAGGTTTGTAAACACACCAATCAGCACCCTGTGTTTAGCTCAGGGTTTGTAAATGCACCAATCGACACTCTGTATCTAGCTGCTCTGGTGGGGCCTTGGAGAACCTGTGTGTCTAAACTCTATCTAACTAATCTGGTGGGGATGTGGAGAACCTTTGTATCTAGCTCAGGGATTGTAAACACACCAATCAGCACCCTGACAAAACAGCACACTTGGCTCTACCAATCAGCAGGATGTGGGTGGGGCCAGATAAGAGAATAAAAGCAGGCTGCCCAAGCCAGCATTGGCAACCTGCTGGGGTCCCCTTCCACACTGTGGAAGCTTTGTTCTTTCACTCTTTGCAATAAATCTTGCTACTGCTCACTCTTTGGGTCCACGCTGCTTTTATGAGCTGTAACACTCACAGCGAAGATCTGCAGCTTCACTCCTGAGCCCAGCGAGACCACGAGCCCACCAGGAGGAACGAGCAACTCCAGACGCGCTACCTTAAGAGCTGTAACACTCACCACGAAGGTCTGCAGCTTCACTCCTGAGCCAGCGAGACCACGAACCCACCAGAAGGAAGAAACTCCGAACAGATCTGAACATCAGAAGGGAGAGACTCCAGACGCGCCACCTTAAGAGCTGTAACGCTCACCGCGAGGGTCCGAGGCTTCATTCTTGAAGTCAGTGAGACCAAGAACCCACCAATTCCGGACACAAAACCAAACGCTCCAACAATTTTAAGTGGCGACTGGCAACCAATGGTGATAGGACATACGTGTGATTGTTTCATTTCTGCCTATAGCTACACCATTATTCTCTCTGGGTCTTAGTTTATGGCTTTGTAAAAAATTAGATGACCACTGCAATTATTTCTAGCTTAATAATTCTAAAATTTATGATCTATAAATAATCTATTCCTACCCCTGATGATTTTCCCTTTTTTGGCATTTAGCAGGCTTGATAATTGCTTCTTTATTTAGCTCTCTCTTGTGAGAGATTCTGCTTTTAAGGGGACAAACTTACCTGTTTTGTTAATTATTTTATCTCCAACAGTTAGCACAGTGCCTGACATGTAGTAGTCTCTTAAAAACTACCTGCAGAACTGTAATGTATTGGCTTAACAAATGAATAATACCCAATGTATTATTATAGAGAAGATAATAGAAGTCAATTAATTTTAAAGTATTTAAATAAAATTCTATTTGCCCTAAAGCAATGTATTTTCTGTATAAGTTATGTACCCTCTGGAATTAAGTGAATAAGTCCCTATGTATCCAATATTACACTCTTGCCATTTTTATTTATATATCTGTCTTTTCTACTAGAACTTCTTAGCTATTGGAAGGCCTATCTCTGGCCTTTGGTATCTAACATATTTTTTTGGCCACGTATACTAGAATACTCTACAATTTTCCATTGAAAGAATCTCAATTATATACTTATAAATATAATTGTCTTAATTCTTCAAAATTAATTTTGCTTATATCCTTTTCATTTGACTCTTGGATCTATGTCAATACTGATTTCTAAAGGTTTCATAAAATAGAGTCAGCCTTTATGGCAAACATATTGTTGTCTAGGTTATAGTACACAGACCAGCTGGTATTTTTCAATGACATGACATCTTGATTAAAGGTGTAGAAGATGCTATCCTGTGAAAAGGCTTTGAAAATGTGGGTTCTGTGTCTGTATATTTTTATATACATATACCGAAACAGTATTTTGTTCCCATGTTCTCTTAGAACAAGATCATTTGTATGTGAATTTTCTTCTACCTCTTCCATCCCTAAGACAGCAAGACCAAGTGCTCCTCTCTTCCTCCTCAGCCTACTCAATGAGAAAACAAAGATAAAGACCATTGTGATGGTACACTTCCACTTAATAAATAGTAAGGATATTTTCTCTTCCACATGACTCTCTTTTCATTTCTTTTTTTATTTGTTTGTTTTTGAGACAAAGTCTCACTCTGTCACCCAGGCTGGAGTGCAGTGGCAAAACATGGCTCACTGCAGCCTTGACCTCCCAGGCTTAGGCAATCCTCCCAACTCAAGTCTCCTGAGTAGCTGGGACTACAGGCACATGCCATCATGCCTCACTAATTTTTAAATTTTCTTCTGTAGAGATGAGGTGTCCCTGTGACGAGCCCAGGCTGGTCTCGAACTCCTGAGGTCAAGAGATCCTCCCCTCTTGGCCTTATGATTTTCTTCATAACAGTTTCTTTTCTTTATCTTACTTTATTGGATATAATACATACAACATACAAAATATGTGTTAACTGACAATTTATGTTACTGGTAAGACTTCTGGTCAACAGTAAGCTATTAGTAGTTAAGCTTTGGTGAAGTCAAAAATTATACATGGGTTTTCGACTGTGTAGGGTTCAGTGCCCCTACCCACTGGGTTCTTCAAGGGCCAACTGCACAATTAATTCATGATATGGAGTTAGAAGGGTAGAATAAAGGACTTCAAAGTGCCTTCCTAAGTCTAAACAACTATGAAATAAGAGAAAAATTTTTCTGTCCTGACCACAGAAAATTGTTCAAGACATACTTTAAGTGAAAAAAGTAAGTTGTAAAACTGTAGGTACATAGTGGTAGTATTTTTTGTAAACATACAAGATTTTAAATTTATTCTTATTTCTAATATTTAAAGAAAAACATACAAAATGTTAAAGTCGTTCATTACCTAGTTGGAAATTCACTCAAATAGGAACATCCTATTTGTAATTGCAACCATTTGCTTAAGAAAATAATGGTAATCACTTATAGAGTGCTCCATTCAAGCATTTTTAGGAACATTAACTCATTTAATACTCACAACAACTCTACAAAGTGATGGTCATTATCACCTCTTTTTGCAGACGAAGAAATTGAGGTAAGAAAAGCAACTTTCTTGCTCAAAGTCACATAGAGCTAATGATTAGTGGAGCTGAGCTTCACAGATAGATTCTTTGGCTCAGAGGCCAGTTTTCTCCAAGCTCACTTCCTACACTATGCTGCCCTATGCTCTTCCCTCGGCAGCCCACTCCAAACATTAACCTGATGTTTATGCTAATCAACAATTTGATTTTATATTTACTTACTATCCATGTATTTTACAAATAATGCTTTGAGCACCAATTATGTGCAAAACACAGCTTTATCTCCAGTAACTGGTAAGTCCAGCTTTTCAGTTTGTTCCCAGTAATAGCTAGCCAAAAATTTATCAGTCCTTCCCCCGATCCTGATCTAGTCATTTCACACCCATTTCTAACATCACCAATATTGGTAAAAAATAAGAGGCATTTGAAGGCTGCTGGGAGAGATATAAAGGCACCTACTTCAATACCCTCCAGAAGGCTGCAATTTCCCAAACTCCTTTCAGGCAACTCAAAATGCTCGTGTATTAGAATAGGTACTGTATGCATACCTACAGTGAATTGTTAGAAGAGACTACTGACAGGTATAGGAGGTTGAGCTAGATGACTCCTCAGGTTCATCCAGATAAGTGTGGAAAGAGCCAGTTACTTACTAACTGCCTTGGAAAGAACAGCACTTTCCCCAGGAATGAAGACTAGTAATAAGGTCAACAAACTGCAAAAACCAAATGACTCCTCCCTTTATTTTTTAAATAAAAGAAGTATTTAAAGCTGTATTAAGGTTTCCAAAGGAAATAAGAAGAAAGGTTAACAGGAAAGAACAAAAACCCATTAATTCTGAAGCAGGTAATGAAACACACACACACACACACACACACACACACACTCAGACGTATCAACAAAAAGCCAGATGATCCCTAGGAGCATAATAGGTAGCAGAGGGTGAGGCTGCAGTCCTTGGTTTGGAGAATAGGAAGATTCCCCATAATCTATCCGATGCCTATGGCCAAAGCAAGAAGTTACTGCTATATTGTGCGATCCTCAGTTATCAAATGGGCATTGTACATATTTTTCTGTGTTGGTGTGTTTTTCTGTGAATAAAAATTACTTTCTACCATGTAATGTTAAGGCTATACTTCAGGCTGTATCTTAACCAGTGTCTTTTGGTCTCAGGACCATTTTGGCCACAAGGAAAATTTAAACCTTGCAGGACAAGAGGTGCTGCGTCTGCTGAACCTGCATCTTTGGGATAAGGGTAGTATTTAAACGAAGGAGTCAACTGTGGAACTCCTCCGGGTGTGGAGACAGAAATAAAATAAATAGGTGTGTATATCCCATAGTGCTGATATAGTTTCATATTTTTTTTTTTTTTTTGAGACAGGGTCTCACTGTGTCACCCAGGCTGGAGTGCAGTGGTGTGATCTCAGCTCACTGTAACCTCTGCCTCGCAGGTTCAAGCAATTCTCCTGCCTCCGCCTCCTTGGTAGCTGGAAGTACAGGCACCTGCCACCATGCCCGCTAATTTTGTAATTTTAGTAGAGTTGGAGTTTCACCATGTTGGTCAGGCTGGTCTCGAACTCCTGACCTCAAATGATCTGCCCACCTGGGCCTCCCAAAGTGCTGGGATTACAGGCGTGAGCCACCGTGTCCAGACTAGTTTCAGATGTTTAACATCAGTACATATTTATTATTATTATTATTATTATTATTATACTTTAAGTTCTGGGATACATGTGCAGAATGTGCAGGTTTGTTACATAGGTATACACGTGCCATGGTGGTTTGCTGTACCCATCAACTCGTCATCTACATTAGGTATTTCTCCTAATACTAACCCTCTCCTAGCACCCCCCACTCCCTGATAGGCCCCGACGTGTGATGTTCCCCTCCCTGTGTCTATGTGTTCTCATTGTCCAACTCTCACTCATGAGTGAGAACATGTAGTGTTTGGTTTTCTATTCCTGGGTTAGTTTGCTGAGAATGATGGTTTCCAGCTTCATTCATGTCCCTGCAAAGTACATGAATACATCCTTTTTTTTATGGATGCATAGTATTCCATGGTATATATGTGCCACATTTTCTTTATCCAGTCTATCATTGATGGGCATTTGGATTGGTTCCAAGTCTCTGCTATTGTGAATAGTGCTGCAATAAACATATGTGTGCATGTGTCTTTATAGTAGAATGATTTATAATCCTTTGGGTATATACCCAGTAAAGGGATTGCTGGGTCAAATGGTATTGTTAAATAAGTGAAAAAATAAATAAAAAAAATAAATATAACATATATTATACAAGGAGTAGGAGAGTAAAAAGGATGAATTTATTTTACAAAAAAATGAGAAACATCAGACGGAATAATAGGAATAGAAAATTATAACATAAAAAGCATGCCTCTTTCCACATCTTATATAAGCCTCACAGAAGAGAGAATATCATGTTAGAAAGTTTAGGAAAATAGATTAATGAAAGAAGACAATTTTTTCTGTGAATTTGCAGAAAATCATTGCTAGATAGTAGCCACAAGGTAATAATTTAGACAGGGCAAAGCTAAATATAAAATTATATTTTTTAAAAGTTATGTGACAAATCTTTAATATCTAATTGAACTTATACGGTTTTATAGTAATAAAATAAGTCAAAATTGGCAGATGGCTGGCATCATGCAAACTATATTGTCTGGGTTTTGTTTATTTTTGTTCAGCTTGGTTTGCTTTATTTTTTAATATAATTTCTGAGCATCAGATAATTGTAAATCTTATTAGTGGCTAGAAAACAAAAACAGTTTGCTTAAAAGCAACGGAGTATTAGGTTTATCAAAGTAATTTTAAAATTTTTGTTGTATTTCTCTAATAGCAAGATTGATTTGAAAAAAAATTCAATTAATGCTGCTATAAGAACTCAGAAAAAAATTAGTATATTTGGTGATATTACCATTGCCTAAAAACCAAAAGTAAATTTATGTTTCCCTTCCTTCCTTCCTTCCCTCCCTTCCTCCCTCCCTCCCTCCCTTTCTTCCTTCCTTCTCTCTCTTTCTTTCTTTCTTTCATTCTTTCTTTTTTGTTGTTGTTGTTGTTGTTTTTTGTTTTTCATGGAGTCTCGCTCTGTCACCAGGCTGGAGGGCAGTGGTGCGATCTCGGCTCACTGCAACCTCCGCCTCTGAAGTTCAAGTGATTCTCCTGCCTCAGCCCCCCGAGTAGATGGGACTACAGGCACGCACCACCATGCCCAGCTAATTTTTGTATTTTTTAGTAGAGACGGGATTTCACCATGTTAGCCAAGATGGTCTCGATCTCTTGACCTCGTGATCTGCCCGCCTCAGCCTCCCAAACTGCTGAGATTACAGGCATGAGTCACCACGCCCGGCCTCTTTCTTTCTTTCTTTCCCTCTTTCACAAAATCTTGCTCTGTCACCCGGGCTGAAATGCAGTGGCACAATCACAACTCACTGCAGCCTCCACCACTGGCACTCAAGCAATCCTCCCACCTCGGCCTCCTGAATAGCTGAGACTACAGGCATGTGCCACCACACCCAGCTAAATTATATATGTATATTTTAAAGAGATGTGGTTTTGCCATGTTGCCTAGGCTGGTCTTGAACTCTTGGGCTTCAGCAATCCACCCACTTCAACCTCGCAGAGTGCTGGGATTACAGGCATGAACCACCATGCCCAGACTCATGTTTGACCACAATTCTTATGGCCTCTTTACCTTCTTCAGAGTTTATTGTTAAGACAAGACAGAGAGTAACTTTAGGCTACATTTTTTTTTAGAGAAACAGTTTTAGATTTTTCTGTAAACAGTACAGGAATAAGCTGAAGTCCTACGGAGTAAGACACTTATTTCACTTATTTACTGAAAAAAAGTTCACAAGATTCTTCTTTGTATTTCTTTTGTGTTGCAGATCCTGTCAATAAAGTGTTGATAACTAGAGAAGGTAATAGGAGACAATACATCTGTAACCTGTCACTAACATGGCAAGGAAACAGACCCTCACACTATTGAAAAGCTAAAAGAGAACACCCACAGACTATTATGATTGTATCCAGAAGTCCTGAAGAAATTGTTTAAAAAGCATCAGAATGACATGGGTAGAGACACAAGATTATGAAGGAAATTCTGGAGTGTGGGAAAGGTCTTAATTCATTGTATCTGTAGTGTAGCTTGACATTAGATTAGACACTGAGTCAATGTATTCCTACCCTTGGACTATAGCAAAAGACAAAAACACCAGCATGGAGCCATCTATCAGAATACTTTACTGCTAAAGGCAGAACAGTTCTCTGGAACTTTCAGGGAGCAGAATACTCAAAACTTGGAACAGACCACATGATACAATCCAAGCTGGCTTCAGGGAGCAAGACTGCCGTTGGTGAATTCTGGATTATGCTGTATTTTTAAAGTTTTATTATTTATTTGTTTGTTTACTTACTTATTTATAATTTAATGAGTTAATACACTCTTTACTATGGACTGAATGTGTATGTACCCACAAAGGTCATATGTATAAACGTAATTCCCAATGTGATCGTATTAGAAGGTGAGGCCTTTGAGAGGTTAATTAGGTCATGAGGATGGAGCCCTCATGAATGGGAATAGAGTTCATAGAAGGGACTGAATCGACTAGAGTTCTCTTCTTCCACCATGTGAGAGGACAGTGGGCCCTCACCAGACACCAGATCTTCCAGCACTTTGATCTTGGACTTCCCAGCCTCCGGCACTGTGAGAAATGAATTTCTGTTGTTTATAAACCACCCAGTTCTAAGTTTTTTGTTGTAGCAGCCTGAAGAGACAAAGAAAGTTTTCCACACAGATATGTGTCTTTTGTTAAAAAAGAAGAAGAGAAGAAGAATTTAAGATATTGTGGCAATTTTAAGGCATAGGCACAAATTCCTTGGCCCTTTGTCCATTGAAAGATGGGGTTTATGTCTTCATCATCTGAATCTGGGAGGAGCTGCATCTCCATGGATACCACTACCATCCAGGCCACTATTATTATCTCACCTGAAATATATCAGTCACTTCTTACTGGGTTGATCTGCTTTCATTCTTTCTTCCCCTGTGGTCTATTTTTCTTACCAGATAAAAAATAATGTTTAAATATAAGTCAAAGTACACTAATTATATCCTTGCTTAAAAGTCTCTAATAGCTTCCCACTACTCTTGTCTATTATGGAGCTTTAAAATGCCTACAGAAACTTTGACTTTCATATATGTTTGGTTTTCTGTCCTAGAATTCTTCATTGCAGTCCTTGCTTCAGGGCCTTTTCACCTACTCTTCCATCTACCTGGAAAATTTCCCTTTTATCTCCTGCCTCATACATCTCACCAAAATCTTCACATGGATCAGGTCTTTCTCATCATTCAGATCTCAGCAAGATAACTCTGTCTGTATTCCTTGTGTTCTCCACTAAAATGTAAGCCTCATAAGAGGTTAGACTTGATCCATCTCATGCCCTGTTGTACCTTCAAAAGTTAGAACAGTCCTATTACAGTGTAAGCACTTTATTATATTTAGTACATAATTTTTTTAAAAAAACACTTGACGTTGTCTACTATATAACTCATTACCCCCGAAGTATACGTACTACATCCTGAACATTGATATATGGGAGATGAATAAACCATCGTACAATTCTTAGATTGTTGTTACTGTCATTAAAAGTACAGCTACCACAAATAAATATCACTTGTTTGCTGTTTCACAAAAAGCACACCAAGATGTTCAAATTTCCCATAAATCATTCACACTCACACTTGGATAGATACCAAATTGTTTGGAAGTAAAACAATCTCACTCAAGACAAAAGAACGTTTCTTTAAAATCTTCAGATTAAAAAACACAATCAACATAAAGAAAATGCTGTCTCTGCTTATTAGTTGGGTGTCCTTGACAAGAACTTTAACCTGTTATTGGGTTTGTTCCAACTAAAAAATAGGGAAGTTAATAGTATTTGACTCAGAACAAGGTTGGTTTCTCTTGTATTATTATTATTATTATTATTATTGGTGGTGGTTTGCAGGAAAGGTGCTACTGGAAATAAGGGAAGAGGCTATAGTTTCCCAGAGTGACCTTTCCCTCACCCCAGCTATTCTTCCTTCTTCCTCTACTGCCATGATCTGGACAACTTCACTTTCAATCCAGATTTGTAAGATGGTAAAATAGTGGTCACTTTTTACTTTATCAGGCCATTTTACAGCTAAAGGGAAAGTGGATAGGGAACATACTTTGATTAAAGGTAGGATACAACATAGAAAATCTAGAATTCATAAATACTAGATTCTCATGAAGTACACAAACATTGTTAACAATAAGATAATCTTATAATAAATAAGAAATAAATTACTAATTTTATTCAGGCAAACCACTTTCAGAACAGAATAGGGTTGTGATATATTTAATTGTGACAGCATCTTTTCACATAAAATATAATCATAATACACACACAAGTCCCTTCTCAAAAAGAACAAAAGAATAATTTAATCACAACTTTGCATATTTCTGTTCATGTGAACTGGCTATTCCATTTTTCATAATCTAGTAAGCTCCTGATAGCAATAAAGGTTTAAAACTATGCAAGAAACATGCAGAATTTTAAAAAATTGAATCTGTTAATTTACTATGTTTTTACTGCAAATTGAGACACACTGACATTATACCATTTTGGTGATGAAACACAAGTGCTTACAGGAGCACAGTTTGGGAGTAACAACCTGAATTCAAAGCTTGACAGATATGAAAATGCTAAACAGATCTGTATGTTAGAATACAGCAAGAACTGGCAAAGGAGTGAGGAGAAGGAAAAGGTGAGAGTGATTTCTCAATAAAGGAAGAAAATAACATGTACACGTGTATTAGTCCATTATCACACTACTATAAAGAATTACCTGAGACTGGGTAATTTAGAGAGGAAAGTGGTTTAATTGACTCACAGTTAAGCGTGGCTGGGGAGGCCTCAGGAAATTTAACAATCATGGCAGAAGGCGAAGCAAACATATCCTTCTCACATGGTGGTACGAGAGAGAAGAATGAGAGCCGAGCAAAAGGGGAAGTCCCTTATAAAGCATCAGATCTCAAAAGAACTTACTATCATGAGAACAGCATGTAGGAAACCACCTCCATAATTCAATTACTTCCCACTGAGTCCCTCCCATGACATGTGAGGATTATGGAAACTACAATTCAAGATGAGATTTGAGTGAGGACACAGCCAAACCATATCATTCCACCCCTGGCCTCTCTCAAATCTCATGTCCTCACATTTCAAAACACAATCATGACTTCCCAACAGTCCCACAAAGTTTTAGCTCATTCCAGCATTAACCCAAAAGTCCAAGTCCAAAGTCTTATCTGAGACAAGGCAAGTCCCTTCCTCCTATTAGCCTGTAAAATCAAATGCAAGTTAATTACTTCCTAGATACAAAGAGGGTACAGACATTGGGTAAATACACCAGTTCCAAATGAAAGAAATTGGCCAAGACAAACGGGCTACACACACCATGCAAGTTCAAAATTCAGTAGGGCAATCATTAAAACTTAAAGTTCCAAAACAATCTCCTTTGTCTCCATGTCTCACATCCAGGGCATGCTGATGCAAGAGGTGGGTTCCCACGGCCTTGGGCAGTTCAGCCCTTGTGGCTTTGCAGGGAACAGATCCCTCCAGGCTGCTTTCATGGGCTGGTGTTGAGTGGCTGTGGCTTTTCCAGAAGCACGGTGCAAGCTGTTGGTGAATCTACCATTCAGGGATCTGGAGGATGGTGGCCCTCTTCTCACAGCTCCACTAGGCAGTGCCCCCATGGAGACTCTGTGTGGGGGCTCCAACTCCACATTTCCCTTCCACACTGGCCTAGCAGAGGTTCTCCATGAGGGCTCTGCCCCTGCAGCCAGCTTCTGCCTAGACATTCAGGCATTTCCATACATCCTCTGAAATCTAGGCAGAGGTTGCCAAACTTCAGTTATTTTCCTCTGTATACTCACAGGTTAAACAGCACATGTAAGCTGCCAAGGCTTGGGGCTTGCACCTTCTGAAGCAATGGCCCGAGTTGTACATTCGCCTCTTTTAGCCATGGCTGGAGCTGAAGCAGCTGGGATGCAGGGCACCATGTCCTGAGGCTGCATAGAGCAGGGGGGCCCTGGGCCTGCCCCACACAACCATTTTTCCCTCCTAGCCCTCCAGGCCTGTGATGGGAGAGGCTGCCATGAAGGTCTCTGACATGCCCTGGAGACATTTCCCCCACTGTCTTGGTGATCAACATTTGGTTCCTTGTTACTTATGCAAATTTCTGCAGCTGGCTTGAATTTCTCCTCAGAAAATTGGTTTTTATTTTCTATCACATTGTCAGGGTGCAAATTTTCCAAAATTTTATGCTGTGTTTCCTCTTGAATGCTTTGCTGCTTAGAAATTTCTTCCACCAGATACCCTAAATCATCTCACTCACACTCAAAGTTTCACAGATCTCTAGGGCAGGAGCAAAATGCCACCAGTTTCTTTGCTAAAGCATAGCAAGAGTTGCCTCTCCTCCAGTTCCCAACAAGTTCCTCATCTTCATCTGAGATCACCTCGGACTGGACGTCATTGTCCTTATCACTATCAGCATTTTGGTCAAAGCCATTCAAGAAGTCTCTAGGATGTCCCAAACTTCCCTACATCTTCCTCTCTTCTGAGCCCTCCAAGTTTCTAGGAAGTTCCAATCTTTCCCACATTTTCCTACTTATTCTGAGCCCTCCAAACTGCTACAGTCTCTGCCTGTTATCCAGTTCCAATTTTCGGGTATTCTTATAGCAGAGCCCCATTACCAGTACCAATTTACTGTATTAGTCCATTCTCACACTGCTATAAAGAACTGCCCAAGACTGGGTAATTTATAAAGGAAAGAGGCTTGGGTGGGAGGCCTCAGGAAACTTACAATCATGATGGAAGAGGAAGCAAACATATTCTTCTTCACATAGCAGCAGGAGAGAGAAGAATGAGAGCTGAACAAAGGGGGAAGTCCCTTGTAAAGCCATAAGATCTTATAAGGATTTACTGACTATCAGGAAAATGGCATGAGCGAAACCTCCCCCATGATTCAATTACCTCCCATCGGGTTCCCTCCCACCACATGTGGGGATTATGGGAACTACAGTTCAAGATGACATTTGGGTGGGGACACAACCAAATCACATTAACATGTGACATATTACCCATTTTAATTTTGCAAGAAAACAGAAAACAGAATTCTGAAAGGTTGAAGTATCTAAGACATTAAAGAGATTGTAAATTGACAAAGGGAAAAAGGATATACCAAATTTTAGGCAAAGCGTGGTAGTATGAAGGAAAACAGTATCTCAGAGGAAGAGCTTGGAATGGGTTTGACTAGACAAACAACCCTCCAGGGAGTCACGGGAGATGAAAGAGTGGTGGCAGGGGACTGACTGTGTGCCTTACAGGTAGTGGGATCCAACAGGTGCTTTTATGTAAGATATAACATGATCAGATTTGTGTGTTCATTGTAGGTGTTCAGATTCAGGTTGTTAACACTTAGATTTGTCCCTTGGCCCTATGCCTGCATCTTCAGAAGCTTTTCAAAATTTATATGCAACTACTTTCTTCACAGGAAGTTTTCCTAGGCCCTAACTTCTCCCTCCTCTTTTTAATCCTCATTTTCTTTTCAGCTTCCCCAATTTCCATAGGATGAAGTTTCACTGAAATTAAATTTTTCATCTTTGCCTTGTTACTTAAAAATGATAATTTGGTTTAATAGGTGCATTAGCTTTTATTCTGTCAACTGCTTGTCATAGTACCTCATATTTTCACATTCCTTGGTCCTACCCAATGCAGTTCTAACATAAAATAAGCTTCCAGGATATTATTCTTATATCTGAGCAGTGTAGGCATGTTAGTCCTGCTTGTCTGGTAAATGAGATCATAGAATAAGTATTACTGGAAACCAGTATTGGCATATTTGTATAGTCCAGGTGTTAACTGATGTTATCCCATCTTTTGAGACTTTTACATAAAATTAAATTGACCCATTTCCTGCATCTTCCCTTCCCCTACCCCACTCTCTACATTTAGTGGGAAGTTTGATGCCCACCTCCAGATTCCTACAAATTCCTCAAAGTTTGGGTTATTTTAATGGGCCTTTTTTGGTTTTAAATCAAATTTCTTTTTTTTTTTTTTTCTGAAGCCCTGATCTTATATCTCACTCTGATGGCTATTTTATTCAAGCCCCACAGCAACCTATAATACCTTCCTTTAAAACTGACGTGGCCAGGGCATGATTAACATGGAGTATGTGTGGGAGACTACTGAATTTTGGGATGGTTTGAGAAAGGGGCTATGATTACATCATAGGAGTATCAATATTACCAATCAAAAAATAAAATATTCAATATGCCTGCCCCTAAATGTCTTTCCGTCACTTTCCTTCCACTCCAGTCAGGAATTTATCCACGAGTGACACTCACCAACAGTACCCTTTGCTCCTATGACCCTTTCTTTCTCCTGTCTCACCCCATTTCTCTGCCTACATTTCTCTGGTCCTCCTTACTTGTAGTAGCAGTACATTTATCCAGTTTATCTATTTGCTTCTTTCTTTCCAAACACAGCATGCACGGAAGTATGCATCTTGCACACTTAAAGAAGATATGCTAAACAAAATGTCATTTCTCTGGAAGGAAATTCTGATACTCCATTAGGAGAAGAGGTGATTTTACATAGTTGTGACTTTAAATATAACTTTTTCCTTCTTTATTATAGTTTGATTGAGTTGGTTTGTAATTTGGAAGGAAATCGAATAACACTTTTTATTAAATGTAACAAATCATAAAATGGTAATTTAATTAAAATTAGAGCCAGAAAGAAAGAGAGAAAGAGAGAAGGAAGGAAGAAAGGAAAGAAGGAAGGAAGGAAGACAGGAAGACAGAGAGGGAGAGAGAAAGGAAGAAAGAAAAGAAAGAAAAAAGAAGGAAAGAAAGAAAGAAAAAGAAAGAGGAATGAAGGAAGTGAGGAATGGAAGAAAGGGAAAGAAAAAAAGAGAAAAGAGGGGGGACAAGATGAAAAAGGAAGGGGATAGGAATGGGGAAAGAAAAGGATATATACAGGAACAGTTAGGTTAAGAGAGCCCAAGTTTGAAAGTTAGCTTAGTTGTGAGTAACAACACTACTTTGTTGTGGCTTGCAGTATTTGTACTCCTCTGTTCAAAGCACTCTAAATAGCTTCCTGGCTTAGAATAAAAGACAATGTCATTTCAATAGACACCATGGCTCTGTGTTTCTGCTCCCCTTGCTTGTCAGATCTTATCTCCTACACTCTCATAGCCCACACCAGTCCTCTCACAATGACATTTTCCTCGGTAATATTTGTGTGATCTCACCTCAGAGACCTTTCCCTTGCTGTTTTCTCTTGTTTTGCCTCGGATATTTACATGTGTCACTCCTTTGCCTCCTTTAGATTTTTGCTCAAATATCAGCTTCTTACAAAGATTTTCCTAAACATTTAATTGGATCTTATTTACCCCTTGACAACTTCTTCCAGCTCTCTCCACCTACTACTCTTATATTTTATTATATATGTTTATTGTCTGCATCCCCTCATTAGAATGTTCATGAGGACAGGAATTGGCATCATTTTGTTCATAAGTGGTTTGCCTAGAACTGTGCCTGGCCTATAGAATTACTTTAACGCAATTTTTGTAATTATTGAACACAAAAACTATTAATAATTTTTTAAACTGACTACATAATTTGATTAGTGAATCACTTTTTATAGTCCAAGAACTCTACCCAGAAAGCGTCACTTGGCCTGAAAAGACAGGAAGAACAGAGGAGTCTGGGCCTCAGAAAGAGAACCTGAAGACTTAGGTCAGTTCTTTCCAGAGTGTTTTGTAGCACTGGTCTCCACATACTTCTTGTTCATATTCCTCCTAGGTGACTTTTGAAAAAACAGATACTTCTCATGTATTTTTTTATTGACATCTAATATTATTTTCCTAAGTTTTAACTAGTTGCAAAGATGCATTTTAGCTATTGAGATTTGAAAGTAAAATGGTTACATCACCTCTTTAAATAGGTCCATGGAATATACAATCTGATACTCAATATCTTTCACTGAAAAATATGAAAGCACTGCCTTCTTTAATAGAAATGCTATGATATTTCTTTTTCTCCTTGAATCATTTTCCATGACACTTTTCCCCACAGAATTTTATCTTCATGTAGTATGTTCATTTGCTGGAAAATCATTTACTAATTATGATTTCATATTACATGGTATATTAGACTGTCCTCATATTGCTACAAAGAACTACCTGAGATTGGGTAATTTATAAAGAAAAGAGGTTTAATTGGCTAACAGTTCTGCAGGCTGTACAGGAAGCATGGCTGCAGAGGCTCAGGAAACTTACAATCATGGTGGAAGGCGGAGAGGAAGGAGGCATATTTTACATAGCCAGAGCAAGAGGAAGAGAGTGAAGGGGGAGATGCTACACACTTTTAAACAACCAGATCTGAGAACTCACTCACTATCACAAGAACAGCAAGGAAGAAACTCGCCCCATGATCAAATCACTTCCCACCAAGCCCCTCTTCCAACACTGGGGATTATATTCGACAGGAGATTTGGATGGGGCACAAATCCAAACCATAATCACATGGGAAGTGGGAAAATGTAGGTTTTTTGAGACTGAGAATCTTATCACTAAAATTATATTAGTACAGACTTGATTTAAACAATATAAATGTATTATATAATGTGAAAAGTATTTATTGGAAATGCATCTGTTAATCAGATGGATGAGGCTATTTTTTTTTCTAATAATTCATGTACTTGGAAGATCATCACTTGTTGCTGGAATGGAACAGAGGGTTCAGTATGCTGCTTATTTTTTTTTCATTTTTCTAATTAAGAACTGAGAAATTTGCTCACATAATAAGAATATGGAAATTTTAATTCCTGGAAATTCTTCCAAGCTACAAAAAGAATATACAGTGCCATACTAAATCATCAAAAATGGTTTCCCATAACCTGTCAGCTGAAACTCTATTAGGTATATCTTCAATTATGTTGAAAACAAAAAGAATTGAAAACCACCTTAGTTTCAGAAGAATCTGATACTCAAACCTAAAAGCTATTCACTGTTTTCTACACCAAGACCAATTTCCATTTGTTTGTTTAGTGCCCTGGAGCGTTTTTGTTGTTGTTTTCCAAGGAGTAATGTACCAATAATATGATTAAGGTTGCTCAGTATGTGGATTTTTTTCTCTTTTATAAAGAGATAAGAGTGATTATAATGGGTGGGGGAGGAGAACTTAAATCTCATCAAATCTTTCTGAAGCAGATTTTAGGAAACTATACACATACAGGTTTTGTAGATATTTAGGTTGATTCCTTAAAAATATCCTTCTACTTGCATACCCTTGTTTGAAGCTTGTACTTTAAAACAAGCAAATAAAAATAACCAATCCTATAAATAAGTGTCCTAAAATGTGTACCAAAAAGATATGTTTGAGAAATGCTACTTTTGCTTTTCTCCTTAAAAAACTCACAATGTTCACTGTTGGCATATAATGAACATATGGGTGTTCTTTGGTAAAGAAACCTGTTTGGCTTGTTTAACACAGGCTTTCTAAATCAAATTTGAACACAGGACACTTTTCTCTTGTGACATTATTTGACAACCCACAGTACTAGTATTCCATTGGTACACATGTAGCACTATACTAGATGTGGCTACTGAAAAGAATGGCGATATATAAAATAGGAACTCCGAAGAAAAGTGGCTTTAGAAAATAAGGGCTCAATGACACTGGTTGCTGAAGTCATAGGAAAGTGAATTTTGCTAACTATGGAATCTGAGAGAGTAGAGAGGGACCCAGGGGCTGAGCAGGATGTTGCACATTTAGAACAGAAAGAGGGCTAGTTGAAGAAATATGGGGGAAGGGAGAAGACTCAATGTTGCCACCAAGCTATTATATAAGAGACTTTGACAAGACGATCTAACATCTAGGATATTTCATACATATTCAACAGATAAGCTGCTGCTGAGAATATTCTTTCATTTTGAAGCTGGGGGCGGATGGGGAGCCTAGACAAAAAATAACTCTGCATCTCCAGAGATCAAGGGAGTTAAGAAAATTCATTCAGTCTCAAATGGTGCTAGATGGAAAAATGGTAATTTAGAGGAGGAGAAAAAGGATAGCATGGCCCAAAATATAAGAATATGTGAAAAACTGACCTGCCTGGAGAAAATGGGTACAAAGTCCAGATGAGAGCAATGAATCTTTAAATTGATGCAGATGAATTAATATGTGAATGAGGGAAATTTAACTTGTTTTGTTTTTCGTATACAGACAGCTTTCTCTCTGAGATACCCTAGCACTATAATCAAATTTTGTGTGCTCAATGCAGTGCATATATTTTGGGGAAAAAAGGTGACATAAGAGAAGTGAAAGACGACAGTCAAGCTTTAAGCAGGAGGTGGAATCTTTACTGAGCCTCTAAAGGACACAGAAGTCACCTAAGATACAGAGCTGATAATAAGGTGTGTCCAGAAGGTGTCTCTCTTGAAAGGCTTTCTATAATGTACCTGTTCTCTTCTCAGTACCCACAGTGTAATTTTTAAAGGTTTAGAAACATCATAGAAAAAATTACAAAGATAAGTAAAGGAGAAAAACTGAACAGCATAGACAACAACCACAGTGAAAAAATACAATTTTTGTCTATATAGTCCCTGTAATATTTAGATCAGCATCCTTCTTAGAGTTCTCTGAACATACATTTGACAGGACTGGACTGGGTCTGAACACATTGTAAGCTGGGAGCTGATACTGGATGTCACTGAATTGACTCCTCAATCAAACCTACATTTTCAGGATACCTTTGTAATATGTATCCCCTTTGTACATAGTACGTTGTACTATGGTCAGTCCATAGCATTACTAAAGAATGCAACTACCAGCAAAGATTTAAATATGGAATCCAAGAGACAGATTATATTTGGCTTTAATATCAGTTACTATGACAACAAATGGGTTATTTAAAGTGGTTAGCATTCTAGCCCACTGAGTTAATAATATGGACAAGAATGGCATAAAAGTTGAGCAAAAGCAAATTACCTCAATGTCATATCACATAGCAATGACAATGAAAGCTGTGTAGGCTTAAGAGGGTTCAGAGGGTTTGGAAAAACATCGTTAGGAAGGACAAATCCATCAAAAAATATAAACAGTTTTATTTATAACTAGCAGCACATTTTTGATGCCTCCTCAATATCATGTTCTTCAGGCTTTTTAAAATTCAAGCCTTCAGATTTAAAACAAAACAAAACAAAAAGCCAAATTGGAACAGAAATTGGCATTTAGCTAGAATCTTTTACAACTGCATGATCTCCATTTACTAATTATCCCCTTTCCATCTCAAGCACATGGTCAAGAGTGAAATGTGAAATTAGATCTTGGATATCCAGAAGATTTTAACAAGGAAAAAGGTAATGCAATAAGTAAGTAAGGATCAAGTTTTATAAGCTGCTGTTTGAAAGATTCATCTGCTAAAAGCAGCAAAGAATGGCATATCATAAGATGTTAAAGCAGATGGCCTAAGTCACAGTGCTACATTACACAAGTATGAAGACTAGAACTGAAATAGCCTAAGTAATATTTTTATTAACAAGATGCCAAGTACAGCAGCAAAAATACCTTTAGGAAGAAATCTCACTTCAAGAAAGGTTTTTCCTCTTTACACTTTATGCTATTTTCTGAATTACTCTTGTTCTGTTGCATATGTTTAAGTGTCTGGGTGCTCACCATGCCCAGATGAAAGAAGCTAACCTCTTTCCTTAAATGAGGGCCTCCTTGTCTTATGAGCCCACCTGTGTGATGGAGATAAATGAGTGTAAACTAAACCAGCAACCTAGGAAAGAGTGCACTATACTGTATAGTCTTGCAGATAATTTTTTGCACAGTAAACAAGGAGAGTGGGGGACTCATTGGTCTTTGAATTAGTTATAAAGAAAGCAACACTCATTAAGTCTGTGATGACACTAAATGTTGCTAGAGTGATCTTAAGATTATAAAGGTAATGCCAGGTAGTCACTTCCAGAATCCAGACACACAGTAGTGGCTGTAAACAGGGAGCTGTGATTACCCACAGACATTTCAACTACAAAACCAGGCTACGACAAGCAGATCAGAGAGCTGACACTCAGAAATGCAAAAGACTTTTTCAAATCAGAAAGAACAGGCTAAGGCTGAACAAATGGATTCACCTATATAGCCCTATCAATACATATTGTTCACTAATATATGTGTATTCATTCATCTATGGATTATATTTAGGGACCACTGTGGGAATGGTGTAGTGGTTAAAAGCATGGAATTTCAAATCAGACAACCTTGTTTTGAATTTTCAGCTCCTCCACTCTGGATGAGTTAACATGACTTAATCTTGGCTTTATTTGTATTTTTCTCACAAGGCTGTCCCAAATATCAAATGTGTTTAAAGCCCTTAGATCAGCGACTGACACAAAATTTACACCATACACTGTTTGATGTTATTATTAAATAGTATGTGCATTGTAAAATACATATAAAATAGAAAAATGATGCAAATAGGCACCAGTGGAAATTCTGATGTTTTTCTCCCTTACTCCATGAATTTGCTTGGGCAACACCATCTAGGCCATCAATCTGAAGAATAGAAGTTCAATAGGGAAAGTTTTGAGCAAAGTACAGTCAAAAGACAAAGATGGCAGACCTTATTCAAATACAGAACAGGAAAGTTAAGACCAAAAGGTCATAATATTTGGCCTGACAGGCCCTGGTATCTTGGACTTCACTTTCATGGAGATGAAGAGCATAGATTTGAAAGCTTAATATCATTATATGTGAATCCTATATCTATCTCTCTTTATGAAAATTTGGCTTTCTTTACAGCTTTCTAACAAGGAAAAAATGTCATAGCCAAAGAATGATACTACCTCTTTGGCAGGTAAATGTATCATAATACATAAATTAATCATCATTCTGCTTATAAACTTAACATTATTGTGAGTTTTTTCAGCATGAGTCAGCCTCCCAAGTTCATTGCAAAGTGTGAGTTTTAGGGCCTATCGGGCTGTGGGGTAGATCCTGCACAAAGGCAAATTTAGCAGGGTAATTCTTGCCTTTGCCTGCCTGCCAGTCTGGCTGTATTGTCCTGGTGACATCCGGCTTCTAAGATGCTACTACTTTAAGTTTTCTAAGTTCAATCTGGCACTGCATAGTTGGGTCAATAAATTGGAAATTTCTCCTTTATGTTTTCATGTCTCACAATCTTAAGAACGTGGATTTAGTTAGGCACGTGGATTCAAATTATAAATTGTTATTTTGTTTCCACCACCCCCACCACTGCCACCCATCCTCCATCCCCAAAAGCCTTATGATCTCATCACCTAAGAAAAGTATTCAGGACACAACTAAATAGTAATATGAAGCCATATTTTTCAAGCTTCTCTTAGAAAATATGTGATTTATATTTTCTGGCTGAAGGACTGTCTTTTGAATTAGAAAAGTCTTTGATCTACTACTAGTTTTTTAGTGTTTCAGTGGAGTCCTCATTAAAAAACTGTTATAGGGTAGTACAACTGATGATGTTCTTTATTTTCTGACCATTACTGTGATTGTCATACATGCAAAGAGCTAGAAAGTTCCAATAGATTAATCTGCATTGGACTTTCTTAGGCCAACTCTCAGGCTTCATTCCATGGTGGTGATCACATCTGAATAGCAAAAGCATCACATTTGCTTGCATTTGGCAGAAGATGATTTGCCTTGACAAATATTCACTTATAAGTCAACATTTTTAGCCATTCTTTATATCAAAATGAAAAATTAATTTATTAATTTTATCCTAATTTTTACCATTTGTCATTTACAATTTTTACCATTTTCATAAAGAAAAATAACAATTGAACTCTAAGTTCAAAAACTCCAACAAGCACCAACCAACCTGTGACCACACTTACATCTATGGAGCAGTACAAGCTTTCAAAGTCATGTTCCATTTTGTAACAGGTTTAGCCAAAATGATGATATTCAAACCACTTTTTATATCACAGAATTTACCCCATTACCATTTCTCGAACCCATGAAGAAAGTTAAAGCTATTTAAGTCAGCGTGTCCTTGTGTAATAATTTAATAACTGCAATTGTTTTCAAGAAGCAGGGAGGCATTAGTTTTGAAATCTGTCCTATATTTGTACTTCTGAGACCCATCTATAATGAACTCACTAATAAATCACATACTACTGAAAATTTCTTCACAGGTGTTTCTGCTCTAAAATCTTTGGCAAATGGAACATGTCATTATAGACATCATCAGTAAAAGATAATAAACAAAAAATAATAGAGCCAAACTACTAAAATTCATAATTATTTGCTCCAGGTAGGCTAAAAGTATTGGGTTGACTGCAATTTTTCAACCATTTCTTAAAGCATATTTTTGGAACACAGTACAATTAGTCTTCTATGGCATTACTCAAAAAGGATACCTTTAAAAAAGACAGAGTGAATTGGACATCGAAAGTCTTTTTTAAAGGGCTGAACTAAGTTTTCTACATTCCAAGTCTTACCTTCTAAGGAAGTGTCAAATAATTTAAAATATTTTCTTAGTAATTAGGGCTTTTCACTCTGTTGACTCTAGTCAATATATTTCACTTCAGTTTTAAAAAATATTTGTGATTTTTTTCTTTAAAAATTTTATGATTTTATTTTTATTTTATTTTATTTTTATTGTGGAATACATATGCAGAATGTGCAGGTTTGTTACATAGGTATACACGTGCCATGGTAGTATACACGTGCCATGGTAGTATACACTTGCCATGGGTAAATGACCCATCAACTCGTCATTTACATTAGGTATTTCTCCTAATGCTATTCCACCCCTAGCCTCCCATCCCCAGACAGGCCCCCATGTGTGATGTTCCCCTCCCTGTGTCAGTGTTTTCTCATTGTTCAACTCCCACTTATGTGTGAGAACATGATTTTATTTTTTAATGTTGCTGTAAAAAGGTACCTATGTTCAGTGTTATGCTGGTAAATGTTTAACAAGTAGCTCTCTAAACAAATGAAACCAAGCAAAACAAAAAGCTTCGATTTGTAGCATTTGCCAATTTCTATGATGAAATATTCTCAACAGGGCAGTTTTCAAATTACCACTATAATGGCATTGAATGCAGAGTTAGGAAGAGATGCACTGTACATCATTACATAGCATTTCCATCATATGGATTCAGTAGACATAAATAATTTCAAAAGCATTTGTAATACAGTAAAAGAATTATGAAGTGATTAGTTTTGAGTATGTATTACATTTGGTTTTAATATATTTAATTGTAACACCGTGTCATTTAATTTGTAATGGTCATTGTGTTTAAGAATAATCTTTCACAGGCCATGAAGAGATGGCTCTAGCACATCACTCCCTATGTTATAAAGTTAATCAAGATTTAATAATATATGTATCTCCATGATAGCAAAATTCATATTTTAAATATCCATATAAAAACATTCTAGAGAGTTTTCATTAGTTGGTCTATTTTCTATTCATGATAGTTTGAGTATGTTACTATCTTATTTGCTTTGAAGTTCATGGAGAAGACCCTAAATGTAATGGCATAAACCTGACATTATTGTGGAAGCCAGTGTTTAACTTCGTTTTGGGAATGCATTAAAAAAAAAAAAAACTCATTAGCTTATCATAGGATAAAATTATTTTATTTAAAAACTGACTAGCCAAATCTGAAAACTCCTAGAGGAATCACAACTCCACTGTAAGGAGTGGTGACATTACTATAATCTTATCTCACATTAGAGGCCTTCCATGTTAATACCAAATAAACTAATGCGCCCAAGTTCCCAATAACACAGAAGTTTAAAATTTTCCAATCAAGCTCTCTTCAGACCTTTAAAAAGCAAATCACAAATCACAACACCTACCACATAAGATATACAGAAATCATAATCTCTGGCCTCCACAAATCTTTACTACTATTATTACAACTAATGCTATTGATTGCAAACACTATGAGCAAGGCATGGGTCTAGGATTAAATGAGGTCACATAATCCTCATATGTTACCTCATTTAATCCTCACAGCAAAATAGGGAGGTACCTCTCATCTTCAATGTATAGGTGGACAAAGAGATGTAGTTTAAATAGACTAAGTAACTAGCCCAAATTATCGCAGGGATAAAGCTGGAACCCAAACCCAGGTCTGCTTAACTCCCAAGCCCATTCTTTATTCCAGAACATTTATTATCATATTATCTCTACTCACCTGTCCTCTGTCTACCCAGTGTTCAAACTAGAAACCCCAGACTTATTTAATTTTGTCTAGTCCTTCACTCCCTACATATATTCAATCACTAAATCCCATAGGCTATACTTCCAAAATAAGTCTCAGACACGTTCATCTCCACTGCCACTACCCTGGTCAGGCCACTGTCATATCTGACCAATGTAACTACGAGTCTTCTACTTCGTCTCCTTCTCTTCCATCTTGCCACTATTCCCTGCCTCCTCATGCTCAATCATTCTTTAGCATGTAGCTAGAATAATCTTCCTAAAATTAAAATCTGATTCTGTCAATATCTTAATTAAAATATTTCAGAGAGGACTCAACTCCAAAGTCCTTATGTAGATTTTCCTCAGCTCTTCAGGATCTGTTCCCTATAATCTCTTCAGTCTCTGGAATTGTATTTTCCCCTCTTAGAGTGACTGATTTCTGGTTCTCTGAAGGTGTCAAGCTCTCACCACTTAGCTTTCTAACAAGTAATTTTCTCTGCCTGAGGTGCTAATCTTCTGCTCCTACTCTTCTCCAACACTTCCAGTGTAATTTGATTAATTATTCAACTTTCAACTTCACTCTTTATGCATAGCCTTTTTGGGCTCTCAAAGTCTAGGAGAGGTGCTCTGCCTTCATGTTATCCAGAACATCCCCATTCAAAACACTTAGCACACTAATTCATAATTTTCCTGTTCTCTGAAGTCAGAAACTATGTCTGTCTTATTTTTGTCTATATACCTAACTTTGAATATAGTGGCTTACATGGTAATGGTAATCAATAAACATTTGTTGAATGAATTGATGAGTTTATTCAGAGGATTAATGAGGGATGATTGCATGAAGTACCTGGTAACACTGTCCTTGTTAAGAATCTAACCATGTCTATAGATACAAAGGTGGAAAAGGGAAATGACACAGTAAAAGCTATTTTGACCTCTCCACTTTGATCTCAAAATATGATTCTTTTTTTGGTAAATACACAGTTTTTAATCATAATTATATGAATGTGGAAATATTCTAAGTGAAAAAAAACAGTCTTTAAAATTAAGATCACAAAGGCAATTTAATGACTTGGAAAGGAAATGAAATGATTTTAAATTCCATTAAAATTCATTTTATTGAATGTTTTTATATGTATTCATCATAACTAATGTTAATGACATAAAAAATTTGACTCATTGATTTAATTTTGTCCATATCCAATTTTTAATTGTTATTTATGTCATTTTTTTTCTTTTCCAGTCACTGTGACTGTTGATTCCTAATTTCTCAGGTCACGAATGGCAAATAGAAACTTTGTCACAATAATTTAATTTTTCCATTATTTTCTGGAAATAATGGTTTAAGTGTATGCATATCTGAACAATATCTGTTTTATAGGTTACTTCTAATGAACACACACATACCAATTTGAAAATCCCATAGAAAACACAATCTTCCTCAATTGTTTTTTTCTTCTACAAATTTTAAACTTAAATTTTGTCCACTGTTTGCTTTGTGTTATTTGTACTGGTATTATTTATTATGAATGATATAAATGATTAATAATTTGATTTATTTTTCTGAACAAAATATAAAGCACTTAAAATAATTTCAAGCCCTTTAGTAAGTCAAAGTTATAGTTTCTAGGTGCTCAACATTAGGGTCAAAATGTTATGGTTTGATTAACAAACATTTATTGGTAGTACTGAGCAACGTTCTTTCTGCCCTTCCCTTGAGTTTTAAACATTATTTTGTTTATGGGCTTAAGTACCTAACACAATAGGACAAAGGCTACAATCTACTCATGCAGCCTCAAAACATCTTATTTCCTTTTCTTCTTTTTTTTTTTTTTGAGACAGAGTTTCGTTCTTGTTGCCCAGGCTGGAGTGCAATGGTGCCATCTCGGCTCACTGCAACCTCCGCCTCCCTGGTTCAAGCCATTCTCCTGTCTCAGCCTCCTGAGTAGCTGGGGTTACAGGCATGTGCCACTGCACCTGGCTAATTTTTTTGTATTTTTAGTAGAGACGGGGTTTCACCATGTTGGCCAGGATGGTCTCGAACTCCTGACCTCATGTGATCCACCCGCCTCGGCCTCCCAAAGTGCTGGGATTATAGGCATGAGCCAGTGCGCCAGGCCCTTATTTCCTTTTTATATACAGGCAAATTCATTATAAAAATAATTTTGAAAAATTTATTTTAAAAAGAATGATACTAAAAGAACAAATGGCTGGATTCTACTGACTATTTAAAAAACAGAAAAGACAGGAATACAAACAATAGTCAGGACTAGAATTCAGACACATTCCATCCTGAAACTCTATAATAATGAGAAAGCAAGGTGCCAAATGCCTCTAAACTCTCCATTTCTGAAAACTTGAAGTGTTTTACTGTCATATGTCTAGATGCAATTCTGATCTCTTTGGTGCCAAAACCTTATAATTATGTAACCTTTAGAAACAAAGATGCAGTTTGGGTTGCACAGTTATGTCTACCCTGTGATGATCTGATGATACTATGAAACTCTACTGCAAACTATGTCTGAAACATTCTCTGCATTAATGAAGCATGAATTAATTCTATGAGTAGATAAATTATTGGCAATGTTAATGGAAATCAGTGTTTAAGGATAAATGCTGCCATATGCAATAGAATAATAGCAAAATATGATTTAAATAAATATGCTTTACTTTTTCTGTAAGCATATTAACACTTTGGGATTATAAAGTTTTCACAGAGTACTGTGAAGTAAGGCTCACTGTGAGCTAAGTCCTACTTGTTAATACCTGGGTAAAACTGAGGAGGAGAAAAAAATCTCTGTGGATTGAGGAAGGCTCCAATGGTAGGACTTGGCATTTAAGTACAGTAGTTAGGTTTAGCTGAGGGATATAGTTTAGGAAAATATTCTGTCATCCTTAAGATCACTGCCTAGTACTATACGTAGTAGGACTTCATGGGCCCTTCCCTAAGCATTTTTTTTTGGTGAAGCTATGTCATATATGTATTCTTATAAAAGGGAAGCTATAGGCCCTTTGAAACGATCCATGGTCATCATTAACTATATTCATTTATACCATTCTGTACGTGAAGAACATAAAGTCAGTTACTTTCTCATGTACCAATTTCCTTATCCAAAAAGTAAAAAGACTAGACAGGACAGTTTTCATAGAATGAGTGTATAATTTGTATTTCTAAATCAGAGGACTTTGTGTCTTCATTGAAAATTTAGGAGACCATAATTAATCAAAGAAGCAGTAGTAATAACTCATTCTAATCAGCAAGTAGCATTTTTTATGAAAATTCCTGAAACATCATAAATAACCAGGTTCTGAAAAAAATTCAAGTAATTGCAAACTATAGAACATAAATATGCTTTGTTGATCCTTGCTTCATTAAAGTATCAGTAAAGTATATGACAGACTCTAGAATTTGGTAAGTTCTAGGCTCTTACTCAGAGCATAATGTTTTTTCAGATTTTAACATAAAAATTTCAAGTTTGTGACATCTTTGTGAGTACTGAGATGAGAAAAATTCAGTAGAAATAAGCAAGTGATATAGCATCATCTATGTAGGCACCTTTGAGGGTCTGTTTTCATCTATATTCTTAGATTCTTTCAACATATGACAAAAGAGACTGATGAAATAAAGTCTGGAAAAACACCAATATTTTTTCCCCTTGCAACCCATTACATCAGCCAGCATTTCCCTGTAGTTGTGATTATTACATTATGACTTGATTACTAACTATTACTGCCACAGTTGGAAAAGTGAAAGCACAGCGTGGAGCCATTTCCATTAAAGGAATATGAAATTCCATAACAAGCTCTGAGGCTGCACGGCTGCTGTGGGGTTGATCTCAGAAGTGCATAACTATCTACTTAAGATGCTGTTTGAAGGAGCACCCTAACTTACATCATTATTTCATTTAGTTTGAACTGTACCATGGATTTTTCCATTAAGCAATACCAGACACTTAAACACTGTTATTTGTGTTCCAAAAAAGGTAATGTGATTTTTTTTCTACCTACTTTCCAGAGTACCAGAATTTTCTACTGCGTGTATGTGCAATCCTGATTGTGTCTAATAGAACAGGATCAAGCGGTTCCATAAACTAGAGACTGCCAGTCATCTTGAAGTGGCATAACTGAGAAGAGAAGCGTTAATATTCATGTGGGTAATATTTGTATATGCCATGTAAGAACTCGGAGAGAAAGTAGTTTCAGTTGCTATGATTTAACAGAAGAACATAAAATAAAAAGACCCAAATATATTCAAAACATATAGATTAATGTTAATGGGGAAAAGGAATGGTAATACCACTTTACATCTCTTCTTGGTTTATGTGTGGCTCAAATGACAAGGTGGCATGAGATGAGGAGGTGATGTGAGGAAGCTCTTTTACGGTGTTTTTAGGACAAAATACAGTGATGGAAAAATACAAAAACTTCTTAAATATTTTATAGGAGAGTAATCATCACTGTAAGAAAACTACAAATACATTTTAATTTATGCTTGGAATAGGCTGTATGTAAGCGTGCACTGTTTGTGTGTGTGTGTGGGCACGTGAGCACACATGTGAATATGCTCTCAAAATAATAGAAAGACGTAGAAATATATGTCTTCATTTGACTTTCAAAACAAAAGAGGCTTGTTTACTCATGTGATTTCCTCTAACCGCAATCCTGCAGGGAAAATCTATACTTAGCAGGATTGAAGATGTCCCTAGAAGCTTTCCAGGGAAAGTTAAAAGGAAGTCACTCCTCCTCTTCTGTCTGTTTGCCATTTTCTTTCCTGTGTAGGATTACTAACTTTAGTCTTGAATGCATATGCTCTGCAGTAGAAAATGCAAGGTTTTAGGGTTTTATTATCAGAGAGAGGAACTTAAAAATGGTTCCAGACCTCCATATCTGCACCCCAAACCTTTCCTGCCCCCAAAGTCTTAGCTCTACCTGCCTTTGCATTAGTGCTGCTCCAATACTAGCAACAGCTTCACCTTCGAATTCCTTCTTTTTATTTTTAATATTTTAAGCACAATTAATTGAAAATCCCTAATGCAATTCTGTCCTATTTCCCCACAACTAATTTTGAACAGAAAATACCTACAAAAGTACAGTGCGAGCAAGTCTGTTGGCCAACTAAGAGTTTGCATGTGTTTTTTCTTTTTGAAAAAGATGAAAATAAAGTTGAAATGTAAAAATCTAAAATGTGGTTCCAGGTTCTTTCGCAAATATTCACTCTGCAGCAGAGAATGAGAATTGCGTATAAGTAGAACCCTGGGAAAAACAGACTGATTTGAAAGATGCTGGGAGTGCTCATTGCCCTGGAAGGAGTCATCAAACAGCAGTAGGAATGATAAAAGTCAGAGTTCCCGTCCCATTCCTGTGGCTGGCTCTGCACCTCCTGACCTTGAATAAGTCATTTAAGCTACAGAGACCATTCTTTTCTCCCTTTAGACATAAAACATCAATAATGTTAGAAAATAGCTAAAAAACTTTAAAAACTTATAAATAATTTTATCAGTAAAATTTTGTTTATAAATAATTTCTCAAATATCAAATATTCATTCCTTATTTTCTTCTGGATTTCTAAAATAATTTTCTTTCTCAATTGTGGTGACCAAATTCCAGAAAAACTGTTTTAATCTAGGACTTCACCCTTGACAAGTCACAGTATGCTGAAAATCACTTTTAAGTTGATAGTTTGCTATTGTGTACACCCCAGTTTTGACACTCTAGATATTCATAAACAACGTTTTGCTTTTCCTTTACATGCTATTATTTCATGAAAGTATCCTCAAGCCAAAACCTTGACAAAGTCAAATGAAAATGCTTAGCATTTTTTTTCTTTAGTTAAGTATAAATAAGAAATACAACACATTAAGTGTTAAAATGAAATTTAAGGGAAGACGAGGGAAAGGAAACAACTAATGAAAGAGCAATTGTTAATTTCGTTGAGACCTAACTACCTGCCCAGGCCCTTTGCTAGGTGCTTTCTATGGGCTGCCTCACTTACCATCACACAACCCCACGAGGGAGGCATCATGATTATCTCTATTGCACAGATGAAGAAACTGAAGTCAAAGCTAAAGGTCTTACTGAAGGTTTCATTGTGGGTGAATGGCCAAGCTATCTCTGATACCAGTTATGTCACACCAGAAGAAAGGAGAGAGAACAAGATAGAAATAGAGATTAAAATCATGGTCAAGAGAAGAAGAAGATGGGAGGGGGAGTTGAAAGACGAAGGGAAGGAAAAGTTCTCACCTATCCTCTGCCCTTCTAGGATGGACCTGTTCACTCCCTTCACCCACTCTTAAACTCATATCCAGGGTTAGAAGCAATCCCCATATCAGCTGTACTCCACTTTTTCCCTAGTACTCCAGTTGGGCTTTTAATGAAGAAGAAAAGGGAATACAGATAATTTGACTATAGAAATATCTTCAAGTTTTTTCCCAAGGAAACCATTTGCAAAAATTGACACTTTAAATATTATTGGTAACAAATTTCATGCACCTCATTCCATAGCTATTTTCATCACACCAGTGTGTTTTCACGGGGTTAACCTATTAACACCTTTCCATTTTTAAAAAGTCTATAGAACAATATACATATGAGGTAGGTGTTTGCTAATCAGTTAGCGAAATGCCATTAAATTAGCTTAGCTGAAGGTAATTGGTTACTATAAAAAAATACAACTCCTTAGATGCAGGGAAATGCATAGGCCTACTTTCCACTTAACTAAGGCAGTGATTTTTTACTCTAAGGAGCCTGAAGCAATCTTTGGAGGTATCCCAGGGGATGACGCTGGCCACGGGTTGGATCTCTTGACCCCCTTTTTAGTCCCTGATAAGCAGAACAACTCTGTCCTTCTGACTTATATACTGGATTTTGAATAAGATTTTGGTGGAACAAAGAGTTCAGTTTAAAAAATCTTGCAAATCACTGAGGTAAGGGACTTTCTATTTTTCTCAAGCATAATTTTGAACATAAAATCAACTCATAATTGTTACTTAAAGCCATCTTCAAAATTCGTGTCAAATTATATTCTGATATTATTAATGAAGCCAGGATGACAGTGGAATCTTTCAGTAAAACCATATGATAATATTTGAATAACAATATTTTAGTGGTTCAGTCCAGCTCTTTTGCTCAAGTATACTGAGGCAAGGAAAAGTCAGAGCAAACTCACAATGTTTGAAAAGCTTAATGGTGCTTTAACGAAAGATAAAATAGTCATAAGGGATTTTTTGAATTATAAGATCCTTATAACAAGAAGAAAGTAAAAGGAAGCTGATCTGATTTTTCCTTCATAAAATCATATTAATGGCCTGGTACATTTTGTCACTTTCAGTATGTAAATATTGATTGTCTTCTCTTACAATTTATTGTTATCATTCACACTTTCAAGGTGAAACCTTTGCCTTATTAAAATTTATATTTATTTTCAAACATTTAGAGAGAGATTTTTCCTGTCCATAAAAACTTTGAATATTAACATTTTTAAAAATAATTTCAAAAGCCTGTTTGAATGTAAAGGATAATATAGTGAAGTTCAGTTGTATGCTCCCTATGCATGAAGACCTATGCCAGACCCTGGCAAAAGTTTAGAAAAACAACAATAATAATAAAGAAGAATTTGTCTCCGATCATGAGGAACTTTGAGTTTAGCTATAAAGATTGACATATGAGGAACTTTTATGTCAACATAAATATAAGCACAAGCAACCAAAAGAAAGGAAAATGAGCTCAAATTGAGTTTCAGATAAATTATTCTAGAGGCTACACTAAGAGTAGGGCTTTTATTTTTTTAACGGCTTCACTGCAATCACTACTGAAATTTCATTCATACCATCCAACCTACCCATTTAGAGTTTTACAATTCAGTGTTTAATATATTCACGTGGTTGCGCAACCATCACCAAAATCAGATTTTAGAACATTTTGGTTCCCTCTAAAAGAAACCCTGTAGCCATTAGTTATCACTCATCATCTCTTGCCATTGACTCTTTCCCCAACCCCACCAGCCCTAAACGACCACTATTTACTTTATGTCTGTATGGATTCACCTATTCTGGACATTCCATATAAACAGAAGTATGCACGATGTTTTTTTTTATGACTACTTTCTTTATTAGGATAATGTTTCCAAGGTTCTTCCTTTTTGCGCATGTATTATTAGTTAATTTATTTTTATTGCTGATAACATTTCATTGCATAGATAGGCCACATTTTATTTATCCATTCATCAACTGACGGATATTTGGGTTGTTTCCACTTTTTGGTACTATGAGCACTGTTGTATGAACATTTATGTGTACAAGTTTTTGTGCGAAGGTATGTTTTTATTTCTCAAGTGTACGCTAAGGAGTAAAACTGCTGGGTCATATTGTAACTATGTTTAGCTTTTTGAGGAATTCTCAAATAGTTCTTCAAGGTGGCTGCATCATTTTTTATTACTACTGGCAATGTATAAGGATACCAATTCCCCAGCACTTGTTATTGACCTTATTTTTGTTCATAGGCATTTTAGTGAATATAAAGTGGTGTCTCCTTGTAGGTTTAATTTGCATTTCCCTAATGACTAAAGATGTTGAGCATGTATTTTACGCACTTATTGAACACTTGCATATCTTCTTTGGGGAAATCTCTATTCAGATCCTTTGCCCATTTTAAAATTGCATTATTTTTCTACTATTGAGTTGTAAGAGTTCTTTATAAACTCTCTATACAAGTTCCTGATCAGATATATGATTTACAAATACCTTCTCCCATTCTGTGAGGTGTTGCTTCACTTTCTTAATGGTCCCATTTGCAGCACAAGCGTTTCTAATTTTGATTTAGTACAATTTATCTACTTTTGTTGTGATTATTGCTTGTGCTTTTGGTGCCATATTAAGAAATCACCTCAGCTTAGGTTTGAATGATGAGTAAGAAGGAACAAATCAAGAATAGTGGAACCTTATTCCAGACAGACGTTAGCGAACAAGCAATGTCATGTAAACATGATATACTGTGAATTCCTCTTTTGTTAGCTTAGAACAGGGTAGAGTCCCACAGAGCCATACCTAACAACTTTGGCATACCATTATATAGATTTTCTAATGTACGATGTGGTTCCCAGATGGATATTATTCACACTATGCTATTGCTAGTTACAGGTTAAGCTCAGTTGAAAGAGTATATGTGCTGAAAGAAGGCCAATGTAATATAAACATTTAAAAAATATTTATATTTCTTTAAATAATTAAAATAACAATTACACAATTAAAATATTTATGCCTCTCATGTGGAGGCCCTAAGGCAAAGTCCAGTTTAAATATTTTAGTTACTATCCTAGATTTAAACTAAATCTAGATAACTGTCAAATATACCTAAAAAGCTTTATGTAATACTATAATTCCATGAAAAAAGGGGGAAACATTTAATAATATTGCTAACTATAGCACTCATGTTAATATTTTTTGCTTTAGACAAATATTTCCAGTTTCATTTTTAAACATGAAGTGTTTTGCTTAGTTTTTTTAGAGTTTAGTACATTGAACTGAAGCAGAGAAGCGCCCGATCATCTTATCTTACAGGAGAGAAATACTTCACTTCTGCATGAGAGCAGCCTGCGTAATGTAATGAGCCAAGGTCTAAGAGTTGACACACAGTTCCTGTTCTTCCCTGCATTAACTTTGTGTCCTCTGAAACATCACTTGCCATCTCTACATTCCCATTGTCTCAAGCGAAAAATTCAAGGGTTTGACTAGACAGTCTTTTCAACTGTGACTTTCCTGGATGAAGTGGCCAAGCAGAAACTACTGGTGAAGCCAGTGATAAACACCTCTGTCAAGGCAGTGTAGACATGCAGTGGTAGTAGTTTGTCACCTATATGATTTTATTTGAGAGTGCCAGTTCAGTCTGTCAGAAGTATCTTCCAGCTATTCATCTCTTAATTAAACATAATCAGGCATTGGTTTAAAAATGCATAACACTACCAGAGTCCAAATTATAAGTTCTAATCCAGTCTATGAGGTGAAAGGGAACCTCCTTAGATGAATGAGGAAACTAAGTCTTGGAAATGATAAATTGATTAAAAAACATGCTACTATTTAGCCGTAATCCCTGGTATCTCTCCAGATTACTTATCAGAAAGGAAATAAATACTTGTGCAAATACCTTATTCTTAAATCTAAAATCCAGAAAAATGTGTATCAGGCAATAATAGATTAATATATTAAGGTGGTCAGATAAACCACCAAATGTTGATGGAGGTGTTTTGTTTAATTGAGTAAACCACCTTTATAAAAATGGGTCATTTTTATTTATTCTAAGTAAAAAGAGATAATGGGTCATACTATAATTCCATTTTGTCTCCAATGGAAGTTATCTCTGATAAAAAAAATTCCAATTAAAAAAGACACTAGCAAAGAAACAAATTGTAATTCTGTAATTGCCAATGTCTCTGCCAATTAATACGTGATGACTATTCTGTGCCCCAGAAATGTGTTATTTGGAGTGGTCAATGAGTTTGGTCAACTTGGTCTGAAGTACACATCTTTTGTTCTTCCTCTGAATTACAACAGCAATTTATTTTTTCAGCTTTCATCACGCTCCTCAATATCTTCTTCTGACTAGAGTCTAAGCTCCTTGATATTCCCTACTAGTTTATTTTCCATTCATTTCTCTTACAAATATATATTTAGCAGTCCTAGGTTACTGTGTGGAGTACAAAGTCAGAAATCCAAGACTAAAATACCATACCACACCACTACCAGCCTGGGAATTCTCTTTTCTAGGAACAGGGCCTGACCACGGCGGACAGGGCAGTGGACTCAAATCTACAAGGGACAGCGAAGCTCTGAGCCATAAAGCTCTTATGAAGGATCAGGCTGAAGCCATTCTCTCAGTGCCTTTGCCTGAGCTCACACCCTTGTTTTGCTTCCTTCCCTGCTCCATCCTGCTTTCTTCAGACCCTGCCAATCTCCTGTGAGCACTTCCCTTAACAAATCTCTTTCATGTTAATCCTCATCTCAGAAACTGTTTCCAGGAAACCTGACCTAAGACTTGCTTATAGAAGATAAACAATTAAAAACATATATGCAATGTGGATAAACAGTGAACAAGACATCCTTCTATTTTTCAAGGGAGGCAGGCTTAAATAATTAATTGCACATTTAGACCATTTTTATCACCTTGATTTAACTAGCAATGCTCTAGCAGATATTCCCTAAATATGTGTTGAGTGAACAATTATAAATATTAAATTAAGCAACAAATATAAAATACATATATTCATTGTCTAATTCTTATGCATTTGATTGGACAATATTGACCAGAGAAGGACTTCAGAGAAGAAATTTATTTAATTGAAGATGGAAAGTAAAACAGGGTTAATATTAACTATGAGAAATTGAAAGCATCAGTTGGGGAAAAGCATATAGGTCACTTGGACCTAATCTACCAAAACTATGAAATGTTTCTCCAACCAAAATGATAGGGCTAAGAAATACAGTGGGAGTTGGACTGAGATGAATTAAAATCTCAGGAAGGCTAAATTGTTCATGCATTTCTCTTGAATGTCTTGGTAACAGGACTGAAACTTGAGAGTACTTACTGACAATTGCCCAACCCCGCCAGTTTCCTGGAAATGCTGATGGCTAGGAACCTCACCCTAAGTAAGAATTTCTTTACCATCATTCTGCTCTATGACAAAGTGAGCCCAGAGATGAAGAGGAAGCAAAAAACAGGCAAGGGATTCCAGGCATCAGCCAGCAGAGGGGAAAAAGAGTTAGGGAGGGAAAGCCCAAGTAGCTATAGAGGGGAGTAAAGGATGGAAAAGAGAAAGAAAAACCTCTGAGGTTTAAAATTTCCATGGCTGCAAGAATGGATACACAATTCAAGTTGAATGATGAAGAGTCAAGATAAATAAATAAATTAATTAAATAAAAATAAACGAATGAACACACAAAAAAATCAGAAAAGTTACTGCAATAACAGGGATCAAATTCAATACATAAAGTAAGAGTAGTAAAAAGGTTACTCTTGGAGAATATTTTAAATTTTTTTCAATTTTATTTTTAAATTGACAAATAATAATTTTACATAGTCATGGGGTCCACAACGAGATTCTGATACATACAATGTATAGTGATCAGATCAGGGTCATGAAGCCAGAACTCAGACTGTGAAGCTGGCTACAGCTCTGGGAAACACTGCCCCCTAGAGGTCCTCTGTGTTTTCAGCGAGACCAGCTTTCACCATAAACTGTCAGGAGCCAAGCCACAGACTCAGGCACCCGGGATCCCCAGGCAGAGACCTCAAACCGGGTCCAAAATTATGGTCCAGTCATCTAAAGACCTGTGTTAAGTATCAGGGCTTAGTGAAGGATGTCAGATTAGAATGAGATTATTTTTCTTTTTCTAGTCCTCACCAACCTCTCAGTACTTAAAAACTGAGTACTATTCAATTTTTAAATTTAAGGTATGGAATAGATAATATACGCATATGACACACAATTCAAAAGAAACAAGAAATGTATATAATAAAAAGTAAGTATCTTTCCTCCTCATCCCCTGTCCCCTACATTATTATTAGCTTTTTGTATGTTCTTTCAGGATTATTCCATGAATTTTTCATACACATGCCAGCACTGTGTTTCCACTTGCCTTGTCATTTTCCCTTCTAATTTAATAATATATCTTGGGGAAAGTTTGACATCAGAATATATAGGAAGGCTTTATTATTTTTAAAAACTGCATAGTATTCTGCTTTTTGATTGATTTATGTATCTAATTCCCTAAAGTTTGACAATTAGGTTGCTAGTATATAATGTTGCAATGAAAACCCTTGTTATACATGTACATAGTATAAATGACAGTATACACATATATACATATGCAAGTATGAATACACTGAAATGAAATTGTGGTCAAAATCTAGGTGCATTAGTCTTAATCGATATTTCCAAATTGATTAAAAATGTGTGCTTCCATCAGCAAATTTTGAGGGTATGCATACTGATAGAGTATATTATCAATTACTTTTTTCTCTACAATGTAACATTTTTAAGTCTCTATTTTCCATTTTTATCAGGCTTATTAATAAGTGTTAGATTAAGCTAGTTTTGGTCTAAGAGACACTTGAGTGTGTGTATTTCTGCCTATTCACATTCTTAGACCATGTTTCTCTTGCACTGTACTTTTTCTTATAATATGCTGTGCTTTTCTTTTGTTGAAAACATTATCTCTTTTTCTTGGATATAAGCTGTAAATATTTTATATATTCTTTTCCAGTTTGACATTTGCCTTTAATGTAATTCAGGATTTTCCCTAGACATATTTTGCATTATTATTACTACTTAATGTATTCAAACATACTAGTTATTTATGGCTTCAGAGTTTCCCGTCATCCTTAAAAAGGCTTCCCTATCCTGTGATTTTTTTTAAAAAAAAATCATGTTTTCCTCTAGTATTTTCATTCCTTTTTTATGTTTAACTCTAGATCTCTTCCAAACAGACAAACACACCCACACACCTACCCATTCCCCTACACACACACTTTTTCTTTTTTAAAAAATTCAAATGATATGTTGCCCCCGCCATCCCCTAAATATGGCTTTATTAGACAACTGGTCCTGGTATTTAACTGCTCACAATTAAAAGGACTAGAGATGGGATCTCACTTTATTTTCCAGGCTCCAGTCTGGAGTGCAGTGGCACAATCATAGCTCTCTATCACCTCGAATTCCTGGACTCAGGAGATCCTGCCTCAGCCTCCTAGTTTTTGATTTTTTTTTTTTAATAGATATTGTCAGGCCAGGCACATGGCTCACGCCTATAATCCCATCTGAGCACTTCTGGGAGGCCGAGGTGGGCAGATCACCTGAGGTAGAGAATTCAAGACTAGCCTGACCAACATGGAGAAACCCCGTCTCTATTAAAAATACAAAATTATCTGGGCGTGGTGGTACATGCCTGTAATCCCAGCTACTCGGGACGCTGAGGCAGGAGAATCACTTGCACCCGGGAGGCAGAGGTTGCGGTGCGCCGAGATCGCACCATTGCACTCCAGCCTGGGCAACAAAAGTGAAACTCCATCTCAAAAAAAAAAAAAAAAAAAAAAAAAAAAAAGAGAGATTGTCAGACATCGATCTATCTCATTACTCAAACAAAAAAGCAAGTTAATTCTTGTGTACAATTCATTAAATATTGTATAACCCACGTTATAGTGGCTGTAGCAGGAAGTTACTACATTCAAGGTTAAACTTTTTATAGGTGTTTTACTATGATTAAAAATATGATTTTCTAGATATTTAGCTTGCAATGTTTTAAAATGTTTTCCAGACTAAATCTCCAACTGTGGAGATTTGTGGAGAGCTCTATGGGACAGGATTCTGGATGCTCTATCACCTGTTCATCTGCATGCTACAGCCAATCCAATGCTACTTTTTCATGTTCATCATATTATACTAAAAAATTGTAAACCGACTCAAAAGTAAAAAAATGGTTTAGTAAGGCCATATATACTTATCACACAGCTTCAACAAATGATAATTTGCCATTTATAGTTCCCCTATCCTCCCTCTCACCTTTAAATAATTTATTTTTATTTTATTGGTCTTAAATTCAAGACATATCATATTCTCTGTAAATACTTCAGTATGAATCTCTAACAAACACATTTTTTAAAACCACCATAATCCATTTTTAAACCTTGTAATATAAACAAAATAATATAATATATAAGGTATATATGATATAATAAAATATATAATTAATATATTATATATGGTATATAATATATAATAAAATATATAATTAATATAATATAAAATTAACAAGCTGTGTTCAATTAATATAATATAAAATAAAATATAATTAAATATGCTATGAAATAATAATTTAATGTAATATGAAATAACCAATATAGTTTAATATAACCAAGTTGTGTTCCTCTATTGTCTCAAAATATCTTTTTAAGTATTTTTTTTTCAATTAGAATCTGGACAAGGTCTATCCATTGCATAAGGATGACATGACCATTAAGTATCTTAATTAATCTATAAAATTCACCCCTCTCCCCCCATCCCATGTCAGCTATTAGGTGATTTGCCTTATAGATTTTCATACATTATGTATTTTAGTGATTATATTTTGATGCCAATTAATACATTTCTCTATCCAGGTATTTTCCAGAATTTGTAATTCATTCTAGAGGCTTAATTGTGTTTATTTCCATTTTTAAAATGTATTTGATAACAGAGCATGAATAAATCATGGATAGCACTGTTAGTGCTTAGTGCTTATCAAGAGGCACGTAGAGGTATATACTGTCTGGTTGCACCATTCTTAGGTTAGGACTTATCAGAGAATCTAGGTATTGTCATACTGATCCATCCATTTTTAATTTCCTCAACATATTTCAACTAATGATTTTAGCAGTCATTGATGATCACGGCATAAATCCATTATTTTTTAGGTGTTGTAAAATGCTGATTTTTGAATTCTGTAATTTCTTCAGTATGTATTAATTGAAATTCATCTGTAAAGAAGACACTTTCGGCTAGGCACAGTGACTCATGCCTGTAATCCCAGCACTTTGGGAGACCGAGGTGAGCCGATCACCTGAGGTCGGAAGCTCGAGACCAACCTGGCCAACATGGTGAAACTCCATCTCTACTAAAAATACAAAAATTAGTCGGGTGTGGCGGCGCGCCTGTTGTCCCAGCTACTCGGGAGGCTGAGGCACAAGAATCGCTTGAACCCGGGAGGCGGAGGTTGCAGAGCCAAGATCGCACCACTGAACTCCAGCCTGGGCTGCAGAGCTCCGTCTCGGGAAAAAAAAAAAAAAAAAGACACTTTCTTCAACAATTATTTGGATACCTTGAAATGATGTTTGTATAGAAAAGTCAGGAAAATGCTAGACTCTTTATTATCATTTTTCTGAAAAACGAATATATGCATAAGCATTCTAAATGTGGCCATTCATTCTTTTTGTTGTTGTTGTTGTTTTCATGGGCTGGTGTTATTATATACTAATAGATACTGATATATTTGACATTAATGCAGTCACTTGAGGTTCATGCAACTTTCCATGGAATAATACTAAATAAATAGTTGACCTGAAGAGCTAGAAATTCCCACTTAAATGTTCATGGACAGATGTTTACAAAAATTCAAACAGGGTAGGGTGTGGTGGCTCACGCCTGTAATCCCAGCACTTTGGGAGGCTGAGGCAGACAGTTCACGAGGTCAGGAGATTGAGACCATCCTGGCTAACACGGTGAAACCCCGTCTCTATTAAAAATAAACACACACACACACACACACACAAATTAGCCGGGTGTGGCGGCAGGCGCCGGTAGTCCCAGCTATTCGGGAGGCTGAGGCAGGAGAATGGAGTGAACCAGGGAGGTGGAGCTTCAGTGAGCCGAGATAGGGCCACTGCACTCCAGCCTGGGTGACAGAGCAAGAATGTGTCTCAAAAAAAAAAACAAAAAACAAAAAACAAAAAACAGGTAATCAGTTCTATACAACCTGTCATCTTTTTAAAAATGTAAAATACATGTGAATATTAAGAATGGACTAGCTGGGTGTGGTGGCTTGTGCCTGTAATCCCAGCTACTCAGGAGGCTAAGGTTAGGAGGATTGCTTGAGCCCAGGAGTTGAGGCTGCAATGAGCTATGATCATGCCACCGCACTCCAGCCTGAGCGACAGAGAAAAGATCCTGTCTTTAATAAATAAATAAATAACATACATTTTTTAAATGGAAAGGCAGTGAAAATGTCTATTGTTCAAATGTACACTCCAAAAATCTCTTTAGTGATGAAGTCATCACATATCAAAGGTCTTTGTTACATTATTATGCTTATGGCTATTAATTTTGGGCAAATATTGAATGCTTATTTTAAATGTATAGATTGTGGTAACAGAGAAAGGAAGGAGAAGTGAGGGTTAGGGAAAGAAATAGAAAGCAAAAGAGAGGAAAACATATTGAGGGAAAGGGCAATAAGTTGGTAGATGAGGGCAAAAGTTCACAAAGAATGAATGGAATTTCAATCAGTCCTCTACCTTCAAGAAAAGTAAATTAAAATGAGATTTGGAAAGGGATAGCATGAATACTGGTATGCTCTTCTGAGAAGATGCTTCACTCAACTCTATTTTTTGCTATTTAATGCAATAAAATTTAAAATTTTAATATTTGGTGATACGGTACACTTTGTGTGTGTTTTGCATGTCACCTAGAACATAACCTTATACATATGTATACTTCATGCATCTACAGTGCAGTTAGGAAGAAACATTACATGAATACCATTTTGTTACATTTGATGCAAGTTACAAAAGCAACCAGGTAAACTGTAAATAAAATTCCAAAGAGAGAAACAATTATGCATTCTGCCATAAATTTAAATCTTTTTGATGCTCGGTGCTTGTCATTGTCAAATTCTCAAACCCCATTTTCAGGAGACTATACTTTTGTTTTTGCTTTGTCTTTTAAGAAATGATGATAATCCTGTAGTGCTATTTTTAAAAAATAATAACAAAAATTAACCACCAGCTTTCCTTTCTATAGTCGTTTTAATAAATAAACAGCAAGACAGTGGAAAAGTCCTGGAGTTAGTTACATTGGCTGTGCTTTTGATGGGTGACGATAATAAAATCTGAACAAGTCAAGTAAGATCATTTCAATCTACAAAGCTGGAAAGTATGCAAATCCTAAAAAGGGGACAAAGTGTATAAACGTGTGAAGACATAGAGCAGTAGAGTGGAAGCAGCTTGAAGTCAGCACTTTGGTAGCCTCTGTCCCCAACAATCTAGGTGGCCTTGGTCTTGTCACTTAATTTTTCTAGCCTTAGTCTGCATATTCATGAAATGCAAAGGAACAAATAAGGTAAAATAAAAGTTTCATCAAAATTTTGTTTTTCTAATAAAATATAAGAAGAAGCACCCATCCCAAATAACTTAAAAGAGACTATCCTCAGAGAGGGCAGTTATGATTAATTAAGTAGAATTTGGAATAGAGACATGCAAAGTCAGCTTAATGAAGCCAAATTGTTAACACATCTCTGGGACTTGAGTGTAATGTGACTGAATGTATTAATATTAATATGGCTAAAGAAAGAATGTGTCAATCAAAACAGTAATTGGTCAGCCCTGAGAATGGAAAAACAAACTTGTGGGTGGACAGCTTGGCAAGTAGTACCTATTTGAGAACTGTGTGAGAGAGAAACTCTTTGCCATTGGACTCAAGCCCATGGTTTCCTACTCCATAGTAGGTAAGATGGCCTTCAGGTACCCCAGCCGAAAGTTTTTGCTTGTCAACCTGATACTATTTGGTTTCTTGGTTGACTTGCATGCATTCTCATTATTTCTCAAACATAATGAGAAATGTCCCCAACCTGATTTTTGGATCATTTGTACATGTGTCAGCCTTTATGAGTCTGGAAAATGCAAACCCATCTCTAATCTACTCCATTATACTAACAAAACCATATTTATGAACTTGTAAAATGAATATTAGAACCTGGAGTGGCCTTATTTTACCAAGGTTAATGCTCTCCTGTGGTAAGAAACTGCCTAAGAAGCAAGCCAGCATTACCCAGATGATATATCTTTGACTGTCTGCCTGTACCTAGGCAGCTACTGACTTAGCTTATCGGTATGTCTAATAGTATATTAAATATAGTTTTTAGTTTAATCCATGAACATACCAAATCTCTACAGAGGTGGACTAGAATGCTTAGCAATGTTCAGACTGCTAAACATAATGTTACAGAGTGCCATCACAATATTGGAACATTTACCAACTCTATTAACTAACATATTGGCCAAGTCAATATGTTGCTCTCCAGAGAGGGGATCCAAAGATATATTAGAGAAGTTTATACTTCATAGAATGTATGACTTACGGATCACCCATGCATCCTATTTCATGCATCCAAATTCTCTCTGCCTCTAAAGGAATTAAATTTACCCTTGGGCTTTCTGTTTTGTGCCAGAGACAATGTTCCCTCAAAGCCTTCTAGCAAAATTAACTATGGCTAGTTGTCAGTATGAAGTTGAATGTTTTAGCATACACTTTTTGTAACTCTGTTTTATTTTCTACTAAATTGATTTTTTTTCCTTTTCTAACAAAAAAAGCTTTCATCATCTCTGTATTATTAAGACACAGGATTATAACTTTTTAGTTTGGTGTAAGCAATAAATCATAAGCAGTAAATTTAGAGATATTGTCTAAAAATTTATTACTTTGTGAATATGTTCCAATGACTTGAGATCCCAATGTTTCACCATTACATCTGTACTTTAAACTGTGTGCTGTTGTCAAAAGTAATGTAGAGGGTTTAAAGCTAGAATTTTCTCTGACTGAAGGGCTTTAATAGCTTCATATTATTGAGTCCCATTTCCCAAGTGTCTTTAAGTCCAAGCTGGGTAGTAAAATAAGAAGACAAATTAAGTCTTCTAAGCCATCAAGGGAGCATTTAATACATTCCTACAGGCATTGAGGTATATGGCTTCCAACAGTACCTCACGGACATAAGTAAATCGGAAGATTTCCTTATTAAATGCTTAATTCTTAGAGGTAAATAGCAGAAGCACAGGCAAATACAATTCAGTATTTTCCAAAAGCAGCATAATTAATTAAAATACTAAATTAACCAAATTCACAGGACTAGAAAGTGGAGACATTAGATTTTAAAACCATGCCATTTGACTGAAAAGTAATAATGCCTGTCATATTCACTCATTAAATAAATATTTGAGACCTACTACGTGTGAAGCTTTTATGTTTAGGGTCCTATATTGTGTGTCTGTGTGTGTGTGTGTGTTTGCATTGTGTGTGTGATATATATATAACTTTTAATTCTTTTTAATTTTTATGGATACCTAATACTTTTACGTATTTGTGGAGTACATGTGATGTTTTGATACAAGCATACAGTATGTAATAATCAAAGCTGAGTAATTGGAAGTAACAATCACCTCATTTATCATTTATTTAAGTTAGGAACATTCCCAATCTACGGTTTGAATTGTTTTGAAATGTAGAAAAATTTATTGTGAACAATAGTCACCCTATTGTGCTACCAAACATTAGATCTTATTCCTTCTATCAAACTGTATGTTTTACACACTAACCAAACCCTCTTTATCCCACCTTCCCTATTCCCCTTCCCACCCTCTGGTAACCTCCATTCTATTCACTGCTTCCATGAGATTAGTTTATTTGTAGCTCTTACATGTTAGTGAGAACATGTAACATCTGTCTTTCTGTGCCTGTTTTATTTCACTTAGCATAATGCCCTCCAGTTCCATCCATGGTGTAGCAAATGATGTGACTTCATTCTTTTTTGTGTGGTGGAATAACATTCCATTGTGTGTTTATACACTACATGTCCATTATCCATTCATCCACCGGAGGACATTTCGGTTGATTCTGTATCTTGGCTATTGTGAATGGTGCTGCAATAGATCCCATATATTTTACCCTCCAGAGCAGGACACTTTTTGAAATAGAGAGAGAATGCTATTGAAAAGTATAGTGGAACAACAGCCACAAACCAGGACTATCTCAGGCATATCATTATATATATATATATATATATACATATATATATGTATATATATATATACTTTACTATGATAGAAAATGAGAATGCAACATGAAGTCCCTGTTCTCTAAGAATTTGTAGTTCACTGAAAGACAGAAAATTTGAAAATAATTTGATTATTCTCTTTTATAATTCTACGATAATCATTATTATCCAGAGTTTTAAGTCTTTCCTTGTGTGACTTTATTTGATCATTAAATAACTGTACTATATACTTACTGTAACTATTCTTATGTTACACAAGAGGAAAACAAGTAAAAGAGAGGTTAAATAAATTAACTAAATTCACAGGGCTAGAAAGTGGAGACAGTAGAATTTAAAACCATGCTGTTTGACTCCAAAGCCTATAATCTCATTCACTCCCCCAAACAGCGTCCTGTGATATATGCCAAGCCTTTTAAACCAACCAAAGCTTTTGGGAAGAGGTGACAAATAAGGTGTTTACTTAGTTAGCAAAGAGGAAGGGGTGGGAACAAGTAGAAGGGACCACAAATATAGTCAGTAGGAAAAGCACTGTCGCTTCCTTCAATATTAATGATGCATACCAGTCATATTTATCATGTTCCACTTATTAATATTTTATCAACAAATAGTTGAAAAATATGAATTATATATTTATGGTGTACAATGTGATGTTTTGATATATGTATACATTGTAAAGTGGTTAAATCAAGTTAATTACTATATCCATAGCTTCACATAGTTTTCATATAAGATCTACCTCCTTAGCAATTTTCAAGTATACAACATATTATTATTAACTATAGTCACAATGCTGTACAATAGACCCTTTAAAGGTAGCCTTAGAATTTGTTCAGTAAAAGTATGGATTATCTAATTTCAATGAATAAATAATATATGTTACAGGTTGATTATGTGCCCCTAAAGCATACACTGAAGTCCTAATTCCTAGTACCTCACAACGTGATGTTACTCGGAAATAAGGTGTTGCAGGTATAACTAGTTGAGATGAGGATACTGGAATAGAGTGAGCCCTTAATCCAATCCACCAGTGTCGTTACAAGAAGAGGAAAACCCCATGTGAAGACAAGCATGTGATAACAGAGGCAGAGATTGGAGTGATGAAGCTGAAAGCCATGGGACACCTAGGATTGCCAGCTACCCCCAGAAGCTGGGAAGAGGCAAGGAAGGATTCTACCCAGAATCTCAGAGGGATGATGGCCCTCCTGACACCGTAATTTCAGAATTCTAGCCTCCAAACGGAGAGGGAATACATTCCTGTTTTAAGCACTTTCTTTGTGATACTTTCTTATGGAAGCCCAAGGGAAGTAATACAAGGCACTATCACACAATTCAGGCACTTGCCCAATTTTGGAATTTGAGAACCATTTAGACTCCACGGATGTTAGCAGATATAAAATTTACATATCTCATGAAATATGTTTACATTCATTCTGTGCAGTAGCAGACATCATGCTTTTGTGCTATTTCAGAAAATTCTTTTCAAAATGACCTGTAAGTTTGACTGACTACAGTACATCTTCCTGAAGACATCACAAAGAGTTATTCAAAATGGAGAGTTGTTCTGATTATGTATCGTATCAACACAAAAAATTCACGTCAATTTGATACCATATTGCAGACCCAGATGCACAAAAGTTAATTTTTAAAAATACAGAATTTCTATGAAATCCACCAGTGAAGGCACTAATTAACCAAGGATCATGTTCTGCTCAAGCTTATCCAGCATCATTTAATGATTTCTGCCAAAGGCGAGTAAGTAAACAAGAAGGGGCCAGGTTGTAGAAGATAATGTTTTCTCATGTACCACAAGAAGCAGAAAAAGGAAGAAATCAATGTTTGCTGATGGAAAAGGATAAAACTGCCAGGAAAATAAATGTTATTTTTAGTTTTTTTGTTAAGACCTTGGCATTAAAAGGAAGTCAAAATAAAAGATTAACAATTCCTTAAAAAAAGAATTGATTGAATCATTCTTAATAACTGTTTTCTTATTTTTCGGTTCTGGAAATACATTTTATAGGCACTTTCCTTGTGTAGTATAAGTTAACTTTTTCAGATCACAGAAAGATTGTTATTCCTTACTGATTTTGTTTGAAGCATCTTGCAGCTTTTCAGAAAATGGCTGTGATGAGCGTAATTTAGAATAAATGTATCATGTTTACAACCAGCAGTTGTATAGATTATTAATTACCACTGACGGCATATTCCTTAGCATAGAAGCAGATAGGCAGTATTTTCTATATTTGTAAGTTATTAAACTTAAGTCTGAAACCTCCTTTAAAGTCATTTTAATGAGTGTTTCATTAGATTAGAGATTTGAAAACTCAAGTAAATTAATTGTCTTAATTGGCATCTTTAATGTGCTAACCAAAAGTGAAAAGGATAAATTGTGTTCAATAGGACCACAAGTAGATTGCTACTATATTTATTTCATGCTACCTTTTTAAAATAATAGGGGTGGATATAACAAATAACTCATACTTTCTGGACTTACACACACACACACACACACACACACACACACACGCACACACTCTCATACTTAAGGCATATACATAATACAGACTCATATACTAGATCAATTAATTTGATTATCATTTCATGATTAAAAAAGTCTCTTCAGGCTATGCTGAAGTTGGTTAATCTGAGGAACAAAAACATATTGTGAAATATCTACCATTTGGTGATCTTCCTACTTAAATAATACATTTCTGAACTATGTCAATAAGAGTCTTCAAATAATAAAAATACAAAATCCAATTCATCGATGTTCATGTAACTGTTCAGAATTTCCACATTAAAAAAATTACAACTGTTTTCCTTAAAATGATATATTTATAACTATGAGCAATGCAATCAATAGATTTTCAATTCTATGTTGACAGATGGTATTTCTTTCTTCTTGAAACGCCCTGATAATCTTCAAATACTTATTTCATATCAACTCTTGTAGTAAAACAATGGTTCTGACCTTATCCTTCTACCTATATAATATTTTTCATTAAAATACATAGATTTCACAGAGAGACATCTAATTTCAAATTTTCAACTAAGTTGTATATCTAATTATTTTGATTCTGAGTTTTCAGATCCATTTTCTGAGCTCCCACATGATCCAATTTTGACCATCAGAAAATGTGAGTGGCAAAGTTGTTAGGACCAAACAAATCCTTACTTTGCATTTATATCATAAATCTCTATCACACAAAATTCCTTGTGCATGAACTTGCAAACGTAAAATGCTTAGATTTAGTTCAAGTAAAAGACATTTTTTTTAAGAGATGAGAAGAACAAACAAGGAAAATATAGCCCTATACTGCTATGCTCTGAATATGTGTCCCTCCCCAGAATTCATTCATATTTTGGAATCCTAATCCCCAGTAGGATGGTATTAGTAGACGGGGCCTATGGGAGGTGATTAGGTCACAAGGGTAGAGACCTCATGAATGGGATTAGTACCCTTAAAAAGGAGACCCTAGAGAGCTTGTGCACCCTTTCTGCCATATGAGATTAAAATAAAAAGGAGAACAAGTATGAGAAAGCAAGCCCTCATCATACATGGAATCTGCAGGTGCCTTAATCTTGGATTTCTCAGCCCCCAGGACTGTGAAAAATAAATTTCTATTGTTTATAAGCCACCCAGTTTATGTTATTTTGTTATAGCAGTCCAGACAGACTTAGAAATATATTCATGCTAATTATGTTACATAAAGGTCTTAAGAAATAAAAACAAAATTTCACTAAACATTATACCCTGGCTAATGACTTATGGCTTTTCTTTACAAGTCTATAAGAAAATAAAAGTACAATAATTCTGAATCACAGTTAAGCAACACAGGTCAGCAGCAAAGAAGAAGATACTAGGGTCACATGTATGGATACACTCCTCATTGAGCTTGAAAATTCTATAAAAAGGAGTTTATTTTGGGAAATAATCCCAGGGAAACCATGTAGAGGATTTAGAACAGTGACACAAAGAATGAAAAAAAAAAAACACAATATAAGAAAGTGTGATTCCTCTGGTCATTGCTTAGAGTAACAGACTCCATTCTACTGTGAATCTCTGAGAAGACATGTAGAATGTGCCCAGAACTCCCTGACCAAGGGACAACAAAGGGAGCATGTATCAACTAAAACCTACTTTTAATTAACCAAACAGAGGCTTTTCAAACAGCAATTAGTACTTCGCTGCAGAAAGCTTAGTCTTGCTCCAAAATCTAAAGTTCTGTGCTGTGATTCTCTTCTCAAACTTACTGAAGAATCTACACAGCATCTTTATCCAACATCAAAGCAGCTAGATTGTATTGCCTGAGCAGTAAGGCGATTTTCACTGAAAGCTGGACTTGCTGCTGAACACTTTCTTGCTCTTAGCCCTACTCGAAACTGCCAGCCTTCAAAATTAACTGATAAAATGACTTGGAGAAATATTTTAAATGTAGTATGTGCAGCCCATAGAATCCAAAGGTCTATCTTATTCTGCACCCCATTCTTAGTGATAGGACTTGTGAAGAGCAACAACTTTTACCACCTTCCGTTATGCACACATCTTACTATGGCATCCACACTACTCGCTGCTTCCTGTTCACTAGGTAAAAAATGCCATGATGTAATCAATGCAATGGACCAGTACAGATGCTCCTTAACTTATAATGGGGTTATCTCCTGATAACCCCAACGCAACTTGAAAATATCGTGAGTTGAAAATGCACTTAATACATCTAACCTACCAAATGTCATAGTGTAGCCTAGCCTATCTTAAACATGCTTAGAACACTTACATTAGCCCACAGTTAGGCAAAATCATCTGGATACACAGTACGCTGTAGATTATCAGCATTACGTGGCTGTCTGAGAGCTGAAGCTCGCTGCCACTGCACCTCATCACAAGGGAATATCGTACTGCACATCACTAGCCTGGGAAACAGTCAAATTTCAAAATTCAAAGTAAGATTTCTGCTGAATGCTTATGACTTTTGCACCATTGTAAAGTTGAACAATCATGTTAGGAGACCATCGTGTAATCATCTCTAGGTTACCAAGACAATCAAGTTCCTTGTGCACTGTAATATTACAGAGAGTGAGCGTTAGCCCTGATCTAGGGCAGATATGTACATGTGGATTACTGTCTATCCCACATAAGAGCAAACTTCTAAATTCTCTTTCATGATAAGAATTAAAAAGCATGCATTTGTTAGATTACTAGCTGCATACCAGCTAGTGCCAGGGGTGTGATTTTGTTCCAGTGAAGATACCACATCTGATCCAGCAGCTGCGCTGATTTGGTTGTTTACCATAAGCTATTATATATCATAATCCGCCTGACTTTTTAGTTGCTTTACATGTGAAATGAATAGATGCATGATGGAGACTATGACTCCTTCACTCTTAAAGCTTTGACGGTAGCATATAGCCTCTGAAGTTTCTCCTGAGAAGCAGTGTTACTGATGATTTCATACATCGGTTTGGGAAGAACAGTTTTATAGGATTCCACTAGGTCTTTTCTACTAAAATGATTCTGACTTATTTCACAGGTCATATAACCAGTGTGAGGATCCTGCTTGTTGCTAAGTATGTTGGTCCCAATTATGTACTTGGGAGTCTGGGGAAATAACCGTAGATCAATCCACTTACCCAGGCTAGAACTCCATTTATCGCTTGTCTTTCATAAGCCCCCATTAGCATTAGAAGTCCATTGATGTCAGTGCTAGCTCAGGATCTGTACCTTTAAGAGCCCTCAAAAGGCTTTGCTAGTTCACTTTTTCCAGTGTAAGCTGCTATGTAAAATGGCCATAAATCCTTTGAAGGAAGGATTGAGACAGCATTTTTGTGTAACTTTCAGGGATATTGCTAGGTCTTTCTTTAAGAAAACTTGGTTTCCCTTTCAACCAGTAAGAGTTGGCTCCATGAAGTAGTTTAAATTTGGAAACTGGATGAATGATTGTGATCTTCCATTATAGCGGAAAATGCCTACTTCCTCAAGGTGTCATTTTTGTCTTTTTAGATAAGTCAAGTACCACTCTAGTCAGCTACCCTTGTATTTCATCCCTAAAAACACTATGATATATTATCCATTGTCATAAACCCTTGTTGATAAACGAATTCTGGTTGCTATTCTGACCTTGTTGCTCTTCACACTATTGATATCTATATTGAGTCTGTTGGTGAAGTGTTACTACTAAACTTCTGCCATTTCTGAAAATGGCAGTCAGACCATTGAGTTTAGAGATCCTTGTTCTATGGTAGCATCTCCTACTACACCCTGGGATACAGAGGACAGTCACCCTGAGCTTCTCAGAGATGCCAGTGTCCATCTGACTACTGCATTTCTCACAGTGAATGCCTTGGGAACCCTCTAAAAATGAGTCTCATATAATAAATATGTGCTAACATTCCCACCTCCCTGAGTCTTCTAAGTTTTAATATTCTGTGAAGATAGCTCCTATATCTCTAGCTCTCTTACTATAAGTCCTCATGATGTTTAAATTTCAAAGAACTATCATAACGGCATATTAGGACTAGCTCCAGGTATTCTTACTCATAATTAACCCAAGTCATGGAAGAGTACTTTATTCTTAAATTAGTCCTAGCCCAGTATCGTCACACTCTAGACCCACATTACCTCTACTCAAAGTCCAGGAGCCAAATCCAGGCATAGAGAAGAGACAAATTTCAATGGGACAGGCAAGAATACTCCACCTACTTTGTTGAGTTAAATGTAAGTATATAGTGATAAGAGTAATAGCTTATAATTATTAAGTTTGTAAATAAATTATTATTTAGTATCAACGACTCAATCACAAATACGATTATCATTTACTAAGCATTTATGTTGTGCTTGGCACTCTGTTAAATGATCTAATATTTTTTGAGATAGTATCTGGAATGAATGAGATGTTTTAGATTGTTCATAAAATTAAACAAAAGATGAATTCTGAGAGAATAGTAGATAGGTAAATATGATGAACAAAAATAACTTTTCTTGAGAATTTTAATAAAATTTCTAAAAATCTTTGGTTGATGCTGATACACTGAGAGTAAAAAGTATTAGCAATTTAGGAGTATGTTAAAGTGTTGACCCCAAAAAGCCTTTCTTATTCTATATAAAAATCAATGGAAACAAAACTATTTGAAGACTATAAGGAAGACTGTAAGTGTTTCCTCCTAAACAAGCTATGCTAATACATTTATTCATGTAACCATGAACTTAATAAAGATGTACATCACCTGGAGATGGGACTAAGTACATGAGGTAGAGGCAGGGATTGTGAAAGCAGCCATTGATATGGCAATCTTTTTTTTTTTTTTTTTTTTTTTGAGACAGGCTTTTGCTCTTTCGCCCAGGCAAGATCAGGGCTCAGTGCAGCCTTGACCTCCCCAGGCTCAAGCAATCCTCCCACCTCAGCATCCCGACTAGCTGGAACTACAGGCAAATGTCACCACACCTGGCTAATTTTTTTATTTCTTTGTAAAAACAAGGTTTCGTCATGTTGCCCAGGCTGGTCTCGAACTCCTGAGCTCAAGCAATCTGCTGACCTCGGGCCTCCCAAAGTCCTGGGATTACATGAGTGAGCCACTGCACCCAGCTGATGTGGAATTTTTTTAAAAATAAATGTTTGGATGCTTATCCTAAACATTTTCCACATCTTATCCAAAGATTATTTGAAAAAGTATTAGTTATTTTAGTTGGAAACTCTCTAACATGATATAGCAGACAGATTCAGTCTAGATATGTTTATCACAGACGAAAAAAAGCAAATTATATTAATTTTATAAAACACAAAAAAGAATTAATATAATATTTGATTATAGTAGAACCTAAACCTGCCCACATTAATTGGAGATAAATCCAAAAATCTAGTATGTTTCTTATTCAAGTGCATGCACTCTCATTTTGTAAAAAATTTAATAGACTAAATCAGAAAAAAGTATAGGAATATGAATCAAGATATATAAAATATCTGCAAAGAACAATACATGTAGCACTAATGGTTTCAAACTGAAGAACTGGCTACTAATGTTTGCTAAGATTTTTATCATGGTAAGATTACCATTTGAGAATCTGCATAGAAGATTAACAAGGACAAAAGCATCAATAACTCTGCAACAGCCTTGGTAGTTAAAAATGCATTTATACAACAATCAAATGACTGAATACAATTCTATTATAAAATTGAAAAATGGCCTAGCCAAATTTTTTTATGCAAAAAGCAAATGCTCACTAAGGTTAAGGTGTAATAAACTACTAGACAATTTTAATGCTTCCTAGTGTTTTGGATTTACATAATTATTTTTAAAGAGTGGCTTTCAAAAATATTTTAGTGATGAAAAATATTATTCAAATGAAATCTTACCCAGAAAGCCAGCATATAAAAAGAAGAAAAGCAGAGCTGCTTTGATTGATGCACATTCTTTCTTTGTTTTATTTTTGAACGGAGAAGGTCAGTATCTTCCAACCTTGCAAACAGGCATACCTATGTTTATTATTAAAAGAAATTCAAAGACCCACACATTATACTGGTTACAATTAAATTGTATTGCTATCTGAGAAGTCTGAAATATTAAGAGTTCAAATGTTCAGTATTCCTACTGAGAACTTCCTTTTAAAAACCGGTCATACTTTCTACATATGACCTCATTGCAAGAATAAAGCAATGTAACTAAAATCTCAACATTTATTTGGGTGGAGAACATGAAAATCATATTTTCTAATTCATAGGGTAGATAAAAAATGTTTGAGGTCAACTGAGGAAATATTTTAAAACAACTATAAAGGAATGACCTGCTCATTTATATATCAAAATGTATTATAGGCCGGGCGCAGTGGCTCACAACTGTAATCCTAGCACTTTGGGAGGCTGAGGTGGGCGAATCACCCGAGGTCAGGAGTTTGAGACCAGCCTGGCCTACATGGGGAAACTGGGTCTTTATTAAAAATACAAAAATTATTAGGGGGTAGTGGTACGTGCCTGTAATCCCAGCTACTCAGTAGACTGAGGTGGGAGAATCACTTGAACCCAAGAGGCGGAGGTTGCAGTTAGCCGAGATTGTGCCACTTGCACTCAAGCCTGGACGACAGAGTGAGACTCTGTCTAAAAATATACATATATAGATAGATGATAAGATAGATAGATAGATAGATAGATAGATAGATAGATAGATAGATAGATATAGTAAAGCTGTAGAAGTTAAAATGGAATTGGTACAGAAAAGAATAACAGTAAGGTGCAGACTAATGTAATTTTGCTAATGCTAAAAATATCATTTTGAAGCTGTGCAGTGGAATATTGACCATCTTGTTTGTATAAGGGCAAGAGGGAAAGAGAGAGAAGAAAAAGACAAAGAGAACACTAGACTAACACTTCATACTAAGGACAAAATGATTTCCTGATGATTAAATTGTCAAATACATAAATGACTTTAAGCTGTTAGAAAAAAAAATGGATATAAGGAGATCTTGCTAAAGTAGCTACAAAACTCAGAAGCCAAAAACAATTCATCTTTTAAAAACAAAAACTTGAGAACAAAAGTATCTTAAACAATCTTAAAACACAAGTAACACACTGGGAGGTGCAATTGGCAACATGTTTATCAGCAATTGAATTTATTTACGTAGTATATTTGTCGTCACAAGTCTACAAGAAGATAAGCAGCAAACTAGTAAGAAAAGAGAAGATAAACAGCAACCAGTAAATAGAGATGTACAAGTGACTGATAAACATGTGGGAAAATGTTCAAATTGGCTAGTGATTTAAAATGCAAATTTAAACTACAATAGAGTGTAATTTACTTTCTTGAATCAAATTGACAAAAATAAAAAAAATACACTGCCGTTGAGAAAGCAAGTAACAGGTCCCTTTCAACTTTGGCTAAATAATTCCATTTTGAGGAAGGAAACTATGCTACAGCAATGCTACCATACATTTCACAAAGATGTACATACAGGCAACACAAACATATACCCTACAAGTATTCATTGGATTGTTTATAACAGTGACCATCTGTAAGTAATTTCATGATGAAGGACACAGCAGCAATTATACACATTTGAGAGTACTCACAGCAAAACTCAGTGCACCCATACAAAGAACTATTCAGCCTGAGTGAAGACAATGATCCAGGCCACTGGTTCAAACTTTAGTGGACATCAGATTCACTTGGAGGGCTTGCTAAAACATGAATTGCTGGCCCCAATGCAGGGGTTTCTAATGTGAAGGGATCTGAGAATCTTCATTTTTAATCAATTATCTCCAGAAACCACATATTAAGAACTACCAGCCTTGACCCATACTTGGTGTTTTGGACACATGGCCAAGTGAAAAATTCTAGTCATAGAATAATACTTTTCATTATCTCACTTATTAAAAATGGAACATGAACATAAATAATTACATTTAAGGAAATGCAACGAACGAGAACTGAAAGGTGATATGCCAAACTATTTAATATCTACTGCTGGGAAGGAGGGCAGGTAGGAGTGAGAAGAGAAACATTTATGTTAAATATCCTACTGTTTAAGTCATTTACAAGAAGACTATATTTATAATGTATTTAAATTATTGACGTGACAATTTTGAGAGAGAAAGAAGAAAGAGGAAGGGAGGGGAGGAGAGGGGAGTGGAGGGGAGTGAAGGGAAGGGAAGGGGAGTGGAGGGGAGTGAAGGGAAGGGGAGTGGAGGGGTGTGAAGGGAAGGGAAGGGAAGGGAAGGGGCAGGGAGGTTAGGAGGGGGGCAGGGAAGGAAAGAAAAAGGGTAGCTGAATCCTGAAGCTGTAGACATCTAGAGTTTGTACTAGATTGTTAGATTTACTGGCAAACCCTTACTTTCTTTCTTTCTTACTTCTTCATGCATCTTTGTAATAAACCCTCATTAAACGAGGTAGTCTGAACATAGTTCTATTCCTTGCAAGCTAAAAAGGCTAATTAACAGAGATGTAAAGGCTATGCAGAGCAATAAAACACAACAAATACTGAAATTGATTTAAATGCATGTAATTTAAAGCAGGATATAGGAATGCTAAAACCATTTTTAAAATCTACTTATTTTCATACCTACACATCCAAATCTAGATCTTAGAGCTGATGGTCCTAAATTACTGAAAAATAATAAAGCCAACATATGTTTCTATTACATGCTGACATAATGCTTATGTACCAAGAATGTATAGTTGTATTTGTATGTGTGTGTTTGTATATATATGAATATGTGTATATATACACACACAGAATATATGTGTGTATATATATCCATAATATAAATTTAACTCTCAAAAGGATTCTATGATATAAGATAGTTATTATCATCCCTAATATATAAAAAAGAAAACTGAGGCACAGAAAGCTGGGAGATTACGGAACTTTTCCAAGGTCACACTGTTAGTCCTGGTGGAGCCAGGGTTACATCCAGACAATCTGATTCCAGCATCATGCTCTTAACCATTGCATCGTACTGACCTCTCCTTCACTTGTTTCATTTTCTTTGGATACATCAATACTCTCAGGCCACTACCCATCACTAAACAATATACCATAAAAAAAATTAAAGAGGCTAGAAAAAATGCTGTTTACAATACTTTTGGAAATAAACAATCTTTATGACTCTTACTGCTACAAGAATAGGCAGCAGATTAAGAAATCTGCTGATGAGTGAATGAGGAACCTCTCTCTTCCACTGCATTTCCAACTATTATTATACTCAGATTAGACCAAGCGAGAAAGTCATTCCAGCTTTCTCATATCAGCCAAGAAAAATCATCCTCAGGACCAGCTGCCAACAGCATTGCCCTTTAGACTTTGGCCGGGATGCCAGGGCCCAGGTGTTCTGTCAGCTTTCCTTATACAGTTTGTTGACAATGAAGAGGCCCACTTAATTTTTCTTTTTTTTTTTTTTTTTTTGAGACAGAGTCTCGTTCTGTCGCCCAGGCTGGAGTGCAGTGGCACGATCTCGGCTCACTGCAAGCTCCGCCTCCCAGGTTCACGCCATTCTCCTGCCTCAGCCTCCTGAGTAGCTGGGACTACAGGCACCCGCGACCACGTCCGGCTAATTTTTTTTGCATTTTTAGTAGAGACAGGGTTTCACCACGTTAGCCAGGATGGTCTCGATCTCCTGACCTCGTGATCCGCCCGCCTTGGCCTCCTAAAGTGCTGGGATTACAGGCGTGAGCCACCGCGCCCAGCCGCCCAGTTAATTTTTCAATGGGCAATATAAGCTGAAACTGATTCACCTGCAAACACCTTAATTACTTCTAGGAATAAAAAAATATTGATACCAAAACAATACATTTTTCTTAGGATCAAAACACCTTGAAATGTTTCCAAAAAATGGAATTGCTTAGGAAAAAAATAAAAATGCATGATCTACTTTGTTTCAGAACCTAATCTGGTTTGTCTAGAGGTCAAAGTTTGTACTCCTGATTGTGAATGATAAAAAGGGAAAATGTATGGATAAAATGGGAAATTTCTAATATTAAGGGGACAGGAGGATGGAGAGAGAGGCAGCAGAGCAACACCTGGGGTATGTTAGAAACAGAGATAAGAAGTTGCATTTTAAAATATAATTTGGAGTTCAGAAGGTGTAAATTTAGTACACTCTTTGTGGGACTAATGGGAACCTCAATGAGTCTTCTCTTGCCATAAACTGCCTCTCATAAAGCTCTTCAAGGCTTCTTTTGGATGTGTTTAGACCCTCCTGTTTAGATCCCAACTTTTGATTCTGAAATTTCTATTCCATGTCTACAAAACAAAAAATATAATCAAATTATAACAACACTATATTTTCCTTGAGTTAATATTATCTTGAATTAAGTCTATCATTGTTTAAATTTTTGGTAACATTATTTTCACTGGACTTCATTGTTTTCTGTATAAATTTTAAAATGAAAATGTTTCACATATCCATTTCCTTGTTTCAATTTTTAACAATTATCAGTCATCAGTCTGTCCTTGTATGTTGTCTTTTGGAATCTTTTTTTTCTATCAAGCGTAATTATCCTGGCTCAAATTGTGTTTCTCTAAATTTCATTATGACAATTTTATTCTTTAATCCATTTTCAGTTAATAGCAAATGTTATACTTTGAAATTTTAGTTATCGTGAGTTTTCCTTTTTCAACATTTTTAATAATTATTCTTTCAGATTACTTTTGTTCTTTTTCATTTTACCAACAGCATGAGTTTTATTAAACATATTTTACCATTTCTGTTTTAGCCATAGTCTTATCTATTTAATGCTTCATTCTGTGATGCTTTATATGCCTATTTTTATCATTTCAGAGTCAAAATGGTAAATAAAAAGATACTTAAGGATCCGTCAGTAAGAGTTAAGAATGGCAGAAGTTAAAAACAGGGTTAAAATGGTGAGTTCATAAAATCTCCACATTACTTTTCGCTTTTCCCTCTGTAGCTTTGTTAGCTGGATTTCTTTTTTCCTGTAACACAAATACTTAAAATATGTAATTTTGTCTACTGAGTGAAACTATTTTTCCTACCATAGTGCTTGTGTTGATTACAAATGTGAATTTTGAGCTAGTAAGGTCATTGACAATAAGAATTATCAATTATTGAGTAAAACATCCTCAATATTCTGCATCTAAATTAGATTGTTGCATCATATATATATAACCTAAACATATTATCTTCTATATAACTGTTTCTTTTGTTCCTACAAATTTTTTATTCTTTTTTTTTTGGCTGTTGTTTGTTTGAGAAAGGGTCTCTCTCTGTTGCCCAGACTGGAGTGTGGTGGTACAATCATGACAACCTGCAGCCTTGACCTCCTGGGCTTAAGTGATCCTCCCACGTCAGCCTCCAGAGTAGCTGAGACTACGGGTGTGCAACACCAGGCCCAGATAATTTTTTAATTTTTTTTTTTTTTTGTAGAGACACAGTCTCCTTTTGTTGCCCAGGCTGGTCGCCAACTTCTGGCCTCAAATGATCCCCTTGCCTCAGCCTCACAAAGTGCTGAGGTTGTAAGCGTGAGCCACCACACCTGGGCTTTGCCTTTGCATATTGTAATTTTAGTGCCCTTTAAAAGTCTCCATTTTTATTGCTTCTATTAAATTAGTTTAAGAAAGCTGTGGATGACGATTCTGAAGGCCTGAGTGCATACAGTATCTGCAACTGTTTGTTTTTCAAGGTTTTCTATGAATAAAATGACAAGGAGTAAGAAAAGTATGTGTGACCTCATGCTTCACATTCTTCAGAACAAATACCTCTCGGTTGCAATTATGTCATCATGAAATCATGTTCCACGTTTTAAAATAAACTCATTGCCATATGAATTGTTATCCTACTGAGATATTTTTGTAGTTGTCTGTTTAACAGCTTCCTTAGAAGTGTCTTCTACATTTCCCACAATACCAAAACAAAAATTTCTTTTTTCATCTTATACAAAAGAATAGCTCAAGTTTGAATGTTCCGAAATCCACACTCTTGTCCTGCGTTGCACATATACTTGCACTTGAGTTACACACACACACACCCACACCCACCCACACACACACACACACACACACACAGTTTTAGCTAAATATTCTAAAATATACACTTTTTGACTTCTGAGAAAAGTCAGAGAATGTTTTCTCCAGTGTCACAGTTCGGGACTCACCTGTGGACGTGGATGTCCTGTGACTAGACAAGTCAACTCAAGGGTTTCTCCTTCCCGGATAGTGTAGACCCTTTCGGAGTAGCGCTCCTCTTCAATGTTACAGGCCAAGCCTGAGTGCACAATACGAACCGTGGGAGGAGCTGTCGAGTCAGGAAGAAGAGAGACAAGATACATGAAAAGGTAAGTCAGTGATCTTCTCATGAACCATCTTGACTATAAAAGCAATTCTTATTAGACTTCACCATAGTCAGATTAGTCAGATTCATCAGTCTTAACACCTCCCCAAGGCATTAAAGATTTTGCTGGAAGAAATCTTCAAATTTATCTAACAGTGACCAACACATTTCCAGGGGAACAAGGTAGTGGAAGAACCTCAGGAAATCACCATCAATACAAGACCACAAGATAAAATTTGATTGTTAAAATGTGAGAAGGTCCCTTCCTTTCTGAGTTCAAATTTTAACATAGTAAGGAATATTGCACCAAAAATATGTAGTGCAAAAGAAAGAAGACAATTGGAGGAGAAAAGGGAATTTGAATGGAAGACATTGACATTTGTCTGTTAATTATTTAAGTCATGTAGCGCGCAAGTTAATAAGCTCACGAATAAGATGATTTGGTTTTCAGGAAGTGAAAACCAACTTAATTTACCATACTTATAGACATCTGTATTGATGTAAACAAAGTATGATTCTTGATTAAGCCATGGAAGAAGACAATATACCATTGTCGCCTGAGTCTAAAATTCTGATTCAAAAGAAACTTCATTAGCATAAAGCTGCCCAAATTTCTAAATATAATTTTCTCCTACTTCAGTGCCAAGGGGCCAGTAAAATTTAACTAACACTCCTTGACTTACACATCGTTGGGGACAACTACATGGAAACTTTCTGTGAGTCATGAGAGAAGTACTTAGCTAATAAGATATGCTGCTTGCCATCAAGTAAATTATTGACAGCTACTAGCTTCAAATTGGAGATCAATTCCTTTTGTGAACTAAGCATTTTTGTTTGTCATACATTTGGGAGTGAAAGAGAATGATCATTTCAGTTAAAGGCAAGTGGAAAGGTTATATCTTCATGTAAAGGACAGTGATCTCAAGAATTTCCTGATAGATATCTTCAACCTAAACAGTAGTATTACTAGCAGAGGTTGTGATTGCTTAAAAATTAACGCCAGTGCCAGCATATTAGGAATGTTTTATCTAACATTAAAGACAATGAATCTTATAGAATTTTAAAATAAATTTGGTGATTCTATGGAAGAAAAAAAGATTATAAGGCCAACTCATGAAAAAAATCATTCTGGGAAAAGCTGTGTTCTGAAAGTAAAATAGAATAGTTTTCAATATCTACTATTTTGTTTTATATAACATAAATGCACAGTCTACCCATAGAGCTTAATAATTGACATCAGGTTGTATTTCATTATCTTTCTCAATTTCAGGCAGAAACTGGAAGATGGAAAAGACCGCTTATGATTAATAAAACAACTGGTTATGTCCAGCTCTTTCTAGGTACCAAAGCATAATCCTGTTACTCAACCTTGAAACTCAGAACCCTGCTTTCCAATATCCATCATCAAAATGATGGGTAAAAGTTTCCAATAGTAGAATAAGAACAAAACAGTACTTCTAGAAAAGTGGTCTTGACATTAAATACGCATAATAAACACCCCTCAAGAACTTGTTAAAAATACAAATTTCAAAGGTGTTCAGAGACCTGATATATCTGCAGGAATCCCCAGGAATCTGCATTTTTACCAAACACTCAGATAGCTGCAATGACAGAGCTAGTTAGACTAGGTTCTGGGTATTATATTCGTTGGCTAAAGAAAAATACTCCAAGGAATAAAATATCCTTTTCCTTTGTCTTTTTAAAGTAACTAAACTTTCTGCTATGCATCATTTTATCTGATTTGAAAAATTAAATGATGCTTAAGTCAAATGTCCAGCTTGGTCTATAAAACCAATTTATTAAAAATTTTCCATCATGTCTCTGGACTCTGTCTAGACATTGTAATAATTCGTTTGGTTTTATGACATTAGAAATCCTTATCTTTGGTGTTTCTCTTAGTGCTCTGATATGTTTCACACCACATTTCCTACAAATCATTTCAGGCAGTGATCAAATTTGGACTTCAATTTAGATAAGTAATACTAGTGAAGTACTTATTTTTAGGCATCTGTCTAATATAGTCATATCCATATTATAGAGGTTAACGAATTGATGAAAATCTATAAATGCTTGCAAAATAAAATAAAATAAATGTTCAATAGAAAATACAGATCTATTATCTTAAAATATATTTCCATGCTAACTTTAGCTTCATATGTGATAGTGATAGCCCACGTTTATTAATATATCTAATTATATAGTGACATGACATCCTTTCCAGACTAATTTACACTTGTTATTTTTGTTTTAATTTCAAATCAATGCTTAGTATTGTTATTTTTAAGGTATATCTTTCAAAAACATCATTATGCAAATAAGTAGCTTTATTTAAACCACTTAAATTATACAGTAAGCACACTGTGACATTTACAAGGGTTAATTTTCTGCTATTTTTCTTCTATATTATAACACATTCTTGGAAAAGGTAATTGCCTGCATACTGCAGTCATCATGAACCTACCACCTATCCTGTAGGAGGGTGGAATATTTCATCAAATTTTAAGTGTGGAAGTTGTCTTCCTTTTAGTATTCATCAAAATATGTGCTCAATATTTTAGCTGCTCAACGATAATGAGAGTATTTTGGAAGCTTCCCTTAATTCTTTTATGTGCACAAAGCTCACTTGAAAGGACCTTAGAGTTCATATAGGTCAGCACTCTTATTTCCCGATTAGGAAAGAAAAGCCTGAGGACATCAAATGACTTTGTCACAATCCTGTGGCTAGTTGTGGCTAAACGAGACCAAAGCCACTGGCCTATTGTTCTTTTCATTACTTGATGCTGTCTATTTAAACTATGTCTGTCATAGTTAAATTAGTGTTCTAAATAACTCCCAAACTAGACCCAGACCTAGACTAGGCTAGGGGTATAAAAAACTATTGAGAAACCATTAATAAAGCAGTTAGAGCACCATAAACTAGATTAAGAATGTAAGTAGCAGAATTGCTCCAAACTTAACCAAACTTCACAATAGAATGTTGTCCCAGTTCATCATCCTACCTCCAGTACCTGCCAAATCCATGACATTTCACAATGATCAAAATAGTATTTTGAAATTTCTATTTACATTATGTTGTTTCTCTGCTTAAGAACCTACAATATCTCCCTATGACATTTCATAGAGTCCTAATCGCTGTGCATGGGTGGCATTTAGGCCCTCTGTCAAGGGTCCTCATGCTTACCATCCAACTAAAAGTCCCATTTCTCTGTAATATCAGGCTATCCTCAGTGAGAATGCAAAGAACCCTGAGATTTTAAGTGTCTTTGCTTATAATGTTCTCCCATCTAAGATTCCCATACCAATAATTGGACCCATGTTCCTGATACCTTCTTGGATTACTTATAAATGATTATCTTCTCTTTTCTTCCATGAGGTATGTATTTATTGCTTTGTGATTTTCCTTTCTCTCCACATTCAAACACGATAGTAAGCATCTCAGTGCCAGACTGAGCATCATTTTTGGCATCATCCCCATATCACATAATTCACAGCACAGAGGAGGTATTTATTTACTAATTGAGTTTTAGTTTCTATTTTAGCAACTATCACTATAATGACATCAACTTCTTACTTTAGCAAAATATCAACTATTATGGCAGTGCATTTGCTTACTTTAAATATAAATGCAATTTGCAGTTTTATACCTGAAGCAAGACATCTCTGATCCTCTGCCTTGTTGGTAAAAAACCTCAATTCATCATCCTTAAATTGGACTAAGGGTTAAGATCTCCTTTGCCCTGTAGAGTCAGCAATGAATTACAATGTTAAAATATTGCATGAGACTCATATTCATCCAAATTTTCTTGAAGTAAACCAAATTTCATTATGTAAAATCTTTCCTAACACTAATCATATCAACTGTCTTAATCCGAGGACATTTTGGCTTTGGGTTGAAGAGGTCAGCCTAAAAGGGCAAAAGAGAGACATTCTTTTATCTTGTTAGAATATACTTTTGAAAGTTAAACCAAATTCACTCTGGAGAAATAGTACAAATAAATTATTCTACAATGGCAACAACCAGGGGCATTTTAATCCTTTCACCTCATATATAGACTTTCAAGCGTATATTTATTGAGCAGCTGCTATAGCAGGCATGAGACTCTGTGCTGGGGATATGATGATTAATGCCATGAGCTGCACCTGCTAAAGGCTTACAGCCTACTGGGTTTGTCTAAATTATTTAAAATTATATGATAATTGAATAGGATAGACACTCTAACAGAAGAAAATGAAAAGTACTAAACAAAGACAAAGCAGACGATAGCTAAATCTGCCTGGGGGAGTCTAACAAGTTTCGCAAAGTCAGTGACATTTAACCTAAGTTTGGAGAGATGCTCTTGGGAGCAAAAGAGGAAGGAGATTTCAGAGAGAGAAAACAGTGTGCTCAAAGGCAAATCTGAAATATGCCTTTGTAATATGCCAGTGTCTATTGTGTTTCTGAAATAACCATGTAAAAATGTATCCCCTGTAGTTTATCATTTACTCCATACCTTGCCACTGTACAGCCTTATCAGCTTGCCACTATGTCTCAGACATAGGAGAGACACTGGAGAGGCCTGGGAATGGATAATGGAGGAGAGATGCATTTTAGAGGTCTTGTTAGAAAGGACATGACAATTAACTGAATCTGAGGGTGAGGGAAAGAGTTAAGATGACACTGAAGTTTATACCCTGACTAGGTGAAAGATGACAATTTTTTATTTTAATAGGAGATAGTTTCTTGATCGCCATGGAACTCACATTACCCACCGTTGGGGGAATCTTGAGATGAGGGGCCCTAAGCCCAATTCATTGGGGGTGGAGGGTTGTTGGCATGAGGGCTTAGATGAGAAATGTTTCTGATGAAGAAACTTTTTTCAGTAATGGCGATGCTTCCTGAAAAACGTGCTGCTAATCAGGCATTTATGGTTTTATTTATGGTTTTGGTACAAGGAGCTTCCTCTCTGCTAAGAGCTTCAAGTAAGAGCCTGGTTTTTTAGTTAAATCTCTCAAATCCCTCACGCAGCTATTCTCTGGGAATTCAAGTTGCCACTGGCATGTTGCTACTCTTCCACACTAGGTCAATGTAACTTATGTTCTTGGTTAAGGTAACAGATCTGTTTAGTTAAGTAGTGTGGAGAGAAGGATGTTCACTGGTCCCTCTCCTAGAACCTCTAGTGAACAGCTCAGCAAACCATGCTGTGCCAGCATTACTCATGTACTATTGATATTTTGAAGACAGACAGAGAGATAGAGAGACAGAGAAAGAGAAAGAGGGAGAGAGAGAGAGAGAGAGAGAGAGAGGCAGATAGACAGATAGAGACAGACAGACAGCCTATACCTTACTGTTCTCACATGGCCAAGAGTCAGTATGTATTACTTATACCATTCTCTTAGCTGTCATTCTGTTTTGCTTGTAAAGCAAACATAACAATAATCAAACTTTCTTCCCAGCTTTCTATTGATTTAAGTGATCATACGCTTTCATAAAACACTTCTCAGTTTTCTACAACATGTTACATTTAGCTAATCAGCATTGTCAATGATTGGTTTCTTCTGTTTATCTCAAAATGTTCAATGTAGCACGTGTATAGTACTTCAAGGATATGGTGGCTTCCATTCTTTTCTTTCCTATCTGAGTTTCTGGTTTAATATATTACATGAGATCTCCCCCACCTCCCTTTTTCACAATGATATTCTAAACTGATTTTTATATATTTTTTGTGCATACAGTCCTAGTCCATATTACTCCTGTTGTTGACAACTCCATTGCCTAACATCTTCCTCATTAGCCTAGTTACATTACATGTTTTATTATCAAAAAATTTGACAGGGCCAGCTGTGGTGGCTTATGCCTGTAATCCCAGGACTTTGGGAGTCCGAGGCAGGCAGATCACCTGAGGTCAGGAGTTTGAGACCAGCCTGGCTAACATGGTGAAACCCAGTCTCTACTGGAAATACAAAAATTAGCCAGGTGTGGTGGTGGGTGCCTGTAGTCCTAGCTACTTGGGAGGCTGAAGCAGGAGAATTGCTTGAACCCAGGAGGCGGAGGTTGCAGTGAGACAAGATCCGAGATCTTGTCACTGCACTCCAGCCTAGGTGACAGAGAGATACTCTGTGGGGGGGAAAAAAAAAGGCAGGAAAAAAATATGAAGATTTGAAGAAGAAGGTGGAGAATTCAGTTTTGGATGCTGATGGTGAGTTCACCAATAGTTGACAAGTTGTTGCTGGACATTAAGTTTTAGAGCTTTCAATGGTAGTTGATGCTACATAGAATAGAGGAGAGTTCTATAGGAGAGCATGTAGAGTGAGAATAAGTTATGATAGAACCATGATAAATATGTATTCTTAACTAGAGAAGCTAAAGAAAGAGACTTAGTGCGATTATAAAGTCAGAGAGGTAGAAGGAGAACAAAGAAAATGAGGTGCTTTAGAAGTTACATAAGTAGACAGCCGAGCACAGTGGACTGTCCAAAAATATTACATACCATGGAGTTGTCAGTTAGGAGCAGCACAGACAAAAGGTCATTGCCTTTGGGAATTAAGGCAGCATTAGTGAATTTTGACTGAGCAATGGCTGCAGAGAATTGGAGTCAAAAGATGAACGATGTGTGGTTTGACTGAGGAAAAAGATCTCAGTAGGTCAAATCAAGCTTGAAGCAAATAGTAAAACCGCTATTTAGGCTTACTCATATGTAAAAAGGAGTGATAAGTGAAAAACTGAATATTTCAACAATATTGTACCAGCATTTTAGGACTGCAAAGAATAATTACTTTAATCATAAGAAACAACAACTCATCATGTTTGTACTTCTAGCACAACTGCAACTTTTTGCCACTACAATATTATTTTCTAGTATCCTTCCACATTCTTAAAAAATAAATTTCTCTAAAAGGCCACTTTCTTTCTTTTCTTTTTTCCCTCTCTTTCTGTTAGTTTTTTTTTTTTTTTTTTTTACAAATTCAACTCTGTCAACTTCAGGACCACATATGAGGGAATCTCTCAAAGCTGTTTAATATCTTCTGTAAAACAATCAAGGCTAATCCTCACAGCATTTAAATATGCTACAGCATATAAATAAGCTTAGTGTGTCCCATTAAAAAAAAAAACAGAGACAAAAGAGCAACATTTATCCTCCCATCAACAGGACTCCTCTTGTCTTTCCTTTACTGTCTAGTGATTAGAAATAATGATAACACATTCACAGCCATCCTTGGCATGTGCTTTGCCCTCCTCTGTCTACTACAGTCTGGCTCTGCCTATCATTTGTATTTCTAAAAGAACAGGGCAGGAAAATAGAAGACCACTTTGGTAAATCGCTATTTCTTTTTTTGGTCATTATTGTGATCATTTGCTCTCCTTCAGCCTTAGCTTACTTGCTTTTACTTCTATGCAAAGATCTTTGAAATTACATACTTGTCCTATACTATAACACAATAAAGACTATTCTTTTATCCCACTGCCATACTCCCTGCACCCATGAACATAAACACATATCCAAACATGCACATAAGCTAAATGTTCAACTTGTATATCTATTCAATAATTTCTTCAAAAAATGGTTAAAATCTTTCTGTAATTGTCATTTATGTAATCCCAAATAGAAAAATATTCTGATACATAAACAACATATATATTATTTTAAGTCAGACTGCAGATCATTTTATTTGTTTGATTCCATTGGTTATTTTAAACTAACTACAATATCCACATCAATGTAAACTTATTTCTGCACTCCCTCTACCAACCTCCCACCGCCATGTTTGGTTAACATTGTATTCCTGTCCACTAGAGATAAATATTTTTTTGTCCTTAATTTGATGAGTTGTAAAGTGAAAGTAGTAAGATCCTATTGATATACTGGATTTAATCAAGAGAAGGTTATATCTTTCTCATATGACTTTAGTTGAAAGGCCTTGATTATTAAAGGTTTTTAATATTTTGTATTATTTCCTTAGTACATGTTGGGTAGCATTGTTATAAAGTAACTGAACCACTCTAAGAGACTTTACAAAGCCCAAAGTAAGGCAATTAAATTAAATCCAGAAGCTTCTGGCTTCAGATGGCAATTATTAACGTTTGCTAAATAATAAAAGTTGACATAATTTTTTAGGTTGATGTTAACCAAGAATTTAAAGAAAAAACTTTAAACATTTAATTTAAGTTAAATTTTAATTTAATTTGTTATTTAAAGTCAAATTACTTGTTTATGTGCAGTATATGGTATACTATTTTGAAAGACAGATGAAAGTTTGTCATCAAAAGAGAGCAATGACATTCAATAACAATTTAAACTTACATTAAATGTACATTAAATTTTAATGGTAAACAAAAAATAAATTATGTAATTTAAATTCTAATGGTAAGACAATGATAAAAAGCAATCATATTTTCTGTGTAAAAACTATCTTGTTTGACAAGTATTAACTTTATAAAAAATTGAATACAAAATTGCAAAATATTATTCTGAATTATCTTCCACAAAACAACAAGTGTCCTATTTTTTAAAACAAAGCAATATCAATTCTAAAAATGTTATTTCATGAAGATTTACACATTGGCAGCTTCAGATTTCATCAGGATTACCTTTATTTGTTTTCACCTAGAAGAGTTCCCTATTAGCATCTAAGCCTAAAACTTCAAAAACCCTTGCATGTTTTAGAGATGAAAAAAAAAGTTACACTGAATCTAAGGTTCATAACATTCTTTTCAAATACAGCATTTGACAACTTCTGACAAGTATGCCAGAGAAGAACCATGGGCCATCAAGTCTAGGCAGTCACGCATAGCCATCGGTCATCCATGTTCCCTGTCTCTACCTGGCTGTTCCCGCCCTAAGTCCCTCACTATGTTCTTCCCAGTAGATTTGACCTGAACCTGGGAGATATTTGAAAATCCATCAAATATCTAACTAATCTCATGTTGCTCAAACGACTTGTATAAACTAAGTGGAATACCCCAACTTGAAGGTAAATATTGTAGGGAACTAAGCTTTCCTCTTCTTTGGTATGAATGTAACATCACATAATGAATATATATATATATGTTCCTTTTTTTATATTGGATCCTATGCTACATCCTGAATTGTCTCCCACTAAAGGTTAAATTAGATATTTACCAAATCAGTAAATTTTAGACCAAAAACCCCATAAATATTCCAGAAATCTTGGCAACTAGGTCATAGAGTATAAAACAAACAAACAAACAAGAAAGCTGAGATAAAAACAATGGAGCTTACCTCTTGCCTTTATGGTACCACTTTTTATAGGTTTTGAAATTTGTACAAGAATATAGTAAAAGTGGGAGAGAAGCTATTATAACACTGCAGGAAAGGATGGCATTTAATCCTTAAAATCTTTGATCAGGTCTTTCCCTCCAAATCAAACTTGTGAAATGGCATCCTGTTAATAGTGTCAGAAGCCATATATCATGTGGGCAATGAACTCTTCAAGGTTCTTTGAACCAAATCTTCCTTGCCTCTTATAAATTATCACAGCACCTTAAGAGATCAGGACTCCTAAAGGCAGAGGTACTAATGACATCATTTTTAATCTCTGTAGACTGAAATGTATACTTAAATCCTTCTCTAAAATTAAGGGCTCTTCAGTTTTCTTGGAAACATCCACAAAGCCCCAGCAAATACTAACCAAAATGAAATTAGTCTTATCATTGTGCTCCAACCTTAAGCATAAATTGGGTAATTAGAGAGAGACGTTATTTCTTCCAGCCTAACTCATCAAGAAAACAAATAAAATTTACTGTGAAATATGACAACAATGAAAACTTCAATTTGCTTTTCCAAGAGTAGCAATAGTAGGCAGAGAATTGTGAGGATCTGGCCTGCCAATGTCCCCACTGTTTCTCTCCATTGAGAAATCACTGCCACTGCCTGTGACTAGCCCCATGGACAAGTTTCTTAGCCTGTCAAAAAAAAACATCTTGGATCCCAGGAGACAGAGATCAGTGAGATAATGGAACATACCCCAAGTCTGGCTCTTTTCTCCTTCTACAAAAGGCAGAAGAACAGTTTACCACAAGGTAGAAATGATTCAGACTCCACTGGGGCAATACCCTCATGGACTGTAAACTTAGTAAATATCAAGCACCTGTGTAATTCATGTTATTTTTTGATGATCTATAGTCCTCTCTAAAACCCTGAAGATCATGTGTTTTTTATTTCCATTTGAACAAAATTAATATCCCCAGTGAAGGTTTGTGAATTGCCAAAGCTTAGTTTTGATGCCAATTCTGCCTTATGCTAGAAACACATTTTGTGATTTTTTATATATATTATAATTTCATTTTACCCTGCTGCATTCCCATTTTTAAAAGTCTAGACATTCCTTTGTGTCTTTGGGGATTTGGGGAGCAAGAATAGAATACAGAAAAAGAAATATAAATAATTTATACTCTGATAAAAAAGATACTCTTATTAAGTTAATTGGTGCCATGAGAATCTAAAGTAAAAACATTTGTCTAAACCATACAATGTGAAACATAAGCAATTATTAGTACATATTACAATTCAGCTCCTAATTTTTAAAATATTAGGCTTTGACAATCTCATAGATTTATATATAGGAGCTGAATTATCCAAAATTTCTGCTCAAACAATTCAATTTTCATTTATTTGAGGATGGAGTTCTGAAATTCGCTCTGTAAGTATGTATCTCAGTGATTCACATATGTGGCAATGTGGCATGGTACTTCCCAGGAACCTTCTTATATCTGCCATCTTCCAGATTACCTGTAACCTCAGGCTCCCAGGGCTGAGCCTCACACTCTGGCCTCTCCACAAGCACTTTTACCATTTTGGCTTGCCATAGAGCAAGACCCTACTTTCAGTGGTAAAGAGAATATACTTCATTCTCCTGAATAAATTAATAAACACCTCTTCTAAGAAGTGTCATTAATAATGTTAGAGTTTGTTAATAAAATAAACAATATAGGAAATTTGCATTGTCATGACAGTCCTTTTTGTTTTTTAAGGCAGTGGCACCATCACAAATCACCGTAACCTGTAACCTTCTGAGCTGAAAGGATCTTCCCATCTCAACCTCCTGAGCAGCTAGGACTACAAGGTCATGCCACCATGCCCAGCTAGTTTTTAGTTTTTTTTTTGTTTTGTTTTGTTTTTTTTTTTTGTAGAGATAGGGTATTTCCATGCTGCCCAGGCTGGTCTTGAACTCCTAGCCTCATATGATCCTCCCACCTCTGCCTCCTGAAATGCTGGAATTTCAGGCATGAGCCACCATGCCTGGCCTATCACAGAACCTTAGAATCTTAATAATAATGGAAAATCAAATGGATGACTCACAACACTTAAATATACAAGATTTTTAAATTTAATTATATATATACATATATATATATATAAACCTATTTTCTCTAATACAAACTGCTAATTAATATTTCCCTGCCGTTTTTAAACTAATGAAGAAATATTAATACATAAAAAGTAACTAAGCATTATTTGTAGCCATACTCTCTCATTGTTAAATGTAAAATTATTTTGCTTAGATTCTCACACCAAAATTTGCACAACTTTAATTTTAAATGTTATCTTGGAAATTATTCTATTTTAACCCCGAAGAAGTGATGAGATCATGTTTTTGTTAGATGTCAAACCAAATAAGCTATTTAGACTTTAACTAATCTAAGCTGTAAAACACATGGATCGGTGCCTTTCAAAATGTACTTTCTTTTTATTTTACTTTTTAAAATAAGGTAAGGTCTGGCTCTGTCACTCAGGCTGGAATGGAGTGACACTACCTTGGCTCACTGCAGACTTAACCTCCCAGGCTCAAGCAATCCTCCCGCCTCAGCCTCCCAAGTAGCTGAGGACACAGGCACAAGCCACTATGACTGGCTAATTTCTTCTTCCTCTTTTGTTTTGTTTTGTTTTGTTTTGTAGAGATGGGGTCTCATTGTTATTACCCAGGCTGGTCTCAAACACTTGGGCTCAAGCAACTCTCCTGCCTCTGCCTCCCCATATACTGGGATTATAGGCATGAGCCACCATGCCCAACTCAAAATGTACTTTCAAAAACAAGTGGTCTATACATGTTCAATGTTGTTCTATCTAAATTATTTTAAAAGAAATTTACATAATTCAATAATTTGTTTTTGCCTGAGATATTAGTAAATGTAATAAGTAAAATAATGAATTGGTTACCCTAAAGCTGGAGTAAGTGTGAAGAAATATATACCTCCATACTTACTGGATGGAGTCAGTACAGTTGTGGGGGGAAGCAGTTTGTCAATGTTGATCCAAATATGAAATATACTTAACTTTTGGTCCATCTCTAAAAAAATTACTGTAAGACGACAAATTGCCAAAAGATACATATACAAGTATGCCCACCATAATATTTATATTGGGAGAAACTGTCAATAACAGCATATATGGAAAAATATACACTTGTAACTCCAAATATTACATTGGCATGGAAAAATATTGACATTATTTGATTTTTAAAAACACAGTTTGAGAAGAGTGTGAAGTGTATAGAGATTGAGTAAGCACTGTGGTTTTTCAGCAAGAGCTCTAAACTTAACTGTGTCACACTGGGCAAATGGTTTGACCTTTCTGTGCCTCTGTTTCTGTATCTGTAAAGCTGATTAATAATTTAACCTTCCACAAAAGATTTTATGAGGATGTGATCATTAATGCTTAATGGAACCATGTCCCACCCATAGTGTGCTGGCCGCAGGTGTACACCATTAATATTTTCTAGTTTATGTGTAAACTTAGTACATACACAGATAGTATGTACACATAAGAGTTCTCTAAAAAGATGTTCTCAAAATTTTTTTCTTAAAACATAATTTTTCAGGCACAGTGGCTCACGCCTGTAATCTCGCACTTTTGGAAGCTGAGGCAGGAGGATAACTTAAAGCCAGGAGTTTGAGACAACCCTGCACAATATAGCAGGACCTTATCTCGACAAAAGAAAAATAAATTAGCTGGGCTTGGTGGCATGAGCCTGTATCCCTAGCTACTTGTGAGGCTTAGGTGGGAGGGTCCCTTGAGTCCAGGAGGTCGAGGCAGCAGTGAGCTATAATTGCACCATTACACTCCAACTTGGGTGACAGCAAGATTCTGTCTCAAAAAAAAAAGTGATAACAGAGATAATCATACAAGAGGGAAAAGATATGAACAAGTATAATCATTAAAGTGGTTTTATTTTTTAAATGATTGGTAAAATTATAAATATCAAGCCATAAAGCATTGGATTAATAAAGTGTGAAAAATCCATAAATAGATTACAATATGACCAATACAAAAATGGTATAGTTTATTGACATGACGAGAAATCCATAATATATTGCTAAGAATAATGTGCATAGTATGACCCCATTAATGTACTATTGCATATTGTGTACCTAGAGACTTGTCTAGAGGGACGTTAACTAGAATGTTAACAATGATGATGCTTGGAAAAGTTAATTTTCTGATATCTTTGCTTTTTGCTTAATATGGTACTGTATTTTTCAATTTTTTTGTACAATGAGCACATTTTTTCCCCCAGAGCTAATATAATGATTCTGTAGTTTATTTCTAAGTTTATTTCTAAGCTAAGCTCTATCTCCCTGACTATAATACTTTTTCTACTTCTACTTTACAGTTACCCTGGTTCTCTTAATCCAGATGGATAAAGGAAACACTTATCTATCTGGATCCACTATATTTTTCTCTGTGAACTTCCAGACATTTTTTATTGACTTAGAATCTTCTGACTTGTCTTAAATTTTGTTTCTGGCCTTCAGAAAGCTCACCCTCTTCTTTGCCCTACCAAGTCTGCCTGAAGCAAAACCAACACCTCTATTTATAACTTCTAAAAAGTTTGCCTTTTTCACTTATTGTGTTACTGTAAGTGACTTTCTTGGCAGGGTCTCAGTAGGCATCACGTGGTATAAATCTTGGGTCATCATTGGAGCATAACAAGTATTTGTCATTTTCCAAGATGCCAGTGTAGATTTTTGCTTTTCCTCCTCCCACATTCCTTAATGAAACTCAACAGCTTCTTGCACTCTTCCAATCTCATTTGAATTCTTTTCAATTCATTTGTGTAGCAAATAAGACAATACATAAAAATCCAAGGAATGACCAAGCTCATTAAGGTTTAGGTCACCGTCTCTGTCAACTTGGCAAGGCCACTTTTAGTGGCCCACTGTCCTAAGGATTTATCTCCCAAATACCAACATTACAATTTTACAATATCAACATAATTTAGAGCAGTAACTAAAACAGTCAAAATTTAAAGCAAAGAAAAAAAAGCAATGTTATTCTTTCAATAATAATTTTCTGCCACAAGTTTTTTTTTTTCACATCTGCCTAATGGTATTGGCAAAAAAACAAAACAAAACAAAACAAAAAACAAACAAAAAAAACTTTCCTCTAGTTATAAAGTCTCCAATGATAAAAGAGTTAAATCTTCCCAATGTTGCTAATTTATTGTGATGTGTGTGAAGTTGGATTTGCTGAGTTGGAAATGCTAGCATAATCTAAGGTAATCTCCTTTTCCTCATTTATATAATGGGGATGATATGGCTTTCTACCTCATACTGTTGTAGCACTCATGTTATATAATTCATATCTAGGACTTACCATACTTTCTGGCTCATGGCATTAACCATTCAAATTTTTAGTTTTTGTTGAGAGTCTGAAATCTCCATGTATGGAGCAAACATGTGAAAAGTAATATTATTGCTCATTACTAAAAAACATTACATTTTCTTCTCAATAATTTCTACAAAATCCAAAGAAACCAAAAATAAGTACATTTGTAAAAATAAACCGCAACTTTATGTATATTGCCCATGTAAAGAAATGATCAAAATTGTCAACAAATCTAAAGTTCTCTTTTTGAGGTCAGTTCATCAAATAAATGAAGGAAAATTATTGCTGAAAATTTCAACTGAAACTGGGCTTTTCAAAAATAAACATGGAAAATAACTTGTTTAATTAAGTACTATTTCATTTACTTAATATCACAAACAACTTAAATATATAAAAATAAGGAAATATCTAATAACTAACTAGCAGGCTTATCAAGAGAGAAGCAATTCTGGTAGGCTTCTGTCTAATCAATCACTAGAATCAGCATTTTTAGAAATAACATTTTAATATTTAGAATGCAAAGTATGTATTTGATTCCCTATTATAATCTCAAAAGGAGCCAAATATTTGTAGAAAATTAAAAGAAATATCCAAACAAGCTATTATAAAATGGCATTTTCCATACTGAAATTTCAATACCTAAAATGAATAGTCAAAAAGTGACATAAACCAGAAATGTCATTATGCAGATGAAGCCTCTATTTTAATTAATGGTTGAGAATGAGAGAACTGAGGGTCTAATTCCAGAGCTATTTTGACATATATCAAACTTCCCTTAATTTACACTGAAAGGCCTTTTTGACAAGTTCTCATGTCGATAAGCTCCTATTAGCTACCAGTACCTTAAAGTGGTGTTTTGTCACTGACCTACATTAGTATATCAAACTATGACAGCAAATTAATGGTTACACATGATCCTAATTCAGATTACAGTCTCTAGCCAAACATTTAGAAGAGCACCTCAGTAACAATGAAATACAAATATTTCTGCGCCTACATTACTCATTTGATAAGTGACACTAAAGAAAAGATAAATACAATAATAAATAGCTGTACAGGTACTCAAAATCTTTTTTTAGTTAGGATTTAGTGCAAAGATCACATAATTCAATTCTGGAAATAAACTTCCTCTTTAAATAAACAGAGAAGTAATCATTAATTTTGAGAAACCTAAGGACTGTCTTGCACATGATATATGTGTGTATATTTATGAAAACCTCAAATCAAAAATACTTACTTATGTCATGATATTTGTTTTGAATTATTTTGTATCTTCTTGAGATGGAGACTGCTGACAATGTGCTGTGAAGCTAAGGGCATTTATACCTTTTTTTTGGAAGAGTTTACCTAAAGCTCTGATTATATCTTTTCAAGAAAAGCTTCCTGTAATGCTAGTCAACACTAAATAAGCCTTCCCCTAGAAAGATCATGTTCTCCCATTAGTGATTTATATGGGGAGAGGACCTAGGGCTCATCCCAATTTGGTTGTATAGGGAAAAGAGTAAAAAACCACAAGACTGTCCCTATGCTGCTCTAGCTTTTTCTCATCCATTCTTACCTGGAGAACACATACATCACGTTTAGAATGGCCCAGTTACCATCTATATGGCCCACAAATTTATATTTTCCACACAGACTTTGCCCTGTCTTCTAGGCCCCTGTGCCCAGCTGTCTACTTGACAGTTTCTCTTGATGTCTTAAATATATCCCAATATATCCAATTGAATTCACGTTCAACACCTCTCTTCTCTCAAAAAAGGTGTCTTTTTTCAGCCTTTCCTACATCATTGAATGGCAATACCATCGGAAATGTTTCATATACCACAAACATAAGAACTTGCCCTTTTAATCTGTCCATTTCCTCCATCTTTGCCATTCTCATGCCAATGCAAGCCACTATCATCTCTCACTCCAACCACTGCAAAAGCAGTCTGATGGTACCTATCCCATTGAATCTCCAGGGAGAACACTAGTGATCTTTTCAAAATGACCATATTAATCCCTTACTCAAGAATCTTCAATGGTTTTCTAACACTTTAAAAGTAAAATTGTCATTAACATGACCTTAAAAACGCTGGAAATTCTTCTTCTGCTTCCTCAGGGTATTCAAACTCGTTTCTCTCTCTTTCCGGTCTTTCTAACTTGCTCTGTTTAATCCTGGCCCAAGGCCTTTGCATGCATGTTGTTCTCCCTAGTTTCGAAGTCCTTTCCACTAATCTAATTGCTTACCTAAAACTCAGCTCCAGTGTCCCCTCCTCATGGACACATTCCTTGACCCCTGTGAACAAATCCAATCATTCATTTATGGGTACTCAGAGCTCCATAAACCAGCTCTTCATACTACTTAACGTGATACAGTTTTACACACATATCTGTGATTGTTAAAGTCAGTCAGTCACCTTCTGTTAAAAATAAACTCCTTACAAGCAAGAACGGCACCTGATTTTATTGGCATTTTATCCCAAGGACCAAGCAATGTGACCAGCACATTGTGTTGTTCATTCAACGCTTACCGAATGAATTAATTAATGCAGCAGAAAAAAATGGCCTATCTAGATCTGTAGTAGAATGAAAAGGAGGGAGGAAGGGAGAAAGGAGGGGAGGGGGGAAAGGGAGGAAAGAAGGAAGGAAGGAAGGAAGGAAATAGAGAAGTTAAACATAATTCTTGAATATGTGCAAACACTAACTCTAATTTTACAAATTACTTGCAGTTGTATTTCTAAATTCTATCTTTTCCTAACTGATTGTCACTTGATCAAATGAAACTAATTCAGGTCAATATCTCTTATGGTAAGATAAGTTATGTCATACTTTCCTTTAACCTGAGGAGTAAAGACTAATTGCCTTTCCTATGTTCTATTTATTATGTGGTAACTTTTACATATAAAAATGTCTGAAAGTGTGCTGCTTAAAATGCACATTATGATTGTATTACAATATTTTCCCGAGGTGTCATATTATAATATTCTTACTGGTTGGTGGATCGTCAATCACCTCCTATTATTCTGGACTGGAACAGTAGACTATCTGCTTTATGTAGGCAAGTCACAGATACTGACATTTGTAAATAACATCCTTGAGTTTGAACAAATTCAAACAAATCTTCTCTTCTGTGAGTGTACATTTCTGATTTGCAGGCAAGTTGTAAAACGTCTATTATAATCTGCAAAATTATATTTGTTTTCCAAATAATGAAATTGTTTTTACCCATTTCTAGACCTTTATTCATCTTAAAGTATTAAATATATGTTCCTCCTATTACATCAACACCTTGTAAACTAAATGATTAAAAGCATATCCCATTTTCAGCTAACACATGCTACTAAACTCCAACCTATAGAAAGAAGGTGCCAAGGGTATTTAATCTCTTCAGGCTCATCTCCATATTTTCTATAGACCTGATAAAAATTATCAAAGCTTTATTTTCCATGATAGAGATACTTCCTAATAGATATTTCATCTACTATTTTTTCATGGGAAGAAAGTACACTATGCTCTACTACCTTGAATCTTTTGTTTGTTTGTCTTATGGCAGCAATAGGAGAAACATACTTTAAAGATTAACTTTTTTTCTGTAATATTACCAAAAAAGGACATGTCATTTATTATAGATGGAATGTGTTCCCCCAAAAGAGAAATGCTGGAGTCTCAACCTCCATTAATTCAAAATGTGAGTTTATTTAGAGTTAGGATCTTGACAAGGGTAATCAAGTTGAATTGAAATCTTTAGAGTGGGCCCTAATACATATACAGATGTTCTTGTATAAGGGGGAAATTTGGACACAGACAAGCACACAAGAAGAATGCCATATAAGCATTAAAGCAGAGACGGATGCGTTGCATCTCCAAGGACCACCAAAAGCTAGGGGAGAGGTTTGAAGCAGATTCTTCCTTACAGCCCTCAGAAGAAACCAACCCTGTGGACACCTTGATCTTGGACTTAGAGTCTCTAGAACTGTGAGACAATAAATGTGTTAAAGCCATCCAGTTTGCAGTACTTTGTTGCAGCTGCCCTAGCAAACAAATACACTATTAAACAATTTGTGGCTGGGTGTGGTGACTTATGCCTGTAATCTTAACCCATTGGGAAGCCAAGGCAGGAGGATCGATTGAGCCCAGGAGTTCAAGGCTGCAGTGAGCTACGATCGTGCCACTGCAACTCCAGCCTGGGTGACAGAGATACTGTCTCAAAAACAAAAACAAAAACTCTGTGAGAAAGATGGGATGCTTACAGTTTGGCATTTCTCCCTGATTATATGAGAATATAGTTACCAAACCTGTAGGTGAGTAGGAATGATAGCATCCGATACATCTACCTATCCTTCCTTCCTTCATGCTCCCTTCCATTTTCCTCTCTCTACCACTTTCTTTTCCTTCAATATTTTTCTCTCCTCTTTTCCTCCATCCCTCCATCCTGTCTCCTCCCTTCCTTTCTTCCTTTGAATAGTGTGATGAATAATGATGCTCTCAACCTTCCAAATACTAATAAAGAGAAACTTGAATTTTCCAAGTGAAGAAGCCCAATTTTATTGTACCTTAAACTTACATATAGTAAACTTAAGTGAAGGATGGTTATAAAATCTGAATTTATATCAATAATCTCCTCTATTTTTCCTGGAGGGGAAGAGCCTCGGTTAAAGAGATTTAAGAATGCTTTGAGTACTTGTGTTTGCCCTAAAGTTAGGGGAAATCTATCAATCTCTGCCATTTACCCAAAAAACATTGTACCCCAGATTAAACTGAACCAAAATCTTATAAGAGATTATGGGTAAAGAAGACATGAGCAAGGGCTTCATCGGCAGAGGAGTTTCAAGGACATCCTATCGTATATTATGGCAAGGATATGACCGTTCTAGGAAACACATGTAAAGCATATAGGTGACTACACAGGACATATTTGAAGGTGAATGAAGGCAGACAGAGTAGATTGTGTCCTGAATGATTAGCTGTCTGCTCTGTCTTAGCTTGAGAGTGGAAACACACATGCACACACACAAAAGTGACTCTGTACTCAGTTCTGGGTAACCCTATGCATTTGCTCTTGAGATTCTCTTATGTGGCAGACCTGACCTTGGTCACTGGATTAAGAAAAGAGCTTGGTTGGTATTTTTCCTTGCCTTTCAATTAATAGCTTTTTGACACAGCTGGTGTTTAATAGAGCATCGTTAACATCACAAAAAAATAGTTCCTGCAGATTTTATCAAATGAAATGTCTTGACTAAAAGATGCATTCTATTTTTGACTATCAAACATTGATTGCCCTAAAGGCTGGTAATTGAAACCTAACCTCTACCTGCTCAGCTTGTCAACATTCAATGCCAGTTGTCTCCCACCAGAGAATGAGATTACCATCTGCTATTCTGTGGTTTCTTCTGTGCTACAAACAGATTTAGTAGGAACTATTAAAGCTAATTAACAGTCACAGACTACCCTGTGATACTCAACTTACTGCAATTTTATCTGAGCCAGAGAAAAAAGAAAAACTACAACACTGTTCATAAGTGATTGTTTAGTTATACAAGTTAAAGACGCTTACAAACCAAGAGCAGTGCAATGACCTTAATAAGAATGTAGTCACATTGCATTACTAAATTTCCATAAACTTTTTGTCTGGAAAATTGCTATGCCTTTACTTCCATCTTCTCTCTCCTTAATAACTACTAATTGGTAACATTCAAAAAAAGAATGTTTCTTTAATAATTCATTTTTAATAATTTATATTGAGAAAGTCCCTTTCAGTTCTGGAGCTTACTATTTTACAACTGTATAAAACATTCCACTTAGAAATAAATAGCTAGTTTATTTGTCATTAAAATGCTAAGAATGGCTCTTCTTTAAAAATACTCAACTTCAAACGTAAGAGGAAACTGAGTGGAGAGAAAGAGAGAGACAGAGACAGAGCGATTCCCAGATATTCCATAGAAAAAGTACTTCCTGTTAACAGTGTTATATTTGGATTTGATTTCCTATCAGTGGAGAAACAGACTAACAGACATGGGCCATATGTCACAGAGCATACATTTTTAAACCTTAGCAGAAATAACTTAAACAGCAGAGTAAACAGTTGTAAAGCAGGGAAGCTGAAGATTTCCACATATAAAATAACATTTTCTCTTCTTTAATAGGTATTCTACTGACAAGCTTTAAAGTGTGAAAATTAGGTTATCCTCTGACAACAGTCTTGGGAAGTAATTTTGTGCTATATTTCATTTCGTGCTTTATTATTATTATTATTTTAATATCAGTGCTTTCTAGCAAGAAAATAAGGAAGCCTAAAAAATAAAAATTACTGCTAAGTTTTTTGAACTCAAACAATCTGACGAGGAGATACAGACCCTGGAAGAACAGAGCTCAATCAGATTTTATCCTTCAGGAGCAGTGCTAGACAGAGCAGGCAGGACTTTTAATATGACACGACCCAGAAAACGCAACCTGCACGTAAGTAACGTAACTTCTGTGGTATATCCACATCTCAGATTCTATTTACCATGTGTGGATATTCAGATTCTCAGTTCGGGTTCAGACAGTGTAATAATTCTAGCTTCTATGAAGAGTAGCCTGTTGTTATTACTATTCTTTAAAGTTTATTTATCTGAAGTCTGAATATTTTTTTCAAAATCATAAAGCCAAAATACAAATGCAGGAAATATTTTATCAGCATTGGATTGCATCTGCTAACGTAAACCTCCCTCTCCCTTCCAACCATAACTGGAATCGCCACTACCATATTCTCTTACACACACATACATCCTCCTCCTTTGGACAGCTGCATGGTATTAATAGAAATTCTGTAGTTGCCATACATAATGAAGGAGAGATGGTGCCTAAGGCTCTTTCAGAGAAGCAGAGCCACAAATTCCAAAGTGGAACTCTTCTCCCCATTTTAAAGACTAACCACCCATTTTCCTGGAATGAACTTTGTTATGTGTTGAATAAGCCCCAGAGAAAAAAGAGTCATGGATATATATATATATATATATATATATATATATATATATATATATGGTATATAGTTACAGATGACATTTCGGTGACTGTATGTAAAACTGCTAATAAAAGGCTCAAGTACAGGTATTTTTTAAATGACTTGTGGCTTGACTTGATTAGTAGATGTGATGAAATTGATGGTTCATTTCCTACATAAAAGACAAACAGTCCAGGTGCAGTGGCTCACACCTGTAATCTCAGCATACTGGGAGGCCGAGGCAGGAAGATCACTAGAGGTCAGGAGTTCGAGACTAGCCTGGCCAATATGGAGAAATCCTGTCTCTACTAAAAAACAAATTTAAAAAATTAGCCAGGCATGGTGGTGCAGGCCTGTAATCCCAGCTACTAAGGAGGCTGAGGCATGAGAATCTCTTGAGCCTGGGAGGTGGAGGTTACAGTGTGCCAAGGTCACGCCACTGCACTCCAGGCTGGGCAACAGAGTAAGACTCCATCTCAAAAAACAAAACAAAACAAAACAAAAAACAACATGACAGAGAAAATAAAACTGTCTTTAACTATAGAACAGTTACTAAACATTTTCAACTGGAATGACGTCTTCAGTTAGAATTAGTTTGCAATAGAACTTTGAAACTGGAAGCTGGCAAAAGCACAAGAGGGAAAAGAACTTAAACTAGAAAGGAATTTGATAATTATGAAAGCATGAAATAGCATGGAAGAAATCGGTATGAGAAAAAACAAATCTTAAGTAACTAAATTTAATTCAATTTGATGAATATTTAATTGAGTAGCTACTCTATACAAAATGGTGTATTAAGATCTCTGAGTGGGCCAGGCGTGGTGGCTCACGCCTGTAATCCCAGCTCTTTGGGAGGCCGAGGCGTGAGAATCATGAGGTCAGGAGACTGAGACCATCCTGGCTAACACAGTGAAACCCTGTCTCCACTAAAAATATAAAAAATTAGCCAGGCGTGGTGGCAGGCACCTGTAGTCCCAGCTACTAGGGAGGCTGAGGCAAGAGAATGGCGTGAACCCAGGAGGCGAAGCTTGCAGTGAGCTGAGATCACACCATTGCGCTCCAGCCTGGGTGACAGAGTGAGACTCCATCTCAAAAGGAAAAAAAAAGATCTCTGAGTGATGCAAAAGTATAAAAAACAGTTTTTATTTCTTCCTAAAGTGCAAAGTATAATTAGGAGAGTCAGATACATTGGTGTTACCCATGAGCCAAATGCACCAGAATCACTGGAAATATAGATGTGAAAAAATGCACATTTGATTAATCAGGCTGAAAATATCAAAGTTACCTTCCATTTAGAGAAACTCAGAACTTTTTTTTCTTTGGTAAAATTTCATCCAGACTCTGGAGTTCTCTGTGTATCTTTCTAGTCGCAGAACCATCGAGCCAACTCACTGTTTTATCAATATTATCACAAGAGTATTCTTTTCATATTTATTTCCCATCTTAGTTTCCTTGAAAAATGTGATGAAAATGCAAAGATCACAAATTCATGCATTTTTTTTTGACTATGAACCTTTGTCTATGTGTTAATAGTTCAGGTTCTAGTATCAGTTGATTTATCTTTTATAAATGGTTTTAAAATTTAAACATGCAAGAGGTTTTCTTGATTTCTATTAGTGATTATCTCACCCTCGTGAAACAGAAAAAAGTGTTGTAAATGTTGTAATTCAGTATTGTATACACAGAGAGAGAGAGAGAGAAAGAGAGAGAGAGAGAGAGATAAGGCAGTTTTCAGAGTAATTAAATCAAAAAGCTGTAGGCTCCATATATGACATAGCAAAATGGGGAAAGATTGATCAAGGGAAAATAGGCCCATATATCTGAATAAAAAGTAGAAGAACGGTGCTATAATAAAAGTAAAAAACAGGACATGATTATTGTGTTGTAGCACAACTTTAGGAGTAAAAGTTGATAAGCGTAGGAGAAAGAGAAAAAAAACTAGAACTAGTGTGTAATAGAGAAGTGGGAAATAGCATTGAAGATATGGGTATGAAAAGTGGTATATTCTGATTGTTTTGGTTGGGTATTCAGTATCTGACTGATCTCTCAACTAAACTATGAAACTGAAATAGAAAATTCAGCAACACTGAAGTCATTCATCAAATGTAACGGGGATGATTGCCTCCATCCATTTATCCCATAGGAGATATCACAACCATGAGGGAATAATAACTTTATACCAAGAGGAGACACCATAGGCATGTAGATAAGTAGTGTCAATCATTTTCTCTTTGACTATTGATTGTCAGAAAATAAGCTTCTGCATTAAAACCTGAAGACCTAATGGATCAGAATCTCTTGGGTCAGGGTACCCAAGGAGCTGCATTAATGATATTCACAATATAATCTGAGGATCTCTTTTTTAATACAAAAATACTTTGAAAAGTACTATAATAGATCATCACTTAATATGACACGAGGACATGAGGGATTGATAGAACACAACTAAGATCAGAAGAAGGAATCAAAAATTGAATGTGACCTGAGCTTTGCAAGATGATTAGAAGTTTACTAGGCATGTGCAGGAGAGAAGTATATATGCCAGGTATAGGGAATAAATTTTAACAAGGCTCAGAAATATCTGATAATGGAGTACAGTGAAGAAATAAAGCAATATATAATAGGTGGGCCAAACGAGCAAGAGCTTTGAATTGTAGATTATTCTGGAAATACCAGAGAGCCATAGTTGGTTTTAGATAAAATTATAGAGAGGCCACTTTGGGTAGGATGAACTGAAAGAAAGATGCATTGGATCATTACGGAGGACTCTACTAGGGATAACGGGACCAAATTAAGACAGTTATTGCGGAAGATGCCCAGAATTCACTTGAGATTCCATGCAAAGGGGTTTATTTGAGCATGTTGAGGATGACAATATTAGACATTAATCTAAGATGACAGCAATGTGAATTTGAGGAAAAATATGTGCATGTAATTAACAGAAAAACTTGAAGATCTGAACTTCCTACTAAATTACCTACTTCAGTGAATGGTACCAAAAAAATCACACACTGTCACATCCTATATCTGCAAGTCATTTAGACATGTTCTCTCTGCCAACATCTTTCCACATCCATAAATATACTGCTAATAAGATTTAAAATATATATTATATTATGCTTAAAATGTGCCAAGAACTATTCTATGCACTTTACTCATACCAATTTAATCCAAACAAACACTCTATGAGATAGGTACTATTCTCCTGAGTTTGAAGAGGTGAAGAATGAGACTCAGAAAGGTTAAATAACTTGCCCAGGGTCACAAAGGGAGTAAGAATCTGAGCATTCTTAAGCATTGTACTATAGCACCCCTCAAATAGCTTTCCAATTATTCCTCTCTAGTACAACTTTCCTCCTACTGATCTAGTTAAAGTTACTTTCACCTCTTATCTAAATTTCAAAGGTCTCCAAATGAATGTTTCTGCCTTCAGTTTTATTCCTTCTCAAGTCACTCTCCTTTATGTTGTTGCCCCAGTCATTCTAAAATGCAAGTCACATCATCCCTCTACCCTGAAGCCAGTAAGATAGTATACACACACACACACACACACAATTGTATCATTTTTCTAAACTCTTAATCACACACACAGAGAGAAATTCAGGGAAATTGGTTATGGCTTGTCTTGGCTTTAGAAACGGAGACATTAATTGCTATTGATCCCTGGAGTTAAATAATGTATTGTTCCTTCCTCTCTACAGAGAAATCATTAATTTTATTTCATTGAAGCTTTTTTCATCAGTCAAAGCCCTGTCGGGAATCAGATAGCACACTCAAAATCATGATTGAAGAGATATTAACAAAGAGGCTGCTTACCAAGGAGAGGATGGAGTTGAGAAACAGCGAGGAGTGTGAAAGACTCTGGAACTAGGAGGGCTAGAAGCCCCTTCCCCACCTGGGCCTGAACAGACAAGAAGTCTGGATCTGCCCAGACATTTAGCTGATGAGGGCCTCCAGGCAGGAGCCATTACTTGGACAGAGGAACACAGCCATTGACAAACTGTGGCTCCCTAAAAGAGGAAGTTAGAGCAATAAACCCCCAACCTCTTCTCTTCCTAGAAATCAATCTCTTCCCCCTTTGTTCCATTGGCCTAATCCAATGAGAGCTCAGCTGAGTCAGCCCATCAAGGAACAAAGCCAGGTAGACAGGGTTAGAGAGTGAGTATGGAAGCACCAATCGGAAACATCCAGCGCATTTGTGTGCCTTTATATATAACAGTTTTGTCTTTGACATTAAATTGTATGAATTCAGGCCTACATGAGTGTAAGAAACAAGGATATCATCTGATTCTCCATAACAAGAAGGCTTCTGGGCTTCCATTTCCCACTGCCTTATTGCAAGGATTTTGACAGGTGGAGACATGAATAAATCCTTACTGCTGATAAATCCTAATGGAAAGCAAGACCAGATTATTGCACTCGTCTTCCAGAAATAACAGTTTATTTCATCTTCCTGGCTCTTAGAATTGCTTCTCATTATGATTTATTCACATCGTATAATGCAAATTACTACACAAATTATAAATTTAACATACACACATGTTATGCATATACAGTACAAACATTTATATGTGTGTATTTCCATGATTTTAAATATACTGGGCTCTTTGTTGTGTGTTTCACATAAAGTTACTCATTTAAAGTTCAACAACCTAGGATACTTGTCTCATCATCATTTACATAGAAGAATCCTAAAGCTTAGAGAAAGTAAGTGAATACCAAGAGTTCACATATTAAGGAAAAGGTGGAAGCTAGAATGCAAGTTACAGGAATCTAAAAGTGTCTCACTCTCAGTGACAAAGTTTTCCTGCCTACAATTGCTGAATGACGTAGAGTAATGTACTCTTACACATTTTCTTTGTGTAATGTCGAGTAATGTACTATTACACATTGTGTTTGTGAGAAACAAACAGAAACACTGTTCTTCCTATGATAATCTTAACAAAGTCACTCTCTTTCTGAAGCTTCTTCATGATCAAAAGATTGAGGTGATTTTTTAACCATCACTTGACATCACATAATTTTATGGTCTGAGCACTCCATATCGGGCAGAGGGGGATAAACTAAATCACTGGAAGACAAATGTGGATTTAGACACAAATTCCTGAAGAAACAGAAAGGGAAAGATTTTCTCCACACAGTATTTGTCAACTGCTATGAAATCCTATATTTCTACTAACTCAGGGAAACTTTAATGATCAGCTGGAGCAAGTACAAAAAAGAAGTGTTTGGAGAAGAAAACTACATATTAAAGAACCTATTCTTCTTCTTTCAGGGCATACAACCAAAATTTAAGCTAATATCATGCTGCATTTTAAAGATCCTAAGTAATACAAACCTATTTTTACAATTTGCACGTTTTATGCATTCTTGGAAGAAACTTCATTCACACTGTACGTGCTCACAGCCTGTACTCTTGGAACTAATTGGCAAGTGTGAATTCGTAAGTCTGTCTGAAAGAACTGTGTCCCTGTGTACATATCCAACTGTTTTGAATTTTTTTAAATTTATTTCTGTTTTTACTTTTCCAGGTATCTAATGTGAGAGGTAAGAACAACCTTCAGAGAAAAAGCCTTTCACTGAAGGAAATTCACATTATAAATATGAGACAACGAAGAGAAGCAAGCAAACTGAGTGATTTTAAAATATAAGTTGTGGATTCTTTTTAGGACCTGCTGCCCAATAAGCCAATTAAGATTGCGGAGAATATAAGTGTTTTGGAAGGCACTGCATCCCCAAATAAAAAAGATAAGAATCATAGCAACATTTGGTTGCTCTCACATTGTGGATACAGTAAATAGAGCAGGAGTCACAAAATTTTTAACTAGTTCTTGCTTTTAAACTTAATTGCCTATTTAATAAATACCATATATGTGAAAGCACATAAAGCTAATTCATATTTTAAAACAATGTGTTTGTTATAAACTAGGGGGAAAATTCAAATATATACATATATATAGTAGAGATGGGGTTTCACCATGTTGCCCAGGTTGGTCTTGAAATCCTGGACTCAAGTGATCTTCCTGCCTTGGCCCCTCAAAGTGTTGAGATTACACGTGTGAGCCATCATGCTCAGCCCGTAGTCTCTATTATGTTGAAGAACTATCTAAAGACAAACAATGTAGCTTAGCTTGTTAGACTAGATATTTATTTTCTTAAACATGTCTTATTTGTAAAAAAGAAAAAAAGACAAAAGGAAGAAGGGAAGTGAAGAAAATAAAAGAAAGAAAAGAAAAGAATATGAGAGGGTATCACTCTAATAGGGAGGGCCCAAGTGAACCTTAGTAGTTCCTAGCATAGAACGATAGGTGCTCTGCCTGAGTTTCTCAAAGTTGATATTCTTCAAAAGCTTCTCACTTCCCATTAATGAGCATATCGCTTTTCTGTAAGATTCCAGTGTGGTTTATTTTCTTCCAGAAACAAAAGTAAAGTTGATTATGATCATTTAATAAATTCTTTTTTTCTTTATCTTCTGCTCTCCAAGAAATTTTTTAAACTATATATCATGAATACTTGGAAAGTCTCAAATTTTTATAATAAAAATGCCAGGTGTTGACTATAGTGAACTAATTATTGCTAGTTAATATATACAATTTGACACGAACAGATAGTGAAAAATACATACAAAAATCAATAATCACAGAACTCTAGGTAATCTAGCAATCATTTTATAATGAGAAAACTAAAGAAAAATTAAGTGATTTACCCAAAAGCCACACCTTTAGACGTCAACATTAAAATTTAGCCCAAATCATAGAATAGAAAGTGGGGAAAAAATCCTCTATATTTAGAAAGAGAGAAAGAAAGCAAATAATTTCAATGAACCAATCAGGTGTTTTAATAATATTCAAACTGATGTTTATTTTCTTAAAATAGCTGCAGGGAAACCACTTGGGCTGGAAATATTAAGGCATAACAATTTAAAAGGAAGAACTGCAAAATCACTTGTATCTACACCTATATGTATATTTCACAAGTAGCAATTTTAAAGGTTACATTTCTCTAATTTTTATGAGTGAATTACAGGTCACTTAATATAAATTTTAATTTATATCAGGTATTTTGTATGTCAATTTGATTTATTTGTATATACCTAGATCTAAAGCTGATACACATTTCAAGAATTATTATTCCTTTATATATTTTAGATATATTAACCTATAACAAAATTTCTACTTGAGATATCAAATGCCATAGTTTGTGCTATGTGTCTGTGCTTTAAATAACTGGGATATACAAAGAAATGCAGAGAAAGAAGGACATATATTTCAAACAGTATTTATATGACATGGCTCATAATTCAATGCACCATTAGAGGAAATAATCTACAAATATTTGGTAAATTTTAAGCCAGGAAAGCAGAACTCTGATAGTAAAGTGAAACTGTGTCTTCAAAAAGAGAGGTTTAAATATACAGAGGATATGTCTTTGTCTCTGATGAGCATAACCAGTATAACTTGTATTCCCAAGTCAATTTCAATCATGACAGGTAGCATACTACAGTAAATATTATAATAAAGCTATATCATAATGATTCTCATCTTTCTACAGCCACCAAAAAAAAAGAAATCAAAGATATGAGATACTTAGGCTCAAAAACCTAAGCAAATGATTTAACCACAAAGGCCATTTCCTTTTTGACAGCTGAAATACATATGAGTAAAATGAAGAATCCATTTAAACAGCTGCATTCCATAATATTTTTCAGATCCTTTGTCTATCTAAATTTGTGTGTTTCAATAAAGTCAAAAGGTAGTTTCTATGAAAAAATTAGACATTAATAGACTGTGTTATCTCTATGTTTCTGTGATGTCTAGAGCTGTGGAACTTGGACACTATTAATGAAATTCAGACTGAGTAGGCTGCTTTTATCAGTGTTTAAAAATCCAATTCTTCTTAGGTTTACTAAACCAGCAACTTTTTTATAATGAAAATTTTGTAAATTGCTGTACCATTCCATTAAGAATTTTATTAGAGATCAATGAAAAGTTAAGTTTAAAGATAAATTCATATATCTACATAAACATACATAAATTCCCCAAAATATTGAAAAACAACACTACTTCCAACATTAGGGGAAAACGTACTTTTATGACAAAATACTTTTTTATAAACTGGTAGGTGACATAATTCTTCAATCAAATGCTGAGATTAGAAAGAAAAATATAATTTCCTGTATTTAGCCTTGAGCACTTTGGTATGAAGCAAGAAAGAAAAATCAACAGAAATATTACTGTAGATGTCATTATGCCAATAGGAAGGTACTCAAATAAAATTTATACTGTAGAAACTAGTATTTTAATCTATATGTAGTTAGTTTAGCTTATACACATAGACATCTGAAAAAGTTCCTTTCACAATGCTTCTGTTGACGCAGATTCTTTACTGACTCTCCCACTCTTTCATACCACATTTCATGCAGACATATTTCCTCTCTTTTTCTCAAATGACTTGATATTTTTCCTGGTTATTTTAATACTTGTCTGGAAAGCTACTTAGCATTGCTTGGTTTTTGCTTCCAAACTAGCCTATCAGGACTAAGGGAAAGAGAAGCTTATTAGATTATATAATAGGATTAATAAAGACCAATTGCCTTATTTTGCACTCACTTATTAGTTTAACTAGATCAGGGACACCTTTGCTGTCAGTAATTAAATTTATGTATTAGTGAATTTTCATTTCTAAATCTCAAACATTTCAAAAACAGTCCTTTTCGATAATTGTCCACTTGCATGTTTTTCTAAAAGGAAATCAAATAAAACAACTCTCATTTAGCACGTACGAACATTTTGGCATAAAGAAGTCAAACAATTTAACCAAGGATACAGAAAAATGGAAGAATAGGAAATTATATCCAGTTATTCGCATGTCTAGTCATAATAAAAACTTGCAGAATGATTCAGGATATGTCTATGCACACAAAATAATAATATTGAGTTTTACTACATGAACTGTTACTTTTATCCCATTAAGTCCTGGATCAAATCTAAACTTCTTTAACTCTCTGTGTAATTCCATACAAGGTGATCATATTCATTGTCTCAGCTTTCTCAGCTGGAAAGCTGAAAGACAGTCATTTATGAAGTTTCCCTCAAGCTCTCAAATTCTGTTAACTAGTGACTGGTTTGCATTCAGAAACTGGCCAAGTGACCACACTGGCCTTACTCCAGTCACTTTTGGCAACAGCATGTTAGCACAACATTGGCAGAATTCAGACATGCTGTTGAATCCAAACAACATTAAAACAATGGCAACAAGAAAAAATTAAACAGCCAATTTGAGTTAATACACAAAACTATAACCCTATCAGAAAAAAAAGAATAGCACATGTCTGCCTATGCAGCTGAGAGGGAACTTTGGTCATCATCAAGTCCTATTGAAAGAAAAAGATGTAAAGCACTTAAAAAAAATTCAAAACTAAACACTAAGTTAACTCACTGTTAATGTAAAACATCTTTCAGAAAATAATTCTAGTTTCATATTTTAAAACAAAAATTAAATAACAATTTTTTAAATTTGTAAAATGTAAGGGGTACAAGTGCAGTTTTGTTACATGGGTATATTGCTAATGGTGAAGTCTGGGCTTTTAACGTAACCATTACCAAAATCGTGCACATTGTACTCATTAAGTAATTTCTCAGCCCTCGCCCCCTCCCAACCTCCTACCATTTGAGTTTCCAATAACTATTATTTTATGCTCTATGTCCATGTGTACACATTATTTAGCTTCCACTAATAAGTGAGAACATGTGGTACTGTTTCTGAGCTGTTTCACTTAAGATAATAGCCTCTAGTTCCATCCATGTTGCTGCAAAAGACATGATTTGATTATTTTTAAAGCTGAATAGTATTCCATTGTATCTCTATGCCACATTTTCTTTATCCAGTCATCTGTTGATGGGCATTTAGGTTGATTCCATCTTTGCTGTTGTGAATATTGCTGCGATAAACATACCAAATGCAGGTAACTTTTTGATATAATGATTTCCTTTGCATATATAACCACTAGGGGGATTGCTAGATTAAATGGTAGTTCTATTTTTAATTATTTGAGAAATCTCCATACTGTTTTTCATAGAGGCTGTACTAATTTACATTTCCCACCAACAATGTAAAAGCGTTCCCCTTTCTTTGCAGCCTCATCGACCTCTGTCATTTTTTGTCTTTTTAATAATAGCCAACCTGACTGGTGTATGATGATTTTTCCACAAACTATCACAATAGTAGAAAATCCATGTTTCCAATTATTTTGAATGCAGTTACATTCTAATGTGTAGTCACAGTAGATGAACAGTGTGTAAAGATTAATATTTTATCCCAAATTACCAAAAATATGAAAATCTTTATTTTGGCTATGAAGTCTTGATCACTATAATCCAAATGATCAGACAATTTTTATTTGTTTCATAATATTATTTTTTGTTAGTAATATAATACAGAAATAATTTTTAAAGTTATAAATTTAATCACAGTTCCACTATCAACAATAGGCCACACAACACAAATAAGTCTTTCTCCTTTATTTCTCCCAATTTCCACTCTCAACCTTCATACTCACACAAATTTAATAAGTCATCATTTAATAAAATAAGATAATTTCACAGATAAAAATGATCTCAAATCTATTTTACTAAGTAATGTATGTTGATATAAAATTCTATTTTGACTTGACAGATGAGAAACAAAAATACTCTGTGCCTACATTTTAAAATATATTTGTAGTAGTAGTTTTATTAAAATGATTTCTCAGTTTCAAGTGATAAACAATAATATTTCTGGATCCCTATATATTGTAAATATGGTTCAGATATTTCCTCTAGGAAAATGTTGGCATTCAGAATTTGGAGGAAATATAGCTCTCAACAGGGATGATAATGACAAACTAAAAATAAGTCTATAATGGAATTAGGACTCATCACACTCAAAAGGTGATATATAGAATATTTGAAATCTTCAAATGACATATAAAAACAAAAACAAAGCAAAAAACCTTCTTGGCTTTTTTGTGGTGCTCTACAGCACAGACTTAGTACAGAAAAAGCAAAAATTAAAAAAAATATCTAGAGTTGAGATATATCAGACCTGTTTTCAAACCTTATGTCTTGTGATTTTGACTCACCACAATGAAACACAATTATACATTCATTATTAAAAATCCTTTTCGTAGGAAATCTGCATTTTCAGTGGATCATGTCTGTTTTGTGTGGTGTTATTTTTTAAAAGCAAGTTTCTGGAGTAAGGTAGCATAGCTTTTAGTTCATACTTTATTTACTACTTGCACGATCACAGGCAAATCACTGAACCTCCGGAAGCATCAGTTTTCTCAGTTGTAACGGGATTATAATACATCCACAGGATTGTTCAGACCATTAGTGGGATAATTTCTTTAAACCACATGCAGTGAATAAATAGTGGTTATATCTAAATTTTTATTTAAATATATTGCTCTTAATATCTTTAATTCTTTCAAGTTATACACAAATGAAAATTAGATTATGTGAGTTGTTAATCTTTTCTTGACAATTCTGTAAGCAAAGTAAAGATGTTATTGATATCTCTCTGGCCAGATTTTCAGTATTGTAAAGATGCAGGCTGTGGCATGACTGATAATTCAAATAGAATAAAATACAAGCAACTGTGACTGCTCAGAAAGTTTATCTAATGTGGTGGAAGGATCCCTGAGGTGGAGGTCCAGATCAGCTCTGTCTTTACACTGAATGGGCAATATCTGTTGAATTAGCACTTAAAATCTTTGAGCTTTGGCTTTCCAGATAAAACAATGGGAATGTGAATTGCATAACTGCTAAGGTAATCTGGAGTAGCTTTGAAATTGGGTGGTTTGTAAGATAGCAGTAAAATTATTATTTGTTGCAGGCTATCCATGAACCAACAGCATGCACTTTATGTATCTTTCCTTATTTAATTTCATTAATTTAAAGCTATTACTGAATACCTACTAAATGCTAGCCCCTTACTCTTTAGAATGATGAGGTTCAGCAGTGAAAAAGCAAACAAAATTCTTGCCTTTGTAATTCATATATTGTAGCAGCCAAGACAGATACAACTTAAATAAAATGTAAGCAACATTATTTGGTGATCAGTACTACACAGAAAAAAAAAAAGTATATGGTAAAAAAAAAAAAAAAAAAAGGTTTCCGTAGGTTGAGGGGTTGCAATTTTAAATAGATTGGGTCAGGGAATACTTTCCTGAAAAGAAGACATTGGAGCAAAGCCTTGATGTAGACGAGGGAATGAGCCATATGGATATGTAGGCGAAAAGCCTTCCAAGTTTTGGAAGCAATAATGCAAAGATCCTGAGAGGGAGGGATCCTGAGATGGAGCTCAGAGAATCATGCAGACTGAGGGGACAGTCATGGCAAATAAGGTCAACAGTTACAGGAGATCAGATTGTGTAGGGCTTTTAATCTCTGTGTTTACACTGAGTAAGGTAGGAAGTCATCTGATGATTTTAAACAATGAAATAATGTAATCTTACATAAATACATATAGGTGTGTACAGATGTATGTATTTGTGTCAGATTATATGTATATGTTACACATACACATGCACACATATATTTTATATATATATATACATACATACATACAGGATCACTCTGGCTGTTGTGTTGAAAATACACTAAAGAGAGACAAAATTTGAAGCAGGAAGGCCAGTTAGGATGCTTTCAGTTTAACTCAGGAGAAAGTGGACTTCAGGACTCAAATGTAGGGTATAGGAGAGAAATGGGCAGGAGAGCTACATTTGTGGGTTCTAGTGAAGACAGAAAAATGATGTAGGATCCCTTGTTCAAATTTCAATACAAATTTAGGAATTTCAGTAGAGTGATAGTGGAGCAATAAACCAAGCACAGAACTTTTCTGAGTGTGAAGCCCTAGAAAGAATTCGATAAAGACTTTAAGTTTTTTACCTGAATGGAGTGATGGAGCTGCCCCTAACTCATACAAGAAAAAGTGTAGGAGTGGAAGGTTTGAGGCTCAGGAAAAGGTCAGGAATTGTAAATATCAACATTTAGGAGATGTCTTGTAGACTTCATGTATCTTTACCTTTAACAACACACAAGTCATCACTGACCACAACAGAAGAGTTTTGGTGGACAGAGTGATGGGAAGCAGGGCAGCGGGGAGACTCTAGTAATTCTGAGGAAGAATGGAATGAGAGATTAGCCCCAGCAAGTACCCAGCCATCTCAAGAATTTAGCTGAGAAAGAAAGAAAGAAATGGAGACTGGCATTAAGGAGAAAATAGAACTGAGAAGATATGTTTAAGAGGAAGAAATACTTGCATCCTCCTAATAATTCTTTGAAGTTGGCATTATTTTTCTTATTTTTGACGTATAAGTAACTTGCCCTAGATCACAAAACTAGTAAGGTGCAATAGTATGTAACCACAAATTATTTTGTTTAAATTAAAGTACCCACTTTGAGTCACTACATTAGATTAATTATTTAGAGTCTTAGCATCTTAGGGTTTGAGGAAAGAGCTTTTACATTAATAATGCAGTAAGATCTCAGCTTAAATTTCACCTCCCTCAAAGAAAAGTAGGCCCCCTCAAGATCTCCATCATATCACATGGTATGCTTCTTTAATAGTGCTCAAAAGAAGTAGTTAATTATATTTATTTATTTATTTTTTATTTACTTTTTTAGTTTCCTGAGTGTAAAAGAGTTCAGGCATCTTTTTTGACTTGTTCACCATTTTTTCCACAGTACCCAGCACAGTGCCCATTGTAGTACATGTTCAATGTATGCTTAATAATTATCTGTTGAATGAATGACTACCATTCTTTCATTTCTTCTTTTCACATTCATGCCAATGTGGAAAACATAAATATGTATCTGTACCTGCCTTCTTGAATATTGTTACATCTTGCCAACAACAAAACTACAAATATTCATTAGTTCTCTTTTCAAATCTGATTCCACTTACATTTCAACCCTAATACTAACTATAACTGTAATTTACATTAAATTATAGTGATACCGTTTTTATATAAACTGTATTCTTTACTCAGTTTCTCATAGAAATTACCAATGACATAAAGTAATAAATTCAAGGAAGGTAAAATCTGTAAGTATGTTAAAAATTCTATATGTTCAAAATTGTTTGTAAAGACCCTTCAGTAACAGCACAGCTGCAAGAGGTGATGTGGGTGCCACTGACAGATCAAAAGCCTAAGATTAAGAGAAAAGTGGGCACCAACTTGCCTTACTGGCTATTCTTCTTTCTGAGAAATGTTGATACAAATCTGTTTATAAATTAGAGCTCCCGTCTATCTGACTAATTTGGCAAGAACAACAAGGCTTTTGTGTCAATTGAATTAAAAGAGAAAAAGATAAAAAATGTAGATATAAGGTAAAGAATGAGAAAGAGGAGAGGCACTTTAAAATTTCTCAGATATAAATACTACTAGAGACTGACAGCACAGTGATGTTTTTTAGAAATAGAGCTGTAAAAATAAAATCAAAAGAAATCAGATATTTGATAAAGGAGGAGAAAGAGACAATAAAGAGAAAATGGGGGGGATAAGTTGTTCAAATGATGGCTATTAATAATTTTTACCCTTAGTTTCATAATGTATGATATGATATTAAGCATTTAGAATTATACAGTATTCAATATCACATGACCAGACTGTGTATGTTAATGTATGTTTACATTAGAGGAAACATCAAGAAAAAAACTACATGTCACACCTGCATTGCCCACTTTGTTTAGTGTAAGCTAGTCTATGAATACCCCTTATTTTGAAAATATCTTGTTTCCCATGATATGTTGTTTTGAATTACACACACACCAGAACACTGCACTGCAGTTGCTACTACATAGTCTGATTTTCCCTTTGAGAGTTTTTAAATAATTGTATGGTGCAACAGAACGATTTTGTTCTGAAAGTATCTAAAAATAATCTGTATGTTTACTTTATTCTTTCTACTAATCTAGGTGAGACAAGCCTGGTTTTCAATAGCTGTTATACCTTAATTGTGTATTTGTTCTTTTTAATTAGCATGCCATCAAACTAGATCATGAGGATTAGAGTGAATGAGATTTCATTTTATTTGATATGGTCTGCTTTAAACAGCTTGTGCATGTTTATGGAAATCATTTTACTGTCTAGATAGGATATATTAAATATGTAGCCTCTGAAGAACTCTATTATGCCACGGGAGAGAAGAAACATGATGCTAAAAACACAAAAGGTCTATCTGGATAGACTACATATCTTGCTAGTATCATGGGCTATAATGTCCTCATATATATATATATGAAATATATATAGATATGTTTATTTTTGAGAGACATGAATATTAGTCTCTTTTAAAAGGCACATTATCAATCCAGCTGTATGTTTGGAATCATAACCAAAGGCAGAGTTCACATAATACCTAAATAAGCACTTCTAAGAAAATAGTTGTTCAAGTAGGTTGGTGAAGAGTGGTAGCCATTTTAGTCAATCCGTCAAGTTAAGAATTCTGCAAAGATGTAGTGGTAGGTTCATGGACACCTCAACATTCTACTCACAACACAACAATTGCTTTCTTTGGAAATAAAAGGTATCTATAGATTCAGATAAGGCTATTTCACAGAAGGCATGTTTTCGAGCTATGAGATATTATGATTCATTTCTTCAACTCTGAAATATTTGCAAGTATGTCAAACCCAGTAGTGAATATTTTCACTCCTGAAACTTGATGTTAAGCAACATTAAGGATACGTAGTGTTGTTCATATGATGTACAGTCCTTTCTAACTGGCTCACAAAATCCTAATTTAATTATCACAGTACTATTAGCCATTACCTTCATCAGGAGCTGCTCATTTTGAAATTTTCTATGGGCCTATTAAGTATTTAGAAAGAAAAAAATGTGTCTATTTTATACTGATTGAAATTAATCACTAATAATAAATTTGTATCTTTTACAGGGAGTCTATTTAAAATGGACTATCATGTCTTCATTTATAATCATATACTCTTCAAAGTACAAGGGTGTGTATGTCATATTTAGGGGTATAAAAGAATGAGGGAACTGGCATTAGTATTTAGAAAATGAAACACTATTTTTTGCATGGCTTTATTTAATATTAGTAATATTTTATTTGCAATTACAAATAATACAAAAAGAGATTTTATTTTTCTCAAGAAAAGAGAACATAATTAATAAAAGTTTAAAAATAGTATTCTGTAAATTATACTGCTATAGTTTGGATATGGTTGGTTTGACCCCTCCAAATCTCATGTAGGAATTTAATCCCCAGTGTGGTGGTATTGTGGTCAGTGAGATCTAGTGGGAGGTGTTTGGGTCATGGGGGCAGATTCCCTCATGAATGGCTTAGTGTCTTCCTGGATGTAATGAGTGAGTTCTTGGTCTGTGTGCCTGTGAAATCTGGTTGTTATAATAAAAAGAACTAGGCATCACCTCCAACTTGCTCATGCTTCCTCTCTCACCATGTAATCACTGCACATGCTGGCTCCCCTTCCTCTTTCACCATGAGTGGAAACAGCCTGAAGCCCTCACCAGAGGCAATTGCTGGCACCATGTTTCTTGTACAGCTTGCGGAACAATGAGCCAAATAAACCTCTTTACTTTCTGAATTACAGAGCCTCGGGGATTCCTGTATAGCAACACAAACAGACTAAGACATACTTAAAAATTTTATAACAGAAAGCATGATTTCTGTGGCTAACTTACATTTACATAAGCATATGTATATATACATTATATAATCATGAGTTTGTATCCACACAGGTGTTTTCCCTAGTAATGCCAGTCCTATTCTGAATTTTCAACAAATTCAGACTTACATAGTCCTAAAAAATAATAATAGAATTTATCAAATATGTATGCTCTAAAGATAGATATATGAGTAAGAAATTGCTTTTGATCTTAGACTCATATTAGAATTAGAAGAAGAAAGGAAAAATAGCATTGCAGTGCTGTTGGCTGGCTACTCGGAGAGGCCTTCCAGAGACAATCTTGATAGTCATAATTTAGGGGTCCTCAGTTTCACAGGTAATCATTTAATTTTCTCAGCACAACCAGAGATCACAGCAGGATATACTCAATTGGAATGATTCTGGCTAGCTAAACTCTCCAGACATCAATGCATAAACCAATTTATAAATAGAATTCCTACTTGTCAATTTATAATGAAAAATAGGAGTGCCAAACAAGCCAAACATCCTTTATCACTGTGGTCTTTCCCAGTCAGTAAACCAAAATGAAAAATAAAAAATAGCCAAAATACTAATTTTTACTCATAATTTCAGGATCCAGGGTAATTATATAGAATACATCAATAACGAGTGCCATCTAGTTATCCTACTCTGGAGAATCTATCTCAATCACAGAGATATAATTTCCAGATGGGTCTCTGATACTGGTGGCACTGTCACTTGTTAGTGCCAAAACCAAACCAACAATTCATTTCAAAATTGTCTTAAAAATTCTTACTGACCTCTTAGGGTTTGTGAATGTAGCCTTTTATGAGACAGAGTAACAAGAGCATCAGCAAAGAGTTTGCTGCCATTTCTTAATGCAATAGCATGGCAAATGTCAATTAAGTTCCTCTTTTCTCATAAATCTGGACTCAGTCTTCAACTCATTCTCAGACCAGGCAATCACTACACGTTGATTATAATTGACATTTTAAATGAAATTTGTTTATTTCAGAGATAGAATTAAGTTTCAGTCATGTTATATATTCAAACACTCAAGATCCAATGTCATAAAATTCATCCCGCTTTGTTATGCTGTTTCTGTGATTTTAGACCCAACACTTAAGAGAATATTGATTCAGGTTGGTTGCTTGTACTGATGATTGGTCCCACCCTCTATATTTAATTTCCTATAATTTCATTCTGAATGAAGGCCTTATCTTCACATTTTAACAGCAGCTTGTTGTTGCTTTCTATATAAGAAACTGCATTCAGTTTCATCTGCTATCTTATAATGTGGCTAACTTACATTTCCCTCCACATTGATCTTACTCTAAACAGTCCTTTTAAGGAAGATTGCAGTTAGTAACATGCAAAGAAACAGTTGAATTTCACATAATAGTGTTGGCTGGGAAACTATTTCTTAAGAAAATGCAAGTGAAATTAATAATATTCGCCATAAGAAAATCCAAGGATTCTGGGCTTCCTGATGCAATGGTATGTGGCCAAATAAGCTGATTTTACACATGTCATAGAGTGAAGTGACTAAATCTGGATTACTCTTTTCAACACTGATGACGATAAAGTGTAAAATGAAAACTATTTAAAGTGTAAGAAATATCTGCTCTTTGGTACGTAATTTCTTAATTTGGAGTAAATTCTAAGTCCAGGTTTTGTTCTTTAATGCAAAAATAAAACAAATACACTCAGTTGTTCAAGAAAATCTGAAAATAGGAAGTTACTTCAATGCAAATAATATTTTCTTTGATAATACATATTTGACTAAGACAAATCCATTTTAAAATTTAAAAATGATCTCTGTAAGTTTTTATGTTCCTTGGAAGAAAAGTGTTATGTGTTTTCCTTTCCCTAGAAGTAATTGAAATATTTTTGTGCAGTTATCTGTGTTATTTTGGCGGCAGCTATTTGCAAAAGACAGAGGGCTGAAGTGGAGAAAACAGCAGCATGGTATTGTGGGAGAGGGTGTGCCTAGAACCTGAACCTGGCTTCTTTCTTTGTCTTTTATTTCAAGACAGACTCTCGCTCTGTGGCCTAGGCTGGAGTGCAGTGGTCTGATTTTAGCTCACTGAAACCTCTGACCTCCCGGGTTCAGGCAATTCTCCTGCCTCAGCCTCCCAAGTAGCTGGGATTACAGGCCAGCACCACCAGGCCCGGATAATTTTTGTATTTTTAGTAGAGACAGGTAGTAGAGACAGGTGCACCATATTGGCCAGGCTGTTCTCAAACTCCTGACCTCAAGGGATCCGCCTGCCTCATCCTCCCAAAGTGTTGGGGTTACAGGCGTGAGCCACTGCGCCTGGCCTGGCTTATTTCCATTCATAAGCTAGGCCTATGAGTTCCTACATCGGGATTTTATTTATTTAAACTTGCTAACAGTTACTGAAAATTTATGTCCAGCACAAAATGTTTATATATATATATATATATATATATAAAATATGTTATATATATAAATATGTGTGTATATATATTTATATAACATATATAAATATGTGTGTATATATATCTTCTACAATTTCTATATGAAATGAACAATAATTATTCCCACTCTACAGATGAGAAAACAGAGGTTCATAGCTAGTGAATGGTGGAACTGAGATTCAAACGTTAGTATCTCTTATTTCACAACCCACGTTCTTATATTCTTTACTACCTTCCACTTAAAAACCTAGAACTAGGAAAATATACTCCTTTCAGAATATTGTTTTCTTATATCTGTGGAAGCAGTAGCTAGTTTTCTGTGATAGGAGTAGAAAATGCAGCTATATATTTTACTAAGAAGAATTCCAGCACAGCATAGAAATAATGCGTAGTCTTGTGAAGATGTTGACCCGGAAAAACGGAGAAATGTTTTTCAGGTAGGCCTACAGTCTGGAGAATGGGTGCTCAATTGAGGATATTCTTAGAGGAGATAAATTGTCCTAGATTTAGGCAGATAAAACACTTACAAAAGTAGCAGCAAATTCTTCTCCATGTTGTACTTCTATTAAACAAAGAAAACTTCCTTAAACACTTAAAGGCTAGGTTCCGTGTGGGGGAAAAAAGAGGAAAGGAACTCATTTCATACTTGGGATAAATTAGGGAAAACCATACCTTCTGAAGTCACAGTAGTAGGAGGAAGGAAAGGCAGCTTTGCCTGGCAGAATGCTACCTCAGGGGAGTCAGCCACAGAGTGGGAGAAGCAGGCAGCACTACCGTGAGTCCTGCGGCAGATCCCAAGGGATTCATACTTGAACATGGAAGCCTCACCTTGAATAACCAGATGCTCGAGGCACACAATAATGAAACAGCTGAGGTTACTTTGAGGACTAATTTCCACTTATCATTCTGGTACAGGCTCAAGCTATTAAAAGGAATGGTGATTTTTTTTGTTTGTTTGTTTTTTTCAGGAACGATTATCGAATTCCGGGCATTGTATTACATCAGGAAGGCAATGTTAACTAAGTTCTAAGTAGTAATGAGACGCTGTGAGTCTATTATGAACTGAATACTCCCACAGCTCAAAGGAGGACAGAAAGTGGTGTGAAAAGCCTAACTTTGAACCAAACATAAATATATGTTTGTGTTCTTTGTATCATGTCACTACATTTCACTTATCAGTCTCATGTATAGGCAGCCATTCCATTTTTCCATTCATTTTGTCATTTTTCCCTTAATGGTTTTCACGATGGCTTCTTTTTAGCTTTATCTTCAGTTGATATAGCATAATTAACTGCCACAGAGTAAAAATATTTTCTCTAACAAAAAGGAAGACCCAAAGGAACAAAGATGCCATTTTCATTAATTATCTAAATAAAATGACATAAAGATACAAAGGAAAGTTATTTATCTCCTTAAAAAGTTTTCATTTAGTTAATTATAATTTCATATTGCTCTGTTAATTGATTTCTTAAAGCTTTCCCTAGTGCTCTAGGCCTTTTTTTTCTTCTGTATTCAAACATTCACAATTATATGAGCTCTATCATTTTAAAATGCATTAAAAAAAGAAAACAGTTAAGGTAATATGCATTAATTCAGAATAAAATAGCCATATGTCCCTGAAAACCAACAAAGCTATTCACTATTCAATTCAACAACGGAATCTACTACTTTAAGGCTCACTGATTTATCCTGACTCTTGGAAAAGAGTGTATACCTCCGCGCATCTAGAAATAACTGAACTGTCATTCTTGCCCCTCTGAGTGCAAACAGCTGATCACTGTTTACCACACAATCACTCTCAACTACTCAGTTGTTTCCCTCATTTTCTTTACAATTTCCTTCTGCCTTCTTTATTCTTGGCATTTATCAAAAACATTTCTTTTGAGGGTGAAGAGATTTATTTATTTATTTCCTAAAGAGGAAAGAATCTTTAGTTTTGGCATGTGCATAAGTCAAATATTTTTCACAATGCTGTATTGTCAGGACAAATGTTTTGCCTCTCATCCTGTTGTTAAAGACTGGCCAGGGTGGGGCCTACTGACATTCCTTTGTATTAAAACCTCCCTTCCATAATTCACAAACAAACAGTTTTGATGTAATATTTTGCCAGGCAAACCAGAGCCAATTATTAAAATAGTTGATTCTTCCCTTAAACACTAGTTTGCTGTCCCAGAATGATTATTATTAAAGAATGTGAGCTTCTCAAATTTTTTACAAGATGTATGATGGCTAATAACAATAAGCTGTAAATAGAGTTTGGTATTTGGGTAGGTTCTAAATAAACAGAAATATAACAAATCTCTGTTGTTATTTTCTTTGTTTTTGTTTGTTTGTTTGTTTTGATTTTGGTATACTGGTCCCTTGGCTCCATGAGAGAAGACATTCATTAATTAATATCTGTGGATAGAATATTAATATTTATTAACCTATATAAAAATATTTTGTTTGTTTCTTTTTTCGCATGTAAATGATGATGAGTTACATGCAAAAAAAAATACTTTCCCAAGAGCTGGCGAAATAGTATAATTTAACAATTTTATTACATTATCATAAAATTGCAACTTAATATGTGACTACAGACAGGGGTGTCTCTGTGTGTGTATGAGAGTGTGTGTGTGTGTGTTTATGACATACACAAAATCAATGAATTGGTAATCATTATTTAATAACAACTTCTAAAAAAACTTACAGGAGAGACATAGAAATGAAAGTAGAAATGTCTGGGCATATTTGATGTTAATATTTCAACCAAATGTTTTGTGAATGAAAATGAAAAATAAATGTCTACATTTTTTTTCTCACATTTCTCTCCTTAGGGAATATACAACCTCTGCCAGAAGAGTTCAAAACCAATAAAAAAAGGAAGCAAACCCCATTTAATATATATTTTTAGCTAGGACTTGGCAAACTCAGATGCCAGGAGTAGTTCTACAGTTCTGAATACTAAATGTTCAACAGATGGCTCTCCTTCGATTTTATCCAATCTGGAAATGCCCCAACCGGAAACAAAGATGGTCTTCAGCCTGTCCCCTTTATAATAAAATATACTTCCCACACATGCTATAAATAGGAAGGTAAGAATTACAATCTGGTTTTATAAAATAATGAAAGTTAAAGGACTGCACCAATATTCTTTATGCAAATAAATATCTCCCCAAACAAGTTTTCATATCCATTTGCAAGTGAAGTATCAAGAGAATAAAAGATGAAGAAAAAAATGAACTCAAAGATGTTTTTAAATTCCTACTTTTAGCAATTTCTGGGTGACAACTCTCAACTATCTAGTGCCTGTACAATTTGAAAATTTATATCCATACCCCCACCCCTACTTCCAACTCTCAAAAAAAGCTACTTGGTTAAACAATAAAACCACAGAAATCTGACAATTTCCACAGCATGAGGATTTCTCCACTGTAAGACTGAAGATGAATTACAATGAAGCTTAAAGAATAGTCATAAATTAGCTAACTGAAATACTAGACATTTCATATTCACAGAAGTGTAGCATGTGTTTACTGTTTTCATTATAAACACAAATACATTTGGGGATAGTATCTAAGTGAGTGGAGTCAAAAGTAGCTCTTTTCAAATAGTCAAGTTTTTTAGCTAAAAAAGTTGATCTCATAGAAGTAAAAAGTAGAACAGAGGACACTAAAGGTTGGGAAGGGAAGAGGGAAGGGAGGAATGCAGAGAGATTTCTTCAAGGATGCAAAATTATAACTAGATAGGAGGAATGCATTCTAGTGATCTGTTCCACCGTAAAATGACTATAGTTAACAATAATATATTATATATTTTCTAATAGCTAGAAGGATGATATTGAATGTTCCCAACACAAAGAAATAATGAATGTATAAGGTGACGGATATGCTAATTATCCTGATCTGATCACTATTATATGTATTGAAACCACTATGTGCCCCAAAAATATGTACAATGATTATGTCAATTTGAAAACTAAAAATTAAAAATTTAAAAACAAAACAAATAGTCAAGCTAACAACAGTTAACGGACAGCTAGTAAGTAACATAGCAAACATCCAATAAGCGGTAACTATTATTCTTGTTTTATTGTTAGTTGTAATCTGCTAGGCATCATATAATCTTGTGTCTGATTAAAAAATATGCAAATTTTATACTTCAGCACTTTAAAATTTTAGCCAGTGTGGGACAGAAAAAGCAAAACTGAAGCAGAGGTTAGAGGTTATCCTAATTGCATTTTTAAAAATCCCTTTCTTTCTGACCTTGGACAAATCCCAAACTTTCTGTTTTGGTTCTTTCATGCATAAAACAATAGTCCTTCCTACTCAGAGAGTTGTTCTTAGTATTGCATAACATGTTTATGAGAATACTTTACATATTAGATATTAATATTCCCTCCAACTGGAGTAAATATTCTTAATTATAGTTTTCTTATGGCACACATCCTATTTTTGTTAATTCACTCAAGAAACATTTATTTACCATTTATTGTGCCTGCCAGCATTCCAAGTACTGGGAATACAATAATAGATAAAATTGATAAGATTTCTGCCCTTGCAAAGCATATAATCCATGAACAATATAATTCATGGCAGATAAAGATAGAAAAGCAGGCAATTACAAAGCAGTAAGATTTTAGATGGTGAAGTATACAGAGTGGGAACGGTTCAGTGTGTCTTTTTAAGAAAGGCTGAAAAAAACTTGGTACCTATCTGAAAATGGAAAGATGAGACTAATGGAAGGACAACTGGGACGGGGGAGTGCACCACAAACACAACCACTGTGTTTAAGGAAGTGAAACTCTTGCATGGCTGCTTCTAAAGTATATAAAACAAGGATTGAGAAATGATCAGACGTAAGTAGGGGACCAACTAAACAGAGGTCTGCAGCCACATTAAAAAGCCTGAACTTTGATTTATGAACAATGAATTTTAAGCAGGCAAGCGACATGGCCAGATTTTATTTTTAAAAGTCATTCTAAAAGCAATCACACGTAACGGTTTCAATAGGGAAGAACGTGTTAAGAATGGATTAAGAATGGGTACCTTGAGGAGACTGAGGCAATAATGCCCGTATTTGAGAGTGGTATGTACTTTAGAAAAAGGCAGAAAACATGGCAATGAGAATGGATAAAGGTGATAAATGTAACATGTTTTGATGGTAGAATTTTAAAAACGTGGCATTTTATTTGCCAGTGAGTAATAACGGGCATAAAGGAATGGAAAGAATTGGTAACTAGTCTAATAGACAAGATGACTCTAAGGTATCTGTCTCGAACTTCCAGGTGGTTGCTATTGTCATTCACTGTGCTAGAGAAGACAAGAGGAAATATGGGTTTTGGAAAATTGTTTGTTCAGATTTCAACATGTTAAGTTTGAAATGTTTGGAGCACTGCAACATGAAACACAGGATAGAGATATGGAATGGAGATAAAGATTTGGGAATCATCAGCATACAGTGGAAATTAGTCATGGGAATTTTGATAATCCAATGTAAGTGTAGGAAGCAGCAGAAGAAAGTGTGAAGGACATCATTACGATGTCCAATATGTAAAAATGGACAAATTCCACAAAAATGACTGACATGAAATGACCTGACATATTGGTATATAATGGGAAAAGTGCAATGTTATAAAAGCCAAAATATAAGGAAATGTTCAATAACATCAAGTGCTAGGAAAAGGTCAAGCAAAATCAGAATTGAGAAAGGTCCCAGGAAGAAGACAAGAGTGAAGTTTTAGGTGGAGAAGGCCGACTGAATTCAGAGATGAGAAAATAAAGTCAGGAGTATAAACTTTTTCATAAAAAGCCTGTCTATAAAGAGAAAAGTTTAGCTGCAGTAGCTGGAGGAATACTTAGAATTGAAGAAAATAATTGTATTGTGCTCTGTCTCTCTCTCTCTCTCTCTCTCTGTATATGTGTGTGTGTGTGTGTGTGTGTGTGTGCTTAAAATAGGAAAATCCTTAAATTTTTTTTTTTTTTTTAAGATACAGTCTCACTCTGGAGCCCAGGCTGGAGTGCACTGGTGTGATCTCACTGCAACCCCTGCCTCCCAGGTTCAAGCGATTCTCATGCCTCAGGCTCCAGAGTAGCTGAGATTACAGGCGTGTGACACCACGCCCAGCTAATTTTTGTATTTTTAGTAGAGATGGGATTTCACCATGTTGGCCAGGCTGGTCTGGAACTCCTGACTTCAGGTGATCCGCCCACCTCAGCCTCCCAAAATGCTGGGAGTATAGGCATGAGCTACCGCATCAGGCCCCTTAACATATTTAAATGCTTATGGTAAATTCATGAGAATTAGAAATTAAATATAATTGCTTGAGAGAGGGGGATAGTTTCTCGAGAAGGCAAAAAGGGATGAAATCCTTTGCACATTGGAGGGATGTGACTTAGAAAGGAACAGAATACCTCCTTAACTGTAGCAGAAAGACCCAGAAACAGAGATGGAGACAGAGAGACAAAGGCAGAGTGGAAAAAAATGAGTGCAGAAGCAAAAATCTTTGTAGAAATTGGTGGCAAGAACTTAAGAAAATTTTATTTTAGCGGCTTCTGTTAATCTAAAAGTCATTGCTGAATTTTTGAGTAGAAGAGGGAGTTAGTTTGCAAGTGGAGAAAAGTTGAATTTTAAAACATCTCCCAAGAAGAAATGGAGAGAGAATTACTGAGAAACATGAAATATTTCCTATGTACTGAGAATCCAGTGGAGATTGAAAGGATGGAAAAAATAAACTTATAGTGAAATCAATCTTTTTGTTTATTTGGACTTCTTTGGCAGTATACAGAATTTGTGGTGTAGGAGTAAAGAAAATAAACAGTTGAATTGATACAAATATTGACAAGCAACTGTAACAGAGAGACAAAAGGGAACTGGAATTGAAAGTATTCCCTAGAGCCTACTTGAAGTGATGAACGAAGAAATACAACGTGATAGGGAGACAAGTGCTAATAGAAAAGGTCTGTCAGAGGGCAGTAAAGTTTACCGGCACTGGATTGCCCTAGACATGAGTCCAAATGCCTCTTTTTCGTTTCTTAAATGTTTAACCTGGGCTGAGTCATTCAAAGAGATCAAATGGGTTTAACCTCTTCAGGTAACAGTTATGCACTTATCATATAATAAATACTCAACAAATGATAACCATCATTATTGCTATTGACAAAGTCAAATATTTATAGTTAAGATAAAATGTTTAATAGATACCACATAATACATATCTTCAAATGCAAATTAGTTAGGTTGAAATAAGCTTCCCTATTTACAAAATTATATGTGACTTTTCAAAGCAACTATACTATCTCCTTAAAATAATAAACTTATCTTTCTTTGGCACAAAGCCTTTTTTAGGAGTATGTTGGCATTTTTGTTTTCATTTTAAATTGTCTTTGAAAACATTCATTTTTTAAAAAAAACATGAATTAGTTTTCAAAAAGAAAAGATCTTACCTTCTAATAATAGATTCTGAAATGTTTAGAGATAAAAGGCAATCGATACTAGAGTCAGTCCTTTCTGTTCTTCTCTGAGCTGCAAATTAACTGCTGACCTTTCCAGGTCCATTCTCTCTTCTTCTCATTCTTTTACCCCCAGAAGGTTGATCCTTAAAGTCATGCATTAACCTGGCCCTCCTTTGCCTGCTGCCTTCCATGTGGCTCCAGCCAGTGAGAGGCACTGGCAGGAGATGAGAGGGCAAGAGCTATCACATCAGATACATCCATTTCTCGAAGGCAGGACCTGCCCTGGCTTAAGCTTCATTTCAGGAAATAGGACGGGGACCTTATAACCCTGAAGTCAGCATATGACTGACTGTGTCCATTTAGATCTCTGTATATTGCTTGGAATTCGATTCCCTATCATGCTCCAACGATGTTCTGGAAATCTTTTTGTTAACTTTACTACTCCCCCAGGACAGAATCTGCCTTCTTTTAAACAGTCACCTGTAACTAACCCCACTTTATACCATGATCTGCAACTGTATTGTGTGTAAGTTCACCCAAGGGCACTAGCGCATTTCCTGGCCCAGTGGAAAAGTAAGAGTTCTATATGCTGCTCTCATTTTCTGGGTGGAGTAATATTAAAGTAAAATAATACAGGGCATTTTCAAGGGTGGAGAACTGTCCAGTTAAGCTACAGCATAGACAGGGATATGGAAATAGCAGGTAGAAAGATTAGGACTCTAAGTGGGAGCCAAAACATTGGGGGCATATCTGAATAATACCGTTACCTATTTAAACATAAATGTTGTATATGAAATTCTAAATATACAAAATACAGCATGTTCAAAATGAATTGGTCATTTTTGTAACAGACATCGTGTGTGTGTGCACGCGTGTGTGTGTGTGCGCGCACACGTGGGAGTGTAAGACAATATAAATAATTGAAGCCTTCATTCAAAAAACTTCTGAAATAATTTCTAAAATCTAGAATTCCACTGGGAGAATGTATCTTAGAGGCAGAGACAAGTAACCCTAGCATTTTAATAAATTTCCATTTCAATAGCTCTCAAGTACCTAAGTAATTTTGGTAGCTAGATCCAGGGAGCATGAAGAGATTTCAATACAAAGTTTCAATAAAAGACAAGGGAGTTCTGAGTGCAGTGGGAAAAGGATAGTCAAAGGAAGAAGAGTGGTTGCCTGTGCAGGTGGATTTCTATTATGTGATCAAATATTGTTATTATTTATTTAGAGACGGAGTCTCGCTGCAACACCCAGGCTGGAACGCAATGGCACAATCTCGGCTCACTGCAACCTCGGCTTCCTGGATTCAAACGATTCTCCTGCCTCAGCCTCCCGAGTAGCTGGGACTACAGGTCAGTGCCACCAGGCCCGGCTAATTTTTTTTTTTTTTTTTGAAACGAAGTGTTGCTCTTGTCCCCCTGGCTGGAGTGCAATGGCACGATCTTGTCTCACCCCCGCAACCTCTGCCTCCCGGGTTCAAGCGATTTTCCTGCCTCAGCCTCCCGAGTAGCTGGGATTACAGGCGCCTGCCACCATGCCCCGCTAATTTTTATATTTTTAGTAGAGACGGGGCTTCACCATGTTGGCCAGGCTGGTCTCGGACTCCTGACCTCAAGTGATCTGCCGGCCTCAGCCGCCCAAAGTGCTGGGATTACAGGCATGAGCCACCGCACCTGGACTGATCACATCTTGAATTTCATGATGGGCACCAAACTGACAGCTGCCAAAAATATCAATAATTATAACTATATTTTTATCCTTTACCCTTTAGCAAACTGTAAACTCAAGGGCCAGGATTCAACATCTTTAAGATTATAACTATTCTTGGTTAAGGCTCAATAAGCACTTGCTAAATGAGATACAGGGTCTGAAAATCGTCTATCTGGACTCTTAGCCTTTAATGAGTTTCTTGTATATCCATTGCCCCACCTTATTCACTGAAAAGGTCTGCATCAATTATGCTATTCCATTATAAGTTTCATGTTAATACCTAAGAAAATAAGCCAATCATCCTTTTAATTATTATGATTTGCTAATGGATATGGAGCAGAAATCGTTTCACAGATGATTTCAGTGAAACCAGAAAAAGTACCTCAAATACTTGAAGTTACAAATAATAAGAATAATTAGTAAAGCCTCACTATATCTTCAGCAGAATTTCATTCTAGGACTTATAGATGTTATATGCTCTCTAAATTAAACACACACACACACACACACACACACACACACACACAAACATATATATATACACATATGCATATATAATTCCATGAGACTTATCATGAAAGGATCTTTTAAGAAAGAAATTAGTTTCCTATTCTATCCTGAGTTTTGGTTTCCTCTTATATAAAGTAGGCAAAAGGAGTTATCAGGATTCATTGAAATAACATTTATAAAACACCTGGCACATGATTATTTCAAAAATTAAATGCAATTTGTTCTTGACCCTGACACCCATCAGCCTCAGCAACTTACCTGGGCTGTACTGCTGCAAGGCTTCACGGACAGCCCCCATTACTTTAGTCAAGCCCAAATTTCTTCCTCATCGGTTACCTATCTCAGCATAATTCTTCATGAAAACACACGTGCTCTCCCTGCTGATCGTGTCTGGTTAATCTCCCAAACTCCAACCCCTTCCACAAAATAACAACTGCTTTCCTTCCTAGGCATGGTTAGGTACTTCTGCCTTTGGATACCTAGTTTTAACCATCCTGACTAAACCATTGTATAAACTCACAAAAGCAAACCTAGCTGACTCTCTTTTTGGACTCAGCCCACCGGCACTCAGGTGATTAAAAAGCTTTATTGCTCACACAAAGCCTGTTTGGTGGTCTCTTCACATGGACGCAACTGACAGTTCTTACATTTAGTATGACTTGCTCACCTAATCTCATTTTTTCCTTGCAAGATTATTGTGAGAAAAAACATGGCATAATATTTGCAAAAGGTTTTTGTAAATCATAAGTTACTAAACAGATAGTAATGACTATTTTCAGTAAAGTTACTACAATACTATTCCCTACATTTCAATATCTCCCATTTTGTCATTAATCTTTTTTTTGTGGTGATTATTTCGAGAGCATTTGAGGAGGGGACATGCTTTACTTTACAATGCTTCATGCTTTAGTGAATAGTCTGGAAATGTTGATGGCTGTTGTGATACCTCGGTTCTTTTCTTTTTGGCTTAAAAGAATTTAAATGAGACACACAGCAAAGGAGATGCAGTATAGAATAATTCACTGCAAAAGAAAAAGAATATTTTGAAAGTTAGGTGCAGAATAGACAGTACACCCTGAAAGAGAGGATTCAGGGTGAGCAGCTTGTAAGGATGAGGCAACATTAATTATTGCTTGAGAAACTCCCTTTATTGGAGTTTTACATGATTATTCAAGAGGAGGTGGCAAGAGGTGTTACTAGCAAGCATGTTCTGGGTGGTCTTCTGGGTGCACATGCACAGTAGCTGTACATGCTTGCTCATACATGGCATATTTCATTAGCATCTTAAATCTCCACCCAGGGGTGTGTCTTTTACTATTACAATGAGCAAAAGGAAAGGTGAAATGAAAATGCATATACTTTCTAGAAGGGAAAGTCCCTACTGAAGATAGCTTTGCTTGAATGAGCTCAATTACAATGAGAATGCTAAGGTTTATTGTGTCGGATGTATGGTCACTACAGTTGCTGCTGCCAGGAAACATGATCATTTCCTTGACTACCTCTCCTGCCTCAGTAAGTCATGTGTTACAAGCTACATTGTGTTCTCTCAAAATTTGTATGTTGAAGTCCTAATCCTAGTTCCTCAAAATATAATCACATTTCGAGAAAAGATCTTTTAGGAGGTGATTAAGTTAAAACGAGATTGTACGAAGGAATCTGAATCCAATCTGCCTGGTGTACTTATAAGAAGAAACAGAAAGCCTGAGTAGACCAATAACAACAACAACAAAAGAAACCGTAGCAGTAAACAGCTTGCAACAAAGAAAAGTCCAGAACCAGAAAGCTGCATGGCTGAATTCTGCCAAACATTTAAAGAACTAGAATCAATCCTTCTCAAACTCTTCCAAAGAACTGAAGAGGTGGGAATACTAACTCATTTTACAAGGCCATCATTACCATGATACCAAAGCCAGAAAAATACGCTACATGAAAAGAAAACTACAGGCCAATATTACTAATGAATAAAGGTACAAAAATCCTCAACAGAATACTAGCAAATTATTTTCAACTGTAAATTAAAAAGATCTTTCACCACAATTAAGTGGGATATATCCCTGGAATACAAGGATGGTTCAACTTACCCAAATCAATAACTGTGATTCACTACATTAATGGAATAAAGGACAAAAACTATATGATCATCTCAATAGATATAGAAAAAGCATTTGACAAAATTCAACATCCTATCATGAGAAAAATTCTCAACAAATTAGGTATAGAAGGAAAATTTCCTCACAGGCCATTTATGAAAAGCCCGCAGCTAACATCATAATCAATAGTGAATATTTGAAAATTTTTCTTCTAAGATTCAGTGCAAGACAAGGATGCCCATTCTCACCTCTTCTATTCAACATATAACCCATAGTCTGTGGGTTTTGGGGTACACACTGTGAAAAAGTACCTACCTGCAACCACTGCACATTGAGTTCTTGTTGTTTCAAAAAGTTCTAGGAAGAAGCTCAGCCCCAGAACAACAAAAAACAGTCAGATCCAGAGATGCCTGATTTGGAGATAAACTTTGGCAAATTCTCACCACCAAACATGCTAAAAACCCCACCCAGGGAGGAGTTTATTGTCCATTTTTATACATGTGACATATGAAAAAGCATGATCAGCAACTGTGCCTGTGCTGCCGCTACTCCACCTCTAAATGCAATGACTCTGATAACCAGCCTCATGAAAGGCTCTTTTCACCTCTCTTCGGGGAGGCACTGCTTTGAGAACTATCCCCAACATTTTCTTTACTTGTTGCAAATAATAAAACCCCTTGTTAAATCCACCTTGGTTGTGGTCATTAGACTGTCACCCAAGCGATCAAACAAACCCTGTCTTTGGCTGGTTGGTGCCCTGGGGGATTGAGAGACATATCCCTTGTGGTCACTGGTAATCTAGATCTGGCTAACAAACAGTGAAATTAACTGTGAAGATAATTTTTTTTTTCCAAAAAGATGGGTTTAAGGTCTTTAGGTGTGTGTGGTGGGCGAGACATTTCCCAAAACCAGAAGGGACCCAAGTATGCCCAGAAACCCTCAACCTTGACAGGCTGGGAAAATTTTAACTTAGGAGAAGAGGCTCTTACTACCTGGGTACATTCTGGGTATGTTTTCAGATATGTTTTTAAAAGAAGGGGCAGCTACTGTGCCCGATGCCTGGGTAGGTAGGCAGCACAGTTGGAGTTTGTGGGGAGCATGCAGGGCTGCATTAGGGCCCCACCAGCTTACCCTCGCACATCTGCTTATTTTTCTTTTACACATCAGAGAAGTAATGATCGCATATCAGTATAGCCAATACCTTTTTACTTAAACCCCTTGGGACCTATGATCAGCCCTGAATGAGGACCCAAAGGTATCAGGAACCCAACCTCTCTCCCGGAGAAAGGCCCATTAGGGTGCATTCGCTAACGCTGGAAGATCTTTGGGTATTCCCCAATGACTGAAAAGCAGATGATTTTCTTCTGCAATACAGCCTGGCTGTAGTGGGCCCTAGCAAGGAACCATGGTGGAATATCAGGTCATTTAATTACCATATCATTCTACAGCTAGATCTTTTCTGTAAGGGATAAGAGAAATGGGATGTGATACCCTATGTCCAGTGTTTTATGGCCCTGTACCAGAAAAGGACCCTATAGATATAGTGCAGGCTTTGCACTCTCTAGGTGGGACCACCCAGATCTCCCACTAAACTGCCAGAGAAAGTGCTCCCAATCCTAGAGAGCCCCCCAGATGAGGAGGACTTCCTCTGCTCCATAAACCTCAGGAAACAAGAGGACAGAGAGAGGACGGCTGTCATCCCAACCACCTGGGCCTTCCCCACCTCTACAAGAGAAGTCACTTCCACAGCCAAAGTACCAGGGGCTTCCTATTCCCACTCCCAGCATCAATCCTCCTCTCCCAGTTAGCGTAACCCTGAGTGGGAACTCTCAGAAGCTAGGAGGCAGATGCTTCTCTTTTGACAGTTTCTGAATGGGAATGCACATTTCATCTGAGTGCATGTGTCTTTTCTGCTCTCAACCATTAAGGCAACCGCAGTCTCCCAAACCCCACTGAGGTAAGCTTGACCTGTACAAGCCAAGAGACTGGGTATACATCAAGAACTGAAAGACTGGCCTCACCCTGGACCAGCTCAGCCTGCATGGACAAGGCCTGGCCAAATGCTTCTAGGTATTCATTCTTCCCTTAAACTCCAGAGGGTAACACCTTGGATTCATCACTCACGAGAGAAGAAAGCCCAGGAGCCCCTAGAGGACCCCTCCCCAGCACACACTTGTGAACCTGTCAGAGATATCAAATTGGTTTTCAGAAGAAAAGGCTCATATAACTAAAATGTGCCCTTGCCATTCTCTCAACATACTAGGCATCTTTCTCACCCTTGTAGGAACCCCTATGCTTATCGCCCTCTTTCACTCTGTTAGGTCCTCAATTGATAGTAAAGCCCTCCATATGACACCTTAAAATGAACCCTGTCTTTTCCTTATGCTTCTTGGGCCTCTTAGTTCCCGTGGCCAGTGGTCTCTGGGAGGCCAGTGCAATAGTAAACTTCTCCCATGTTATAGCTGGTAGAGATAATCTGTCTGAATGTTGAATATGCCATGCGTATCCCCAGACTCAGATGGAGTGGCCTGTTGCTTACCCTTTGCAGGGGAACATTAACAACATGGTGGAAAGAAGGGGATCCAAAATACTGCCTGAACCTATCTCAGCATAAAGGGGCCCTTCCCTGTCTGTGGGTTGTGTGGACCTCACCCCTAAGGGCAATGTCACCATGAAAGTAGACCTCATTTATTTAAATTGTTCAGAAAAAAGAGAAAAGCACCAAATGCATTCAGAACAAGAAGGTAACGGAGGCAAGTCTGATGTCTACCCTCCTTGCCTTTGACCTCACTAAACTTTGCATTCTAAACACCACCCATTGGTGTGCCCTCACAGACAGCTATGGGGACTCGATAGACCCTAACACCAAATGTCACAATCAATGTAAAATTTGGTAAGAGATAAACAACCCCCTGCATATTGCAGACTATCATATAGCACTCCTCGAGCTGTGGGAAGAGCTCCATTGGAAAAATAAATCTTAACGGAGATTTTACTTTTACTTAGCGGAGATTTGTGGAGAATCCTTATCTTCTCAGTGTTATGAGACTACTTCTCCCCTTTGGGGTCCCTAATTACTTGGTTGGTTAAACCGTTTCCTCCCCTCCACAACTTGCAGTGGATTACTCTGTTGTACATAATGTAATATACCTAGGACAGTGCACTGAGAGCCTACAGGGGCTCATCTGGATAATAGTCCATAACGAAACCAACCACTATAATAGACCCAAAAGGACTATTGGACTAATCTTGTCAGACACCAGACTTGCTGTAGGGCTGGCTGCCCCTTGGGGGGTTTGCATGCCATGAGATCACCCTAAAAAAATTTCACCCTATCATCCAACACTTTGGCAGCTAACACAGGGAGGCTCTCGAAAATGTGCATATTTCTCCAAATTCACTAGACAGTGTAGGGTTGGACAATCAATTGGCCTTAGACTATTTACTAGCAGAACAGGGAGGGGTATATGCAGTCACCAGTACCTTCTGTTGCACCTGGGTAAGCACCTCTGGGAAAACAGAGGTTAACGTAAAAGAAATATTCAGATACACAGAATGGCTGCATTCCTTCAACCAGAAGGGTAGCTCAAGCAACAAGGTTTGCAAGACAGTCAAGTCCACTATACCTCACCTCACCTGGGTTCTTCCTCTGTTGGGGATACTAGTGACCACTGTTCCCCTGTTACTTTTTGGTCTTTGAATATTTAAAGTGATAGCAAACTTTGTGTCTTCCAGACTTCAACAGTTTCATCTCTAGCTTGTATTACAACAAAAATATCGGCCCCTTTGAACAACTCCAGGTGACCCCAAAACTTACTTGAACTCAGTAGCGCAAGAGTTTCACTCTTCTAACTTTAGGGGGACTCAATGCCCCTGGTCTACATGAAGTAGTTACAGACCAATGACCTCCAGCTCTAAGAATGAGGAGTAGAATGTCTCAGAGGGGGATTTGTAACCCATAGTCCCTGGGTTTTCTGGTACACACTGTGGAAAAAGTGCCTACTTGCAACTGTTGCACCTTGAGGTCTTGTTTCAAAAAATTCCAGGAAGAAGCTCTGCCCCAGAAAACCAGTTGGATCCATACATGCCTGAATTGGGGATGAACTTTGGTGACCTCTCCTCATTAGTATACTAAAAACCTCACCCAGAGAGGTGTCTATTCACCATTTTCTACGCATAGATGTGGAAGCATGATCAGCAACTGCTCCTGTGCTGCCTTTACTCCACCTCTGTATGCAATGACTCAGCTAATCAGCCTAATAAAAGCCCTGTTTTCATCTTTCTTTGGAGAGTCACTGCTTTGGGAACTTCCCTAGTGGTCTCTGTACTTGTTAAAAGTAATAAAATCCCCTTGTTAAACCTTTCTTGGTTGTGGTCATTAGACTGTCACCTGCCAAGCAATCAAACCCACCCGTTGTGCGGGTATCAAATATAGTACTGAAAGTACTAGCAAGAGCGATCAGACGGTAAAAAGAAACAAAGGGTATTCAAATCGGAAAATAAGTAAAATTATCCCTATTTGCAGAAGACATGATCCTATACGTAGAAAACCCTAAAGACAGCACCAAAACCTTAAGAATGAATTAATGAGTTCAGTCAAGTTGCAGGATGAAAAATCAACATACAAAAATCAGTTGCATGTCTTTACGTCAATAAAGACTTATGCAAAAAATAAGTCAAGAAAACAATCCCATTTATGACAGCATTAGAAATAATAAACTACTTAGGAATACATTTCATCAAGGAGTTGAAGAATCTTTACACTGAAAACTGTAAAACATTGATGAAAGAAATTGGAGAAGACACAAATATGTGGGAAGATACTCCATGCCCATGGATTCGGAAAACTAATATTGTTAAAATGTCCATACTATCTAAAGTGGTATACAGATTCAGTGCAATCTCTATAAAAATTCCAATGGCATTTTTCACTTAAACAAACAAACAAAAAAACTCTAAAATTTGCAGGGAACCACAAAAGACTTCAAGTAGCCAAAGCAATATTGATAAAGAAAAACAAAGTTGAAGACATCATATGTCCTAATTTTAAATTATATTACTGGCCAGGCACGGTGGCTCACGCCTGTAATCCCAGCACTTTGGGAGGCCAAGGCAGGTGGATCACGAGGTCAGGAGATCAAGACTATCCTAGCCAACACGGTGAAACCCTGTCTCTACTAAAAATGCAAAAATTAGCTGGGCGTGGTGGCACGCACCTGTAGTCCCAGCTACTCAGGAGACTGAGGCAGGAGAATCGCTTGAACCCGGGAGGTGAAGGCTGCAGTGAACTGAGATCACACCACTGCACTCCAACCTGGTGACATAGCGAGACTCTGTCTCAAAAACAAACAAACAAGCAAACAAACAAACAAAAAACATTATGTTACAAAGATATAGTAAACAAAGCACTATTGTGCTGCCATAAAAACCAACACACAGACTAACACAACCGAATAAAGGGCCCAGAAACAAACTCAAGCATATATGGTTAACTAATTTTCAACAAGGGCACCAATAATGCACAATGAGGAATGGATAGTTTCTCCAGTGCTGTTGGGAAAACTGGATATCCACAGGCAAAAGAATGAATTTAAGAACTTTATCTTTCACCATACATAAAAAAAGCTACTCTGGAGGCTGAGGCAGGAGAATCACTTGAACCTGAGAGGTGGAGGTTGCAGTGAGCCAAGATTGCGCCACTGCACTCCAGCCTGGACTGCAGAGCAAGACTGTCTCAAAAAAAAAAAAAAAAAAGAAAAGAAAAAAAAACATGATGAAAGAAAAGTCTCTTTATACCATCCTTAGCAATGGTTTTTTGGGTATCACACCAAAAGTTCATGCAACAAAAGCAAAAATAAACATGTAGGGATATATCAAACTAAAAGGCTTCTGCACATCAAAAGAGACAACAAAATGAAAACTCAACTTATAGATTAAGAAAAAGTATTTGTGAACCATATAGCTGATAAAGGGTTAATAACCAAAATATGTAAGAAATTCACACAACTCAGTAGAAAAAAATAAAACACAAATAACTTGATTAAAAGATGTGCAAAGGGCCGGGTGCAGTGGCTCATGCCTGTAATCCCAGCACTTTGGGAGGCTGAGGTGGGCGGATCACCTGAGGTATGGAGTTCGAGACCAGTCTGACCAACATGGAGAAACCCCATCTCTACTAAAAATACAAAATTAGCCGGATGTGGTGGTGCATGCCTGTAGTCCCAGCTACTCGGGAGGCTGAGGCAGGAGAATTGCTTCAACCTGGGAGGCGGAGGTTGCGGTGAGCCAAGATCGTGCCATTGCACTCCAGCCTGGGCAACAGGAGTGAGAGTCCATCTCAAAAAATAAATAAATAAATAAATAAATAAATAAATAAATAAAATAAAATAAAAAATTAAAAGATGTGCAAAGGATCTGAATAGACATTTCTCCAAGGAAGACATAAAAATGGGCAACGGGTATATGAAAAGGTGCTTTCCCAATGAGAGAAATGCAAATTAAAACAACAATGAAATTTCACTTTACATCTGTCAGGAATATTATCAAAAGACAAGAGATAACAAGTATTGACAAGGGTATCGAGAAAAGGAAACCTTTGTATACTGTTGGTGGGAATGAAAATTAGTATATTCATTATGGAAAACAGTATGGAGGTTTTTCAAAACTTTAAAAACAGGGTTTTCATTTGACCCAGCAATCCCTCTGTAGATATATACCCAAAGGAAATGAAATCAGCACCTTGTAGAGATATCTGTGCTGCCATGTTCATTGCAGCATTACTCACAACAGCACAGAAATGAAAACAACTTAAGTGTCAGGTGGATGAACCTGAAAGACATGAGACTAAGTAAAATAAATCAGATACAGAAAGGAAAAGGTTGAATGCATAAAAACAGAGTAACAAGTAGTTACCAGGGATGATGGGGGAAATGGGAAGATGTAGGTCAAAGGGTGCAAAGTTGTAGTTATGTGGGACTAATAAGTCTAGAGATCTAATGTACAACATAAAATCTATAGTCAATCATTGCATAATAAAAATTTGCTAGGAGAGTAGATTATAGGTGCTCTTGCCACACCAAAAAATTGTATAATAACTATGTGAATGAATATGTTAATTTGCTTGCCAGTAGTAATCATTTCACTATGTATATGTATTTCAAAATGTCATGTTGTACTCTCTCTCTCTCTCTCTCTCTATATATATATATATATATATGGCAGTAGTAATTACAACACACAAATAAACATCAGAGTGCTTGTGTGCGCAGAGGTACAACCATGTGAAGAGTCATCAGGAGGGTGACCATCTGCAAGCGAAGGAGAGAGGCCTCAGAAGAAAGCAACCCTGCCAGCACCTTGATCTTGGACTTCCAGCTCCAGAATGGTGAGAAAATAAATTTCTGATGTTGAAGCCATCCAGTCTGTGGTATTTTGTCGTGGCAGCTCCAGCAAACTACTATACCATGCCTAAATGCAGAGAAAACTTTAGGGTTATTTAAAACTCTTAGTGCTGTCTCTGATTTCTGGTTGTTTTTTTTAAAGTATGTTGCTTTCACCCCCAAATAACTAACTCTGCTTCTCCCCTATGCCTTCAGATTTAAAGCATGATTATTATCCAGTGCCTTCTAATGGGCTTCAGAATGTGGGTTTCCTTACCCTTAAAAATAAGAGATTGGACCAGATGAGTTCTTGGACTGCTTACATAGGATTCCATTCTTGAATCCTTTGGGTTTGAACTGAGGACTCAGTTGTTTGGTTGATCATTGATCTGCATACCTGGGCAGTTTATGAGAAAGTTTTCACCAGAATATAGGAAAATTAGAATCATATAAGGATATCAGAGTATGATTTTCAAAAAGCTGGAATTACCTAATTCGAAGCACTCTTCTTCATTCTGTGTTACTATCCTTCACTTTTATTTTGATTTTCTGGTGGTAAAATATGTCCTTCCTTTAAATGGAAATGATAGTGGGTTTTGTTTTAACATTATACTTTGCAAAATAGAAAGTTTGTAACCTCCAATGAGACAGCATACATCTATTTGCATATATATCACTCTTCCATTTGATTTAGGAGTCCTGAATCTTGAACTAGAAGCCTGGCTTGGCCTTCTATCCCAAGTGGCCTTGGATTTCATTCTTTCTCACTCAAATGAATTTGCATTACTGATTGAATCTCATAAAGGGAATATAGACATCTTCATGGATTTTGAAGTACCTTCATTTTCCCTTTGTTTCAAAGAAGACTCCTCTCCACATACATATTAAAATGAAGTTATAAATACTCAGACTCTAAAAATAATAAAAATCAAATAATTTTGAAGGTATTGAGTGTGTATATCTACAGTAACACATCAATTTACTCAATTTTCAATTAATTGGGTTATCATTTATATAATGTTTATTGGCTTTAAAATGCATGGATTTGCTATAAGTATTCTGCCAAATAAATGGAAATTTGAGGTATTGATATTTTTAATGTGCTTAATATTATCCAGCTATTTGCTGCGTTGGTTGCATTTACTTTTCTTTCTTTTGTGCCTTATATATATTTTCACCACATTGCATTTTTTTCTAAAAAGATTACTCTGAATATATAAGATTATAAAGTTATTAGGTAAAAACTAAAAGTCATCAGTTTCTATGTTTTCCCAATCATTTTGAAGAAATATTTCATCATATTTAACACAACATTTCAAATTTGGCTATGTTTTTATCAGTCTGATATTTTGCTTGCTATTACTACACTCAAGATGGAAGCTTTCTCACCAGTTTTGACAATAGGTATTATTTTATTGTACTTATCCTGAATTACTTCAAAACAAATGCATCAAAAACTACCATATTAGTGTATTGAACACTGTCAGTAAAATCTCATTCCGTAGGAGCACTTAGAACTAGAAATGCTTGATAGTTTTTGTTTTGAATTGAATATATGCATCCTTGATGCAAAAGCAATTAGTAAAGCTTTTGAAAATAGTCAATAATTTGGTCATACTAACACAATTTTCTATCCTTGCAAAAGCAGCCTCTTTTCTTTCCCTTATGAATAGCTGAAGATATTAATGTCTCTGTTTATCATCTTGGTAATGATATAAATATCTAGTGAGGATGTCTTCCTTCACTTTTATAATCCTTATTTTAATATATTTTATACATACTATTAGACTTCCTAACTTATTAAGAAATGCTTGACTATCTGGGTTGTATCAAATTATTTATTTATTTATGTGTTTAATTTATTTATTTTTATTTTTATTTTTTGAGACGGAGTCTTGCTCTGTCGTCCAGGCTGAAGTGCAGTGGCACGATCTCAGCTCACTGCAACCTCTGCCTCCCGGGTTCAAGCAATTCTCCTGCCTGAGCCTCCTGAGTAGCTGGGATTACAGGCACACACCAACATACCCGGCTACTTTTTGTATTTTTAGTAGAGGTGGGGTTTCACCATGTTGGCCAGGCTGGTCATGAACTCCGGACCTCAAGTGATTCGCACACCTCAGCCTCCCAAAGTACTGAGATTACAGGAGTGAGTCACCATACCTGGCCTGTATCAAATTTATATACACACCAAATACTGACACAAATTTCAAACAGCTTCTGCTCATTGAATTATAATAAAAAGTCACACAGCATGGTAAATGGATTGGTAATCATTTACTTTCTTTTATAAACAAGGGCTAGAAGAAGAAAGAGACAAAGAGGGAAAGGAAGGAACCGGAGGAAGAGAAAGCAAATAAGGAAGGGAAGAGAAGGCAGGAAGAAGGAAGGGAAGGAGAGAGAAATGAGGAGAGAGAAAGAGAGAAAGAGAAAGCCAAAATAGATGAGTGCAAAGAGTATTTCTAGATAGCATCTAATTTACTGTAGAATGTATGTATTTAAATACATATTGCATGTCTAACATGTATGCTTTTACTTTGCATTTTAAAAAATTTGAACTATATACCTTAAAGTGTTCATAAATGTATAGATAGTAACTGTCTAAATAAAAATGAGCTTATTAAAAGTTATGTGTTAAAGGACAAAAATAAAAGAGGACCTACACCAAATTACATGATTATAGATGAACCACAGATAGAATCTGGACAGTCTCAAGTGTGGCTTCACCATCTTTATTTCAGGTAATCATTTCAGTGATTTCCTCTGAGTTTATTGTTTCTACTTTTAATAATATCTATGAGTCATATCTAAAGAGTAAGTATACATGTAATGACACAATACTGAATATGCTAATTTGTTAATCCAGAATTATATTATATTTATTTATTTATTTTGAGATGGAGTCTCCCTCTGGAGCACAGGCTAGAGTGCAGGGACGCCATCTCTGCTCACTGCAAGCTCTGCCTCCCGGGTTCACGTCATTCTCCTGCCTCAGCCTCCCAAGTAGCTGGGACTACAGGTGCCCAACACCACGCCCAGCTAATTTTTTGTATTTTTAGTAGAGACGGGGTTTCACCGTGTTAGCCAGAATGGTCTCGATCTCCTGACATTGTGATCCACCCGCCTCGGCCTCCCAACGTGCTGGGATTACAGGCGTGAGCCACCGCGCCGGCCCCAGAATTAAATTAAATGATAGAGCACAGCTCTCCTGTTGAATGATAACCAAATAAGCACCAAATAAAGTCTTTTCTTTAAAGCAAATGCAGATATACTCACTTTGTTTTGTTGGTGTTATTTTAAATAAAAATGGTATATGTTTAAACAACAAACTAAAAAACAAAAGCAAATACAGATAGTTAAAAGTGAGTGATGCTAATCTGCATTGTACAGATTTCCACTGAGGGAATTTGTCCTCCAGGAGTATGTCCTCTTGATATTTTAAGTTGAAGCTTAGAGTTCATTTTCCCCCATAAACAACATGAGGAGAGTTGCCTAGTAGAGCCAAAATGGAATTATTAGTAGTTTATAGGTAAAATAGAATTTCATGGTCTCATCTAAATTTGAATTACCCAATATAACATTGCCTTCATGATATAGTATGTATGAATTCCAAGAAACAATTTAAGTCAATTTGAAGAAAACCCAACTGTACAAAATAAAGTTCCTTTGGGGAAATTTGTAGTTTGTTTTCTACACCCTTCAATGGGATTGGGGAACTAAACAGTTGCCCAAGCGTATTATCATATAAATCAAATAATACTTTCATCTCCATCCGCCTCTCAATAGTATATTATTTCTGAAAGACTTAAGATGGGGTTCGTTTTTCTTCCCCTTCTGGATTAGAAGGAAGACATGCCTTTCTGAGCACAGCTGGAAAATGTGCATCTTGGGGGCCCACCCCTGCCTTTCCCTTCTGTTAAGGTTCTCCCGTGGAAGCTGAAGCTTGCAGTATGCACAGCTGCTAAGGCGGAGATAACTCTTCCCACAATAAATGAAGGGAGCTCTTCACTGCATGGAACACAAAGAGTTCATTGTACTGGGATGGGCAGAATTACTGCAGCTATGCTGCTGGCAGCGCAACCCATTGCCATTCGTAAGCTACTCAGTGGCCACGAGCAGTACTGGTAGACAGAAACCTAGGAAAGGCCTAGACAGCTCAGAAACATTGCACGACATTTCTCAAACTGATAAGGAAATAATATTCTCATTTTATTCTCCTTTTTTTCCCCACATTAAGCAGTATGAGGCATTCAGGTGTTCTAGATAGTAAATGGTAACTAATTCTGTTTCCAAGTAAAGGTGTGGCCAACATATTTAGAGAGGAAATCCAGAAGGAAGGACATTAATACGCAGTCTTAGCCTTCTCTTCCTTGCATAACATACTGCTTCATTGGACCATTTAAATAATTTTTCCTCCTCCTTCTGTTTACAAATATTTATAGCTATAGTATGGCAACATGTCCTCATTTAATGCCATGCCAAGGCATATTCATTCTTTTAATATTTCCTCATACATCAATACTTCTAACTCTTTCGTCATTTTTGTGGCTTTTCTCGGAAGCTCTTTTAATTTATCTAAATCTTTTTTAGAGCTAAGGTGCCAAGAACTCAATCACAAAGACAATCTCAATAACCATGTATGAAGGAAAAAGAAAAGGCGGAAAATCCTAGCTCCAAAGCACTTTTATAGGTCATACTTCCAGTAACTGCAGTTCTGACTACAAGGTCTATTCTTCCCACAGGGCAAGAAAAATTCAAGCGTTCTTTCACATAGCTCAAACTTCCCCAGATGGAGGGCTTTGGACTTTTGTTGTTGGAGGGAGGTCAGGAAGGCTATTGGAAGAGTGCTGAATTAGAAAGTCCCAAATACCAATCCCCTTTTACATAATAGTGTCTTTTCTGCAGAAAGAGTAGGAAGAATTTTAAAATGTAAATCCCCTAAGGACATCTGGCTCTGATGTATTAGTCTGAAAAAAAAAAATACAAGGAAAAGGGGGCTGTTCTAGAATTTCCTTAGAGAGTTGATTATTCTTTCTAGTCCTTTCGGGATGAGCCAGGGTGAACTAGGCCTCTTTTCCATGATCTCTATTAGCAAGAGCCAAAATAAAAGCCAAATGAGGATGCCTACCTGATTATTTTCTTCGCCCTTCACCTGGCTACTTTTACCAGGAGGTTATAGTTCAGTAAGTGCTCTACTAATCACTCAATAAAAGGGACAGTATAACATATTCGTCTGTTACAAAAAATATGTACTATATTTTTAAAGTATATAATACTAAATTTTGTCTTCTGGCTCTTTATTATAAATCAGTACAGATTGAGTACAGTTTTTATTATTGTTATTATTATTTGCCTTTTTCAAGTGAATTTATTATTTCTTTAGAAGCACTTAAAATATTACATGAACTTCAAGTCACGTAACAGTACTTATCTCCAAGCAGATTTAAATACCTTAAAGATTATGTTTGATACTATGTTTTACTAAAAGTTAGATATAATGAAATTACTTTTAGTTTGACTTTGGCCTACTAGTTTTGCATACAACAAAAAAATAGAATTTGTATGTGAAAATAAAAAGTAATGAGCAGAAACCTTAATCTACATTGTTAGAACTAATAATGTGTTCCATAGACTAATCATCTGTCATCAAGTAAAAGACTGACAGTAGTGAATAAAATCTGAGTTCATTAGCCAACCACTGTTAACATTGGCAGAGTAATGCAAATATAACTGAGCTATCTTAATTATTCTTTATTTTATGATAAACAGTTAAAATATACTGGGATTAAGTAATCCATTAACTCTTATGAGTAATTTCACAGGAAGTTGTATTCTTTGTCTTTGCAAGAGCAATCATCCATCTTGTTTCAGGGTATGATAAGTTTTTGGAATTTTCTAAACAATTTAAATCTTTCCTATAGATTGCTATCCCTAAAAATATTTGTCTCTGGCTGTACCAAAAAAGAGTATGAAACCAATTAAGAGTTCATGTAACCAAAATGCTCAAAAAAGACTAACGTACAACAAACCCTTCAATAGCATCCAGGAAATATCTTTAAAGTCATAATTTGTTTCTATTTTCCTATAAAGTAATAATAAATTTGATGTCACAACGACCAAAAATACTGTTTCGCAGGTAACCAAATGCCAATTTTCTAATTTTGAGTAACACTATCACAAAATAAAACTATAGAATGATAGGCCATAAACTACCAGAGGTTTCCATGGGCAAGCCATTCTAAAAACTGTACTATTCTTTTTCTTCCACAATTTGCCAAAATCAAAACAAATCTCATCTACACAAGAGCAACAATTACCAACATACGTTTCTTGACCTCCTACCTCCCTTCTGAAATTCAGTTTTCTCTGCTTTCGTTAATTTCCTTACTTGGCTAATATCTCTTTTGCCTTTCTCCAAACCTTACTTCAGGTGACTCTAAATAAGATTATCTATTACTAAAGCGATGTTCTTTGTATCTATCTGGGTAAGTAAAAATGTATTTTTCCAAAGGCAAAGTGTTCTTGAAGTATAGATTTTATTATTTTTCCCTAAAAATATCAAAGTAAAGTACCCTATGTTAGCCACACACTTTCTAAAAAGAAAGATATGGCCGGGCGTGGTGGCTCACGTCTGTAATCCCAGCACTTTGGGAGGCTGAGGAGGGTGGATCTCCTGAGGTCAGGAGTTCGAGATCAGCCTGGCCAACATGGTGAAACCCCGTCTGTACTAAAAATACAAAAAAATTAGCCGGGAGTGGTGGCTCATGCCTGTAATCCCAGCTACTCAGGAGGCTGAGGCAGGAGAATCGCTTGAACCCAGAAGCCAGAGGTTGCAGTGAGCTGAGACCACACCATTACACTCTAGCCTGGGCAACAGAACCAAACTCTGTCTAAACAAAACAAAACAAATAATAAAAATTAAAAAAAAGAAAGTTATGCTACATGAATCTGGAACTGAAAGAAATAAATGATTGTATAGACCCAGTAAACACTAACTTTAACAAAATATATTTACAAATTAAATATTTCTACTACCATCTAGATTAGAGAATAGAATTGAATAATCATACAGTGTAATAAAATTGGATCACTTTGCCTATAGTTGAAAGCAAGAGAGAATTAAAATTCTGCATTAGTCTTGTGCTTGCAAGGTTATGCTTTGCGGGGGCAAGAACATGAAATACTGCTAGTCGATGGCAATTTTATGTCACTTGTTATTAGGATGTAAGATATATAACTCCATTTATTGTATCTAATTTTCATAAATAGTATCTAAATGACACCATCTGTTCTAAAGAATACTATCACATTTTATATTTATTCAGGTTTTACGTTGTCATTAGTGTAAAACTTTGAGTTCAGAATGAAAGAGTTTTACTAGAAAGCGCATAATTAGAGAGTTCATATAATAATAACATATGCTTGGAGAAAAGTCATGTTAACTTGCTTTCTGACTTTAAAAAATTTAACCTAAATTTATACCTTAAAAAATCAGCAAGTGACTTCCACCATTTTTTATGCCATACATGCACTCCTAAACACATTGCATGAATTTTAAATACTTATTACTTCTTTTCTAGATTATAAGCATAATAATATAAAATGCAGAACAATTTTGATACTACAAAAATTACAAAATAAATGTTAAAATTAATGAATAATAACATTATTAGAGATAAACACTACTATACAATTTGGAGTTTTATGCCTAGATAGATATCTATTTACATACGTAGATAGAAAACATGCTGGATATATAGTTTTGCAATACAGCTTTTCCCCCTTAGTGATATATCATTAAATATTTCCAATGACAGTAAAAATCCTCTGATAACTTCAATTTAAAACAATGACATATCCATATTATGATGATATCATTTATTTAATTCCACTCCAAATTTTAAACAATTTTTAGAACTTTAGGAACAAAAAATAATACAGAGATGAAGATCTTTGTACATATAATTTTGTCCACTTCTCTGAAAACTTCCTTAAAAAAAGTTCTGGAAATGGAAGTACTTAAAGAGAAAGAATAGTTTTTAAGATTGACACTATTTCCTAATGGCTTTTCAAAAATGTAGTAATCATTATAACTCCTTCTCACAGCAATGTATGAGAACTCAGGGTTTTCATCCTCTTACCACCACCCTCCACCCTGCAGTCCTCCAGCCATCTCCCCGGTCCCGACACCACCAGCCAACAAAAAGATGTTCTCATAGTGTCATAGTGACAGATGAAAAATGATGCTCACTAGCATTTTATTTTGCATTTCATTTAATTATAAATAAAATATGATTTTTTCCCATCAATATAGTGGTCATCTGCTTTTCTTTTAGGAAGTTTAATAACTTTTTTAGATTAATCATTTTTAAATGATTAATCATTAAAAAGTTGAATATTTTTCATCATGATTTGTGAGCTAATTTTATATTAAGAATATTATCCCATTTATATATTTGTAGCATATAACTAGGCACTTAGTTTTTAATAGGTTTATAATATTTTTGTATATACAAGCTTTTAGACATTTAGGTAATCATTTCAATAGAACTTTCTTTGTGACATTTTCTATTATTTAATGCCTAAAATGTTATTCCTTATTCAGCCATCTTTTTAAAAAATAAATCTTCAATAATTCTGACATTTATGTTGAAATATGAAGGCAAAAGACATATTCTTTTTTCGTTTTTTTCTCAAATGGTAACCTTACTTTTTCAACATCATTCAATAAATAATGAATTCAATCATTCAATAATGCATTCAACAGTTACTCATTCTTGCCATGAGCTTAATATTATTATGAGTGATATAATCCAGTGGTGAAACAAAGACTTTACTCTTAGAAAATTTGCATTCCAGGGGAAGAGAAAATAACAAATAATTACATAACTTACTGTGTACTGCAGAAAAACAATGCTTTGAATAAAAAAAAAAGCAGATTAAGAGAAAGAGAGGACTAAATGTTTGTGAATGGAGGGAGAGATTTAACATAGGTTACAAAACCCTCTCTTATGAAAAGAAAGTTCATCAGAGACCTGTATCTGAATATCTGAATTACTATTTTCTAGGTCTACTTACTGTTTTTTTTTTTTTTTTTTTTTTTTTTTTTTGTGTGTGTGTGTGTGTGTGTGTGTGTGTTTAAGATTTTTATGTTTGGGCATTCAAAGAGAAATTTAGAAAGTTAGACTTTTCTATTTTAAACAGTATCCACATGTAAGAATGTGTTGTTTATTGAAATAGTTTTGTTTATATTGTATATAATTCAAATTCATTAAACTTCCTTCTAGCACAGCTTATATTTATTTCTTTTCTCTTTTTGCTCTGTCAGTATCCTCTCTGTAAACCACCCCTTATGTAAACAAATAAATAATACAAATCATACACTTGCTTTAGGTGTCCAATGACTTTCAAACTTCAAATAATACATCCTCTTCTGTATTCCCATTTTGTTTAGTTGATACTGCACTACCTAACCACTTCTTAAATTTTGTCTTATATTTTTCTGATTAATACTGTCCTGAATGTACATTTTATGTCTCGAACCTTATTACAAATTCATCAAAAGCAGGGAATATATTCTACACCTAGTTGATAGCACAAAAGGAATTTTAAAATATCCTTTGACTTGAAAAACTTCTTTAAAAACATACTAATAAAACGAGGTGAAAAAGGAGTTCTATAAGATAATAATAATTTTACAAATTGAAATACACTTGAAAAATAAATGATACTTTTATTTTTCTCTCAAACTTTAAAACTGCAAGCCAGGATTCCCTGCTAGGACATGCGATTTTGTTATAGGAAGTTTTGTTGAAGACAGTTTATTATTAAGCAACAATTATGATATTTTTAAAAATAAACATAAGCCATTTTCAAATGCTGATCTTTCTAATGCACCGAAAGAATTTTTAAGTTTTAGTGTAAAATTTTAAAACCTAAAGTACTACTTAAAGTCTCAAATACAGACTCAAGTTATTTGGAAGTATCAATCTCTTTTAGTCATCTAAATTAATGTACTGACTCTCCAGTCATGAACTATATTCAAGACATGATTTAATATATTTTCTCATAAAATATTAACATTATAATAATTAATCTCCTTACCCCAGGCACATTTTTATATTCTGAATAAGAGTAAGGGAAGCACAGAACCAGTTAAATAGTTTGAGGATGGTAAGGCAAAAAGTAGTTCCCTGTATGGAATATCTCTGAAATTCTCTCACCCCCAAAATGTAGTAATTAAGAAGTATTATATGAATTTTAAATTTTCCATAGTCATAGTGATTTTCCAACTGTAAGAATAAGAGATTCTCATTATTACTGAAAGGGAACCAGAAAATAAGAAACACCAAGATAGTTTCTGTATTGATTTATAAATTCTAAGTTTCTAGGTTTATAAATTGAGATGATTTATGTTATAACATCATACAAATCAGTATTCCTACCTTTTTGATAAAAATATCTATTAGCATTATTTTTCATTTCATATCTGATAACATTATAACTAACCTTTTTTGAAGAAAACATTTACAACATATACTGTAATCTTTCAATTATTATTTTGAAATATGTTTACAAAAATAAAATGTATATAATTTCATTTTATAAAATACTCTCAAATTATATAAAGCATCTGATATTTAGAAAAGGAACTAAGCAAAAAATGTTGGATATTGCATTAACATCAGGAATATTACTGAATACCTTAGAAACATTATGTCCTTTGTATAAACATAGTATTAGTTGAAATGCACTTAAGAAATGCTTTAAAAATCATATGAAAATATTCTACCACCAGCAGGCAGAAAAAGTGTTTCTGAGCAAACCACAATGACTGGGGGAAAAAAGAATAGATATATTTGCATACATTATAAACAATAATGGCAAAAAACAAAAAAAAGTCAAAAATCAAGTGATAAAATATTTGCAGCACAAATGATAAGCAAATGTTAATATTCCTAATATGTAAAGAGCTCCAATAAATTGTAGGAAGAAAACAAACAAATTTGATAGAAAAAGGGCAAAGGAAAAGAATTAGCAATTCACAGAAGAGGAAATTTAAATTGCTAATCAACATATGAAAAGATATTCCCTCTCATTTGTAGTCAGAGAAATGCAAATTAAATCAACAACGAAATACACATAAAATTGGCAAACTTAAAAAGATTTACTACATCCAGTGCTGGTGGAGAGACTGAAACAGTTACTCTCCTGAATTATTGGTTAGAGTATGAATTGCTACCCACCATTGTGAAAATGAATTTAGCAATATATAGTAAATTTAAGAATTACTATTGATTCAGTCATCCTAATTTGGGGAATCTAGCCTATAGAAATTATTGTATTACTTATAAAAACATATGTAAAAAATGATTATCGTAGCTTTGTAGCTGCAAAAAAACTGGAGGGAAAATAATTAAATTTGACTATCCAATGATAGGCAAATGTTCATATACATTTTATTATACTTTTTATTATAATTTTATGGAATGCTGTGTCACTAGGAAGAATGAGTCAGAGCTATCTCTTTTGGCCTAGAGGAAAACTCATGGTATGTTTTTAAATGATAAAAAAAATTTGTATTGTAGAACAATGCAAATACCAGTATTATCCCATTTTTAAAAATCATATAACAAACCTCATATGTGTATATGATACATTTTGCACTTGTATAAGTTTGTATATGTGTTTTATATGTTTATAAGCATTCAAGAACAGTATAGAATATGGAATGACATAAACTAGGCTATTATCTTTGATCATTTGGAGAGTTTTGAAAAGAAGAAGGGGTGGGAGAGATTTTTAATTGTTTTATTTAAATATAGCAACACTAATTCATTCAATTAGCTTTGGGAAAAATTGTGACAATTAAGATCAGTAAAGGATAAAGTATATAAATCCCAATATATCACTTTAAAAATATCTGTGATCCTAGGTATATATCCAAGAGAAATGAAAGCATATATGCATACATAAACTCATTAACAAACATTCATATCATCACTATTTATACCACCTAAAAGGTGAAAAAAAATCTATTAACTTAAAATGTGGCATATCCATATAATGAAATATTTTTGGTAATAAAAAGGAATGAACTACTAATACATGATACAGCATCAGTGAACCTTGAAAGTATTAAGCTAAATGAAAGAAGCAAGTCACAAAAGACCACATAGTATATGGTTACGTTCATATAGACCTCCAGAAAAAGGAGGCCTATAGAGACAGTAAGTCAGGGGTTGGCTAGGGCTGGGCTGTGGGGCTGTCAAGAGGAAGATGGTGAGTGACTGCTAATGGATAGGGGGTTTCTTTTTGGAGGGGACAGGAGGTGAAAATGTTCTAAAATTAGATTTCGGTCATAGCTGCACAACTTTGTGAATCTACTAAATAACATTCAATGTTGGCCTGAAATGGGTGAATTGTATGGCATAAGAATAATACTCGATGTAGCTGAAAGAAAACCTATGACCAATTTTTTCAACATGATAACTGTTTCTTAACAAATTCATTTTTAAATATTATACTCATTAACTAAAAACCTTATAATAAGCCATCAAAGGATAATAAGGTATTCCATATAAATAAAATTTCCTGTTAGTGAAGAATTCCCACTTAAAATGTCAACACTTTCTCTTAATTTTACATATTTGGGATGAGAAAATATCTTTGTTATAAACCTACTTGGCTTTTTAAGCAGTGTCTAATAATAATATGCCATATTTTTCTTGAAAATAGGTGTCAATAATAGGAACATCATCTTTAATGTTATGACTATGTAGTTTAAATATAATACACCAACATTTCCCCCAGGATTTCCCACTAATTACCTTTGATGGTAAAGATCATTAAATATACATCTAAATAAGAGTGAAAGAATAAATCTCATTTAAGAGAAGTCCTGAGTTCTCATGAATAATGTACCTGACCTTAAATGCTTACATATTGTGAGATAAATTTTGGCCATTCAGATCTTTTCCCTCGATTTCTGGTTATTCACTCTGTTCTATATAAGCAAGATTGCCAGACCGTAAGACACATGTGATATTAATATCTCAATTTTAAATCTAGGCAGGGCTCCTGATACTCTTGGATGCTCAAATTATTAAGATTTTCATATCTATTTTTATCCTGTTGGTGATTTAAATCACAGCATGAATATCTTTTTTTCAGTACAGAGTTTGCCAAACGCTGTTGTCATCAATGAAGGCAGCCACTAACATTTTGAAATGAAACATCAAAATGGTTTCAAATTCTGTGACAGATCAATTTAGGAGTATTATACAAGAGCAAGAAAAACACAGACTGGATTTGCTTCTGTGGTTTTCTGTACATTTCTTTCTCAAACGGATGAATGTTATTATTTAGAATTAGAAATATGTGATCCTTTCTGTTCCAATCTAGTATTTGTAATGGTATGCCTTCTAAAATTTATAACCAAACTAACTTATTAGATGTTAAGAGAGTTTAAATATAAAACTCATTACTTATCCAAGTGTGAGCTTTGACTCGATTTTCTTTAAACCTGACCTTATCCCTACAACTAATCATTTACTTATATTTCAAAGATTTTTTTCAGTGTGTTATAGTGGTAAGAGCTTTAATTTTGAAGTCAAATATAGGGCTTATCTTAAATTCTGGCTTAATTTATTTCTAAGCATTTACTTGGTTACTTAACCTTTCAAAACCTGTTTTTTTTAATTTTTTTAAAATTTTTTAGAAAACTATAAAAATAGTATCTACTTCCTAGTTCTTCAGAGGGTTCAACTAGTCATCATTAATAAAAAGACTTTCATATACAGTGCCTCTTAGGAAAAAAAAAAACATTTAGTAACAGTTAATTTTCTTTTTCGTAACTGCTTAGCCTACAACTTCCATCTTAATCAAAGCCCTTATCACTTTGTTTGATCTCTATACAGAATACTGCTGCCAGCTTTATCTTCCTAAAACCCACTTAACGTCTTCACTCCTTAAAAATCTTCAATGGCAGGTGATGGGAATAACTTGCCAAATAAACTCAAAATGCTTTAGCTTGACCTTTAAAATCCTCCTTAATCTGGCCTCATCTTTCTTCTATTCCAAACTGATGTACTCATGATATTTTAAATAACTTGCTTTCCCTAAATCTGCCATTTTCTAATGTCAGACCTTAAAAAAAAGAATATTAACTTTTAACTCATTTTTCTGATTCTATAACTACATTTTACAGTTTCCTTTTCCATTAAACCATCTAATGACATCTTACTCGTCCAATCCTCGCAACTATCCAGATCTCAATTTTTAGTTACCTCATAAAACTTTTCCTGATTATTCTAATTACAATTCACATCTACCATTTTCTAACCTCTAGAACAATGGATTTAGAGTTTACAATGTAACTATTTTGTGTTTCTATGAAATGTTCAGGAATTATTTGCTGTGATTTATCATTTATGTGTAATTTATGTGTACAACATAAGTAAAGTTATATTTTACCCACAGCTGCCCCTCCCAAAAGAACCTGGCCCACAGTGGGTAATCTATTACCTATTACCATGTGGAAAACTTGATTTGCTCTTATTTAGTTTCCACCCAATCAGCCAATGATACTCTATTTACCTATATTTACAAGATTATTCCATGTAATGCATGTTTCTGAAACATCAGGAAAATTAACTCCCACTGTATTTACTTCAAAACTATAAACAATATTTTGTAGCATATTCCTTTAAACAGAAAACACAATTTATTTCAATGTCTCTGTCCCAAAGCATGTTCATCAGTCTTTATTTTATACCTACTACATTTTAATCAGCTTGGGATTTTTGATCATTTAATTTTGAAAACCTGTGTGAATAGTTCTAAGAGTTACTGCAAAACAGTGTGCCTGATGCTGGAGCTCATCTTCTGCAAATGAGCCAAATATTTTACACATACTTATTCTATACTTGTTTTTCTGGAAAATATCATTAGTATCCATATTTACATGCCCAGTATACATACAGGCCAATATATCTAACAAAAAGAAAAATTAAATTGTATAATCCAACTATTATTGGTCAATCTCAGATCTAGGTTTGTTGTCTTATTCAAGTTGTAAAAAAACAAAAACAACATAAATTTCTACAAGCATAACTTTATTTTTAGAACAATTTTCATTTAATGCTAACTTTAAACCTTATCTTCTGTGCCTTTAGTTCTCACCTCAGTAGGGGATTAAAATCTGATAAATACTTGCTGATTTTCTTCAACCCCTTTGATTTTGAGTTATCGTTCTTACTCTCCATTTTCCTGTCTTCTTTGTGTATCTAAAAACTGACATACAACCTCATGCCTCATAGGTATCATGCCATTTCAGCAAAACAATGTAATTAGTTACATTGCAAAAGTTTACTGAGCAGTCATTTTGTACAGGGAACTAAGACACTGTAGAAAAAATGCAGGAAAAAATGCATAGCCTTGAGGGGTTTCAAAATCTGCTGGAGGTAGGAAAGGGGGGGCACAAACTTTCCAAAAGATTAATTACAAACAATTGAAAAGATTGACATGCTATCTACTCCACATGTAAAGTAACAATAAGAGTGCTGGTGGACTATAGAAAAAATAAAGAACTTGTTAAAGAAAAGGTTAAATTCTTTGGATTTGAAGTAGGCAAGTTTTAGAGTAGTAAGCCTTGGATGTAATAAAAATGAAATTAACATTAAAAAGCTGTGGTTTTCTGTGGAGAGGAGAAATGGGTACTTAGAATGAGATGATATATAAAGTGGCAAAGAGGTAGATTATCAAAAATTGAAATTTAGGGTATAATCCATTGATGAAACAGAGGATTCATAAGATTAAATGTGATAAAGCTGAAGAAAAATATACTGGATTACAGTCATTCCAAGATGGCCAAATAGAAACAGCTCCAGTCTACAGCTCCCAGCATGAGTGATGCAGAAGACGGGTGATTTCTGCATTGCTAACTGAGGTACCGGGTTCATCTCGCTGGGTCTTGTCAGACAGTGGGTGCAGCCCACAGAGTGTGAGCCGAAGCAGGGTGGGGCATCGCCTCATCCGGGAAGTGTAAGGGGTTGGGGAATTCCCTTTCCCAACCAAGGGAAGCAGTGACAAAATGGTACCTGGAAAATCGGGACACTCCCACCCTAATACTGTGCTTTTCCAACAGTCTTAGCAAACGGCACACCAGGAGATTATATCCCATGCATGGCTTTGAGGGTCCCATGCCCACGGAGCCTTGCTCACTGCTAGCACAGCAGTCTGAGATGGAACTCCAAGGTGGCAGTGAGGCTGGGAGAGGGGCATCTGTCATTGCTGAGGCTTGAGTAGGTAAACAAAGCAACCAGGAAGCTCCAACTGGGTGGAGCCCACAGCAGCTCAAGGAGGTATGCCCGCCTCTGTAGACTCTAGATCTGGGGGCAGGGCATAGCTGAACAAAAGGCAGCAGAAACTTCAGACTTAAACATCCCTGTCTTACAGCTGTGAAGAGAGTAGTGGTTCTCCCAGCATGGAGTTTGAGATCTGAGAACAGACAGACTGCCTCCTCAAGTGGGTCCCTGACCCCTGAGTAGCCTAACTGTGAGACAACTCCCAGTAGGGGCCAACTGACATCTCATACAGCTGGGTGCCCCTCTGAGACGAAGCTTCCAGAGGAAGGACCAGGCAGCAACATTTGCCGTTCTGCCATGTTTGCTGTTCTGCAGCCTCTGCTGGTGATACCAGTCAAACAGGGTCTGGAGTGGACCTACAGCAAACTCCAACAGACCTGCAGCTGAGGGTCCTGACTGTTAGAAGGAAAACTAACAAACAGAAACAACATCCACACCAAAACCCCATCTGTACATCACCATCAACAAAGACCAAAGGTAGATAAAACCACAAAGATGGGGAAAAAACAGAGCAGAAAAGCTGAAAATTCTAAAAATCAGAGCACCTCTTCTTCTCCAAAGGAACGCAGCTCCTTGCCAGCAATGGAACAAAGCTGGACAGAGAATGAATTTGATGAGTTGAGTGAATAAGGCTTCAGACGATCGGTAATAAGAAACTTCTCCGAGCTAAAGGCAGATGTTTGAACCCATCGCAAAGAAGCTAAAAACCTTGAAAAAAGATTAGATGAATGGCTAACTAGAATAAACAGTATAGAGAAGAGCTTAAATGACCTGATAGAGCTGAAAACCATGGCAGGAGAACTAAGTGATGCATGCACAAGCTTCAGTAGCCGATTCGATCAAGTGGAAGAAAGGGTATCAGTGATTGAAGATCAAATGAATGAAATGAAGTGAGAAGAGAAGTTTAGAGAAAAAAGACTAAAAAAAATTGAACAAAGCCTCCAAGAAATATGGGACTATGTGAAAAGACCAAATCTACGTCTGATTGGTGTACATTAAAGTGGCAAAGAGAATGGAACCAAGTTGGAAAACACTCTTCAGGATATTATCCAGGAGAACTTCCCCAACCTAGCAAGGGAGGCCAACATTCAAATTCAGGAAATACAGAGAACGCCACAAAGATACTCCTCAAGAAGAGCAACTCCAAGACACATAATTGTCAGATTCACCAAAGTTGAAATGAAGGAAAAAATGATAAGGGCAGCCAGAGAGAAAGGTCGGTTACCCACAAAGGGAAGCCCATCAGACTAACAGCGGATCTCTTGGCAGAAACTCTACAAGCCAGAAGAGAGTGGGGGCCAATATTCAACATTCTTAAAGAAAAGAATTTTCAACCTAGAATTTCATATCCAGCCAAACTAAGCTTCATAAGTGAAGGAGAAATAAAATCCTTTACAGACAAGCAAATGCTGAGATTTTGTCACCACCAGGCCTGCCTTACAAGAGCTCCTGAAGGAAGCGCTAAACATGGAAAGGAACAACTGGTAGCAGCCACTGCAAAAACATGCCAAATTGTAAAGACCATCGATGCTAGGAAGAAACTGCATCAACTAACGAATGAGCAAAACAACCAGTTAACGTCATAATGACAGGATCAAATTCATACATAACAATATTAGCCTTAAATGTAAATGGGCTAAATGCTCCAATTAAAAGACACAGACTGGCAAATTGGATAAAGAGTGAAGACCCATCAGTGTGCGGTATTTAGGAGACCCATCTCACGTGCAGAGACACACATAGGCTCAAAATAAAGGGATGGAGGAAGATCTACCAAGCAAATGGAAAACAGAAAATAAAAACAGGGGTTACAATCCTAGTCTCGGATAAAACAGACTTTAAACCAACAGAGATCAAAAGAGACAAAGAAGGCCATTACATAATGGCAAAGGGATCAATTCAACGAGAAGAGCTAACTATCCTAAACATATATGCACCCAATACAGGAGCACCCAGATTCATAAAGCAGGTCCTTAGAGACCTACAAAGAGACTTAGACTCCCACACAATAATAATGGGAGACTTTAACACTCCACTGTCAACATTAGACAGATCAACAAGACAGAAACTTCACAAGGATATCCAGGAACTGAACTCAGCTCTGCACCAACCAGACCTAATAGACACCTACAGAACTCTGCACCCCAGGTCAAGAGAATATACATTCTTCTCACTACCACGTCGCACTTATATCAAAATTGACCACATTGTTGGAAGTAAAGGACTCCTCAGCAAATGTAAAAGAACAGAAATTATAACGAACTGTCTCTCAGACCACAGTGCAATCAAACTAGAACCCAGGATTGAGAAACTCACTCAAAACTGCTCAACTACATGGAAACTGAACAACCTACTCCCAAATGTACTGGGTATGTAATGAAATGAAGGCAGAAATAAAGATGTTCTTTGAAACCAATGAGAACAAAGACACAACATACGAGAACCTCTCGGACACATTTAAAGCAGTGTGTAGAGGGAAATTTATAGCACTAAATGCCCACAAGAGAAAGCAGGAAAGATCTAAAATTGACACCCTAACATCACAATTAAAAGAACTACAAAAGCAAGAGCAAACACATTCAAAAGCTAGCAGAAGGCAAGAAATAACTAAGATTAAAGCAGAACTGACAGAGATAGAGACACAAAAAACCCTTCAAAAAATCAGTGAATCCGGGAGCTCATTTTTTGAAACGATCAACAAAATTGACAGATCACTAGCAAAACTAATAAAGAAGAGAGAAGAATCAAATAGACGCAATAAAAAAGGATAAAGGGGATATCACCACCGATCCCACAGAAATACAAACTACCATCAGAGAATACTACAAACACCTCTACGCAACTAGAAAATCTAGAAGAAATGGATAAATTCCTCGACACATAGACTCTCCCAAGACTAAACCAGGAAGAATCTGAATCCCTGAATAGGCCAATTACAGGCTCTGAAATTGAGGCAATAATTAATAGCCTACCAACCAAAAAATGTCCAGGACCAGATGGATTCACAGCCAATTTCTACCAGAGGTACAAGCAGGAGCTGGCACCATTCCTTCTGAAACTATTCCAATGAATAGAAAAAGAGGGAATCCTCCCTAACTCATTTTATGAGGCCAGCATCATCCTGATACCAAAGCCTGGCAGAGACACACAAAAAAAGAGAATTTTAGACCAATATCCCTGATGAACACCGATGCAAAAATCCTCAATAAAATACTGGCAAACCAAATCCAGCAGCACATCAAAAAGCTTATCCACTACGATCAAGTTGGCTTCACTCCTAGGATGCAAGGCTGGTTCAACATACACAAATCAGTAAATGTAATCCAGCATATAAACAGAACCAAAGACAAAAACCACATGATTATCTCAATAGATGCAGAAAAGGCCTTCGACAAAATTCAACAGCCCTTCAAGCTAAAAACTCTCAATAAACTAGGTATTGATGGGACATATCTCAAAATAATAAGAGCTATCTATGACAAACCTATAGCCAATATCATACTGAATGGGCAAAAACTGGAAGCATTCCCTTTGAAAACTGGCACAAGACAGGGATGCCCTCTCTCACCACTCCTATTCAACATAGCGTTGGAAGTTCTGGCCAGGGCAATCAGACAGGAGAAAGAAATAAAGGGTATTCAATTAGGAAAAGAGGAAGTCAAATTGTCCCTGTTTGCAGATGACATGATTGTATATTTAGAAAACCCCATCGTCTCAGCCCAAAATCTCCTTAGGCTGATAAGCAACTTCAGCAAAGTCTCAGGATACAAAATCAATGTGCAAAAATCACAGTCATTCCTATACACCAATAACAGACAAACAGAGAGCCAAATCATGAGTGAACTCCCATTCACAATTGCTACAAAGTGAACAAAATACCTAGGAATCCAACTTACAAGGGATGTAAAGGACCTCTTCAAGGGGAACTACAAACCACTGCTCAACGAAATAAAAGAGGACACAAACAAATGGAAGAACATTCCATGCTCATGGGTACGAAGAATCAACATTGTGAAAATGGCCATACTGCCCAAGGTAATTTATAGATTCAATGCCATCCCCGTCAAGCTACCAATGACTTTCTTCACATAATTGGAAAAAACTACTTTAAAATTCATATGGAACCAAAAAAGAGCCCACATTGCCAAGACAATCCTAAGCAAAAAGAACAAAGCTGGAGGCATCACACTACCTGACTTCAAACTATACTACAAGGCTACAGTAGCATGGTACTGTTACCAAAACAGAGATAAAGACCAATGGAACAGAACAGAGCCCTCAAAAATAATACCACACATCTACAACAATCTGATCTTTTGACAAACCTGACAAAAAGAAGGAATGGGGAAAGGATTCCCTATTTAATAAATGATGCTGGGAAAACTGGCTAGCCATACGTAGAAAGCTGAAACTGGATCCCTTCCTTACACCTTATACAAAAATTAATTCAAGATGGATTAAAGACTTACATGTTAGACCTAAAACCATAAAATCCCTAGAAGAAAACCTAGGCAACACCATTCAGGACATAGGCATGGGCAAGTGCTTCATGACTAAAACACCAAAAGCAATGGCAACAAAAGCCAAAATTGACAAATGGGATCTAATTAAACTAAAGAGCTTCAGAACAGCACAAGGAACTACCATCAGACTGAACAGGCAACCTACAGAATGGGAGAGAATTTTTACAATCTACCCATCTGACAAAGGGCTAATATCCAGAATCTACAAATGACTTAAACAAATTCATAAGAAAAAATCAAACAAACCCATCAAAAAGTGGGTGAAGGATATGAACAGACACTTCTCGAAAGAAGACATTTATGCAGTCAACAGACACATAAAAAATGTTCATCATCACTGGCCATCAGAGAAATGCAAATCAAAACCACAATGAGATACCATCTCACACCAGTTAGAATGGCAGTCATTAAAAAGTCAGGAAACAACAGGTGCTGGAGAGGATGTGGAGAAATAAGAACACTTTTACACTGTTGGTGGGACTATAAACTAGTTCAACCATTGTAGAAGACAGTGTGGCGATTCCTCAAGGATCTAGAACCAGAAAAACCATTTGACCCAGCTATCCTATTACTGGGTACATACCCAAAGGATTATAAATCATGCTGCTATAAAGACACATGCACATGTATGTTTATTGTGGCACTATTCACAACAACAAAGACTTGCAACCAACCCAAATGTCCATCAATGATAGACTGGATTAATAAAATGTGGCACATATACACCAGGAAATACTATGCAGCCATAAAAAATGATGAGTTCATGTCCTTTGTAGGGACATGGATGATGCTGGAAACCATTATTCTGAGCAAACTGTCACAAGGACAGAAAACCAAACACTGCATGTTCTCACTCATAGGTGGGAATTGAACAATGAGAACACTTGGACACAGGATGGGGATTATCACACACCGGAGCCTGTCAGGGGATGGGGGAGGGATAGCATTAGGAGATATATCTAATGTAAATGATGAGTTAATGGGTGCAGCACACCAACATGGCACATGTATACATATGTAAAAAACATGCATGTTGTGCACATGTACCCTAGAACTTAAAGTACAATTAAAAAAAAAAGAAAAGAAAAATATACTGGATTACTTGGTAGTGCCTATCAAATGCTTGCCTAATAAGGTCCATGTATTAAATCACTACTGTATGTAATATGTGATTCATTGAAGAAATATTAATAAAATTCTGTGTGGAAAGTAAATGACACATATCACACCATTCTTCTGAATGGAGACTCATTAGAATTTCTTGAATTTCTTTTTTTCGAGACAGGGTCTCACTTTCTCGCCCAGGCTGGAGTGCAGTGGCATGATCTCAGCTCAGTGCAACCTCCACTTCCTGGGTTCAAGCGATTCTCCTGCCTTAGTCTCCTGAGTATTTGAGAGTACAGGCACCTGCCACCTTTGTATTTTTAGTAGAGACAGGGTTTCACAATGTTGGCCAGGCTGGTCTTCAACTCCTGACCTCCTGTGATCCACACGCCTCAGCCTCCCAAATTGCTGGTATTACTGGCGTGAACCACCACACCCGGACGGTTCATTAGAATTGCTAATGCACAAAGCACTCTAATTGTGAATATATGTTATGACGATTTTGATCATGCCTGAGACAAAAAAATTGTCATCTATGGACTGCATGGTGCTTAAGGCAGCCTAGCATAAAGTCTCTATGTATAGAGTTAAATAGATAGATGATAGATAGATAGATAGATAGATAGATAGATAATAGATAGATTAGATAAAGAGATAAATAGAACATAATGATATTCCATATTGGTTAGTAACTAATGAATACCATCAAATACTCTCTCCTATAATTTCATATGAAAAATATATCCAGAGGCTTACAAAGTATTGTAAAATAGAACCTGATAATCATATAGACATAACATTAAAAATTCCAGGAGGCAATAAGGAAGGTAGAGAGTCAATACTTGGCAGCATTGATGGAGGCAAAGGGACTGAGTCAGAGAATGGACCCTTAGGCGAGTTGCTGCTGAGCCACATGAGGGGATCTAGTATCCAGGGGACTCCAATGTTCTGCATACTATACAACCTCATTTTGATACTAAACCTCATAATAATCTTAAAGTCTAGAACAAAAGTGAATGTGCAGATTCTATTTTATTTTTCCTCAAGCAGCAGTTTTCCAGGATCATTCCTCATAGAATTGTTATCTTGTATTATTCTTCCTTTCCTTCTTGATTTCTTCTATTTTCTTCTTGGTATTATATGGGCTGCACTTGGAACTACAGAGATTTACCATTATTTGCATTCCCTCTTTTCCAACCCAGTATATTTCATACTTTTATGTTTTGCAGTATGGCTTGAGAGGGCAACTTTACCACATACTGCCATCCAAATCACTGCTCCTGATTGCTTGGGTGGGTGCCACAGTACTTCCATACAGCTCCCAGTGGCTCCATCCCACCTGATATACCCACTTAAGAGACTCTCCAGTGGAGAACAAAATATTGCAAAAACAAATTGAAAGTCACTGAACAAATGAGGGTGTTAAGCCCAGTAGGGTGGCCCAGATGAACAGAACACTGCAGAGCTAATCAGGAAACCATGCAACCAGAGAATACAAAGATAGCTGAGCCTATAACAATGGAGGAACCATACAACGAATACTTCTGATGCCTTCAGCTATTTCAAATTTGTCTTGCCAGGGTTTCATAAAAGGGAGCAAACATTTTTCTTGATGTGAGCAGACATGATTTCAAGTTCTAACTGTGTTATTACCTGCTTATATAATCCTGGGTGAAGCAGCCAAACAGTCTATGAGCCCTAGTTGAACATAATACTGACCAATTTTACATATATGATGTATATCTAATAATAAAACCAATTAGATTTATAAAATTATACTATGTCTAAAATGTTTTCATTTATGTTTTAAGTAAATTGCATATTAAGTCTAATAATTATAACTATATAAATATAAATATCTACTATGACACTGATCGTTTCTGGATCCAAACAAAATTCATTATGAAGGCTCACATTTACCAAGATTAGAAACTGACATTCATTCCCTTAGGTACAGTAAAATTATTTTAGTAAAAATTGAAAAATAATTGAAATATGTGATAAATATAATTTATTAAGAGCCATATTAGCTAGCATACATTTTGTATATGAAATTATCTATCAAAATAAAAATTGAAACACAATCATAAATATTTTCAAGAATGGCAAATAGGACATTGTTTTAAATATGGAATAATAATATTATTATTCAAGAGAAGAACACTGATATTAGGACACTGATAATTAAAAAGCTATTTTTTTCTTTCAAAGTTTTAAGTAGTTCAGAAGAAAGGTGAGTGAGCATCAATGATCCCTCTTTCCATCTTCCTTCCTCCCCAGCCATTAGCAATGCTGTCACTGTTTCTTTCTAAATGTCAGGAGCAAAGAAGTCACACATTTGCTCTCTTTGGAGGAAAGAAGGAAATGGGGTAGCTTTTGTGTGAGCCAAATGAACAAATTATCTCTAAGATATTCTAAGGAAAGTCGGTGATGATAGCAACTGAGGCAGTTGCTTACCTATTTTATAATGTTGATAAATCCCAAAACTGTAATCACTAACATGACAGAGGGAAAAAGTAATAAATACAAGTTGTAATTCAGAATGGTATAATGAATTAAGGAAACCTATATCATATCCATTAGAGTATTTTTCTAATTTATGAAAGCATAGATTTCAGCCAGGCGCGGTGGCTCACATCTGTAATCCCAGCACTTTGGGGGGCTGAGGCAGGTTGGATCACCTGAGGTCAGGAGTTCGAGACCAGCCTGGCCAACATGGTGAAACACCGTCTCTACTAGAAATACAAAAATTAGCCGGGCATGGTGGGGGGCACCTGTAATCCCAGCTACTCAGGAGGCTGAGGCAGGAGAATTGTTTGAACACGGAGGCGGAAGTTGCAGTGAGCCGAGATCGCACCATGCACTCCAGTGTGCGCAACAAGAGCAAAACTCCACCCAAAAAAGAAAGAAAGAAAAGAATAAAGTATAGATTTCATTTATAATCTTTTCAATGATTTTGATTTCATAAAAACTCATTATGGTTAATTTTATCAGAGAAAAAATTAAACCACTGACTGATAACACGTAGTTAACAAAGACATAATCATCATCAGTTTCACAATGAAATGGCCACCACTCCTCAAAGACGTGAACATGGTAATCATTTCAGAAGAAATGTTAACAAAAGTGACAATTACAAGGTAAAAGTGTTCTCAGGAAATGGTAATATAAAATGTGAGCCCTGCTGAAAAGTACTGATTAGTTAAGAAGAAGAGTGAAAACATATGAAGAGCAAAAGGAAAAATGGAGAGACAAGTACCAAGACTATCAATACCTGTTGAAGCTAGCCTCTGGCAATTTGTCAAACTAATAATAAATAATAATAAGAAGAAGAATCCACTTCCACAAGTATGGTATTTATATCATTCAGGGACTATATATGGGCTGCAGCATGACTCAGTGTAACAGACTATCTGTGAGCATAAACTCATGAGGCACACTGCCTGGCTTCAGATTCTGCTCTGCATTTACAAGTTGTGTCATCTTAGAAAGTGTCTTATTTTCCTCATCTGCAAAATGAGAGTATTAATATCTACTTCACTGGGTTTTTATGAGGATAATATGAAGGATTTAAAATAGTATATATGGCACATGGTACATATTCAACAAATGGCAGCTCTTGATACATAATGAATTTAAAAAAGCACCAAAGCAAATATGATCAGACTGTACAGCCCCATGACTGTTCTTCTTCAAGGTTATCTTCAGAGGGTATGACTCGTGTTTCTGATACTTTTTTTAGAATACCTTACTAGGAACTGGTTGCTGTACAATCTCAGGAAACGTTAAGGATCTCTCTAACATTATTTCAAAATTTCATAGGCCAAATCGGTTCTACAATCAGCATCCTTTCTTCAGTTCGCGAACAGGTTGTTTGAGACCAAGACAAACAGTAAAGTGGGTTACTTTGGTACCACGGTTGGGTTATTCTCCACCCACCCCCAAACCCACCCCTCTATCTTTTAGAGGGAAAGGATGGAAGCTGGAGGTGGAGACTAAAGTTGTTATGACCCTATCACGCACTCGGATCTTTGTGGGGAATACACCAAAACAGCTGGGTGTTTTTCTCTCTGTCCTCACTGTCTACCAGGTACCTCTTATGCCCACACAACCCCTCCTCTATTACTCTCCTTTGTACTCTTTTGATGTAAGCAATTTCAGCTAAATAAAGTAAAAAAGATAAAAATTAGAAGTTGCCGAAGTTGTTCTAAATTATGCTGCTTAGTAAATCAACCAAGATACTCAATTGTTTTGAAACATTTGAGGCAGAAAACACTTCTTTGCCAAATTCAGCATGTGGGCATAATTATTTTTAACATATTTATACTTTAAATATCCATGTGTCAGGATAAATATACTTAACTGACATACTCTAGACCCTGCATAGAATGGATATGACAACTTTGAAAGTCATAGATCTCACCATCTCTCTGGACTGAGGATACGTTTACGTGTAAGAAAGACCCTCTCTATGTCCAAACCTATCCGTATTTAAGGGATGGGTCAGACAAGCACAGCCTTCGATATAAAGGAAAATGACAATATGTGAATAGGAAATCCCTTTTGGCTAGTAAATCTCACTTTTGAATATTCACTACATTTATTTTCATTGGTTCCTCTGATCCTAATGTATGGTTACTCAGAAATCACAGACGAAAATGATGACAAACACTATTTCCATATTTTCCTTTCTATCTAATCCTGAAAACTCATTCCTGGATGCTCTGAGGAGTTTGTTTTTGTCTTTATTGTTTTGATTATTTGTATTTTGTTTCCTTTCTTCTGTTAGGTATTGCCAGAATGCTTGTTGAAATTATCCTAGGTATGGAGGCATAAACAGTAAGAAATAACGGTATAAGTGATTTCTTAGTTTGAGTTCCTTTTCTAAAATCTAGTCTGAAATTAAATACTGTCCACCATTATCCAGGTTGAGAATAGTATACTGAAGTAAACTGAATCCTCGGATAGTTCCTTACTGGCACTAAATCAACTGTTTCAGACTCTATTATCCCAAATACAGTGCTATTTTCCCTTTCACAAACCAAGGCTTCCTTCTGCTTTTGTGCATTCCCACAATCTGTTCTACCTCCACCTGAATGCTGTGTCTTCTGCCTACCTTACTCTTTTTCTAGGAAGTGATTATCAGTTCATCTATCTTAACTGGTTGCCCTTTTGACTGAAGATTTCTGACCTTACTTGACCAAGTCAGATTCTCTTTTTCTCAGGATATTGAAATCAGGACTCTGAGATGCCAAGTAGCATCTTGAACAGATGTAGAAAATTAGGGGTTTGGAGTGTGAGTTATATTCTTCTATCATGCTTAGAAATGTACAGAAAGCTGGTCTCAGAGAAAAAGGGGAAAGTGATGCAGGTGCACACAGAGAAGCCTAGGGAGGAGGATAAGTGACCCAGAGAAAAAGAGAAAGACAAAGCAACGCCACTTTGGCCTGAGTCTAACTCCTCAGCATACGATGACACACTCAGCCTCCTTGCAGTATAAAGTGCTTTCTACCTCTCAGTTACAAGCATATGTCCCGATGGATACACTGACTGTCATTCAAACTAAAGGTCGTATTTTACCTTCTGTATTACATCTTCCCTGGTTATTTCTTATTGATGTCTAAATGTTAAAAATTCCATTGCAACAGAGGCTTTGTGCCACAAAATTCTGTACTAATTATATAAAGTTATGCATTATCTATATTTGTTAGTCACATTTCACCACCAAAATCCTATGATCAGCACCAAGTCTTTACTTTTCAAAAAATTTTCAAATACATCCAGCACAGTACTAGCAAATAGCTGGTGCTTCATAATAGCTTTGATTAACACAGTGTATACTTTGGATCCATGAAATGAAAAAATAAATGTTATACAAATGCTGTATGGTCAAAATATAGGTGTGAACACATAAACATGTTGACTTCTAAAATAGATGATGTATCATGAAATTAAATAACAAAAAGTCCCCAAACTGACATATAATGACTAAAAATGTGTGTAATAATATATTGTGCGTGTTTCTTAGACTGACCTTACTAATTTTTGTAATTTTAAATGGCATACATGTAGAATACTTATTTTTAATCTATAGGGTCTTTTTTTGAAAACTGCTTTCTAGGAATGTCTTTAGACAATAAATAAATGAAAAATAAAAAGCTATTTGAACAATTACAGAGAACTTGTCAATTACCCTTTTGCAGGAAAACACACACACACACACCCACACACACACACACACACACACACACACACACTTCAGAAAGCAAAGCAGCCTCACTCACCCCCTGCAGCTGCAGAAGTGAGAAGGCAAAATACCGCCCTACTTTGCAGTCCTTGGGCCTCAGGGTGAAAAAAGGGGGGAGGGATTTCCCAGAGAGCTGTGAATAAAACCTGTTGCCAGAGTCAAGTACTTTAAAATGCCCAAGGGTAGAGGATTCTAACATAATTCCCTTAAATACATACAAACAACATTTTAAGCATAGAGCCAAAGGACTTTAAAAGGATAGTAAGAGAGAAGCCATTTAACTATTTAGTGGTGAATATCTTGACTCTCAGACAGAAACAATGCAGGCTGGCTCCTTGAATATGCTCTTACAAATAGAGGCTACCCATGGAAGTAGAGGACAGGCCTCTTTGAGCTGCAATATGACTTCCCTTAGACTCTTAGTTGTGCCCCTCCTGTAATCCGTAGAACTTCAGCATTTGAGGTGTTGATCACTCTCAATTTAAAACGGTCCCTAAAGGCAAATACAGATTAAATATGAGGCTTAATTCTCCCTGTTGAAAATAAGGAAATAAACTTTCTCTGTCCTTTTCTTAAAGCATTTATTTAGAAAACTTTTCACTTCTTCCTCTTCTCTTTGCAATATATGTAACTCTTTTTAAAAGATAATAAGCCAGCTTTACAACCCCAGAATGTCTTTCTCAAAGACTAGGGAAGTAACTTTTTGAAATGGAATCATCAGGGAAGATAGTGTCTCTGTCACCCAATTCCTAAGGAAGAGTAGGAGCCTAACTTTGGCTGGTGCCTCTCGCCAAAACAACCTTCCATCGTAAAGATACTATCGTTTTTCCTTTGGATAAAGCCAACTAGCTAATATGACAATATGCATGGTCACCCCAATTACCAAATTAAGTTAGGATGAATTATGTGTGACAAATGATGCTGTCAAGTTCTCTTACTTGAGAACTAGTTATTGTTTATCTTGGGAACACGTAGGAAATGAGTTGTACCTGCTCAGACACATAAAAGGGTGATTTCTTTCTATCTTCGCAATCTCTTTAGTGGATTTCTGTGATGCAGGTTACATTCCAGTTTAATGCTTATTCAATAATTAAACCGGTTTCTTTCTCCTTTACTTTTGTGGGAGAGGCTTTCCAGTTTGGGAGATTTTGTTTCTAATTTTATTTCCCTAACATCTGCTCCTGGTTTCCGGGACACCAGTTTCTCCTGGAATTTTTCCTATTTCTCTAAATGTTTCTTCTTGATATCCTTGGCTGAATTCTTTTCCTACCATAGAATGGACCAAATTTTTCAAGGTCTGGTCTCTTTTCTATTTTTCCAACCCTTATCCTGGCTGTTTCCACTCCTACCATCTCCTGTCTAGCCAGCCCTTGCATATTTACAATGTAACACACTAGACTAGAGACATAGCATGTTACTTTTGATGCTATGCTTTTAAGGTGCTGTTCTCTCTGGCTGGAATCATATTCTCCATTCTCTTGGCAGACACATAATAACCCTCCTCCGGTATGATATCCTCTGTGAAGCTCTTCTGGACCAAACTCTGGTAACACTTCTTACTTCCTTTCAGTGCAAACTCTGCTGTGATTTCATGCTGCCCTAGCAACTTTTTGATTGTGACTGCCTGTACTGTAGATTTGCCGAAGGGAGAAAATGCACAAATCTGCTCCAGAATTTCTGCTCATGTGACAGCGATTTCTCATTATAAATAGGGTGGCATTGTTTTGCCATAGTTTTTAGGAATCAGTTTCTGTGAATAGACAAGTGTGAAACTGCCTCTAAGAAACGGGATGATCCATTCAGAGTTATTTCCGAGGTTTGAGGGAGTGAAAGTCAGACACAATATAATGGCAGCCATTAGCACTCTGTGGATGCCGGTTAGTCGGCCTTCCCTGGTTATATGTCAACCCCATCTCACTTTGGACATCTGTTTAAATTGTATTTTTTCTTGTCACAGGTATGCATATAAATATAACACACTAATCAAGGCAACTCATTTCTCTGATCTTGGTTTTATCAATTATTAAATGTCAGGTTTGATCTTGATCATCTCTAAAAGTCATTCTCACAGTAAAATACATGAATTTGAAAATGTTTTTCTAATTTTCAATGTCAACACCAGCAAATACTAGAAACACACAGCTACATTTGATTAGTGTCAGACATTCCGTTTTCTCTTTGGTGAGCTTTGGTGTCTATAAACCCCCTTTAATATAAGTATCTCAAAGATTTGATTTAAGCAATTTAGAAGCACTAATTAAAAGTTATTTTAAACTGACACCTCTTTATGTTAATTATTCTCATATGCATCACTCAAACAAATAGAGGGCTAAAGGAGACGACTTTTGGCATGCTGTGAGGCAAAGCTGTGCACATCCCGGTAATTCTGTCTGTAACAGGGTGACCTTAAATTAAGTTCCCTTTTATCTTATCAAATTTTCAGAATTTCAAACTTTTAACACTCAGATCTCCTGAAGAGCGCATCAAATGGAAGGCGTATGTAAAGAACTGAGTGAATAATGAATGTACAAGAAAATAAATAAATAGATAAATAACATCGTTTAAGGTGAGGTTGAGGAAAGGAAAAAGACATAGTTAATTACTGAAGTCAAAGGGGCAAAGACAAAAATGAAGCTTAGAAATCATTAACTTTTATCATTTCATGAAGCAAATGTTCCAGCATTTAAAGTGGTGGAAAACTGTCGCCATAGTACATTGAAATAAAATATCTAGTTTTGCTGATGTCTCATGACTCACATAAAAATGTTTGACCCACATAAAAATTTTGACCCACATAAAAATGTTTATTATAATACAGACTCATGCAAGTAGGCCTTTGAGTCCTAGCCAGATTTCAAGAAAAATCTATGTTTATTCAACAAATATCTTTGAGTGGAAGATAAATATAGACTCTGCCTTCAACAAGCAGGAGAACTTTCAGGGTAAACAGTCCAGAGAGACCCTACTGAGCTGCACATATCCTGTGATGTTTCTGGAACCTTGTCAGGAAGCAAGACTTTGCTAACATCTGCTAGGAACAGATGAGGAGCTGCTTTACATGGCAATGTGGCTCAGCCTACATTCCCACTTACACTTGCTGTCCAGAGGTAGACATACATATTTTTAAACCAAAAAATAAAAAATAAAGAAAAAATATCTGTTGAATGAGATTTCTTAATTTAAACATAAAACACATAAGTCTGTTATTGCCTAAATGGAAATAAGGATCACATTTAGGGCAAAGAAAAAGCTCAGAAGCATGGGAATAATATAAATTTGAGCATCTCGTTACTTTTATTTCTTCATGAGCCAAGCACATTCTGGCAGGAAATATCAGATCAGACCAGTATTTTTTCAGAAGCTTTTGCAGCTAAAAAAGAAAGTAATCTTCCAAAGTCTTAAAAACTAAAGTGTTTGTTAGATGAACCTTGAATTACTGCTAACCAAAGAAACCAGATAATTAAAATAATAATAATAATAATAATAATAATAATTGCAAGAAGGGATACAAATAGCTTGCCGTGTCAAACATCTTTGTTATCTGGAGATTGACAGGCTTGAGAAATTAAAAAACTTTATAGTTGCTTTAAGTGGGGAATCTAAAGCGTTCATTTCTTTCACATCGATGAGAATCTGTGTACTTACTATGGCAAAATAACTTACTTCCAAACATACTGCTTTATATTAAAACCAGAATCCCTATTTATTTTAGGTTTTCATTTTTCAAACTTTTCTTCAATTTTGGGAAAATTTTAAAGTTTTTAAATTGCAATTATTAAAAAAAATAAAAATATAATTACACATTTAATGCATGAATATATTTGCCATGTTAAAATTAAAATACCACAGATAACAGCTTTTTCTTTTAAATTGTGGGTATAGAGAAAGAGAAAAGTGGATTTATAATCAGCAGAAGCTAATTTCCCATCACCTTTAAGCTTAAGGCCCCTTATTTGCACAGTCTGTTTCCAAGGACCAGCCTCTGGTTTTTGATTTGCTATTTCATATTCTATTCATTTAGAAGCCCTTCCTCCTTCCTTCAAAATTTTATAAGCTTCAAAGGCCAATGAAATCTGAATGTGATATTGATAATCAGTTAACATTCTACATTGATATGATCACCAGCTATTTTTCCATCTTTCAATAGTAAGAAAATCTTGTGACCTGTGCCTGTACAGGAAATGAGGAAATGTATTTGTGACTTGACTAATCATACTGGCTTACCAGGAACCTAAGGTTTTCTTGGAAAACCTTGTATTTTGACTATAAATATAAACGAACATTTGGTACCAAAACCAGGACAACTGATCACTGGAAGTTTGGGTTGGACAGTGGCTTAGTCAGAAGAAGAAGGACAATTAAGTTTGTTTAATCATGTTCTCCAAATACAAAATTGCTTGTGAACCTGCATATTCTGGCTCCCTTTTTTCCCCTTATGAAATGAAAATGCCAGTTCATCACTTCCACCATCATGAATATAAATAACATCACAATAAAAAATTTTTATAATAAAAATGCTACACATTTGTTAGCATGTGGCATTCCTTTAATTGCTTTTTTATCTGTTCATTCATTTGAAATTTTAAACTATCCACAAAAGAATAATATTTTCACTTAAAAAAATAAAAGAACTAAGCCACTGAGGTTTTGCATAAACAACTGAAGGAGACATAGTTTTTTAAGCCTGGACCAGAAACAAAGCTTCTTGACTTAGAACACAGTAAATCAGCAAGAAGGCATCTGTAACCTAGTGTAAAAGGTCCTAGACTCCCAATATTTACCATTAAGAAACCATCTTAAACTTAACCTCAACTGTGATAGCAATTTAACCATATCAGAAAGAGTATCATATAGGCGTGGCTATTTGATTTTATCTGCAAAAAATAGTCTTAAGTTTAAACAAGCCAGAGAGACTACTGTATTGCTTTCTGAATGAATGTATCTAAAACAGAATACAAAGAAGACTTAATGTTTCTCTTTATATATGCTAGTATACATGCCTCTCTATATTTGTTACTGGTCTCTTTAAAATTGTAACATTTTAATTTGAGAATTTCATAACTATATAACTATTAAAATGTGTGGATTTATTCACATGATTAAACATAAAGTGTCAAATTAAAACAAAAATATATTATGATCATGAATTACACTCAAAACCACAATTATTAGAAAGTTTTAAAATGAATAATTTTTGACAACAAATATAAAGTTATGTATTAAAGATTTAAAACTATGTCTAGCCAGGTGTGGTGACTCATCCCTGTAATCCCAGCAATCTGGGAGGCTGAGGTGGGAAGATTACTTGAGGGCAGGAGTTCAAGACAACTTGGTCAACATAGTGAGACCCCCGTCTCTGCAAAAAAATTTTAAAAATTATCTGGGAGTGGGGCCTCATGCCTATGGTCCCAGTTACTCAGGAGGCTGAGGCAGGAGGACAGTTTGAGCCCAGGAGTTCGAGGATGCAGTGAGCTATAATTGTGCCACTTCATTCCATCCCAGGTGACAAAGAGTGAAAAGCCAGCTCAAAAAACAGAAACAAAAAAACTATTTCTGATACGCTTAGATTTTCAAATATTGCAACATAATATCACACCTAAACAAATTAGAGTCCTAATTTAAAAAAGAAAAAAGCTTGATGCAGAATGAAAAGAACACTTTCAAAGTTTATACCAGTTTTGAAAATAAGTTCACAATATGTAGTCATATCCCAGAGTGTTGATGTTTATCTACTTCCCCACAGTGTTCTTCTCAGAATAAAAAATATGATGAGGCATATTATAATATATATCTACATACAATATTTCGTCTTTAATATACTTAAATTTCTGACTTTATGGCAAGTGCCAAACATAACATTAAACGTATTGGAAAGCAATAATTTTTAAAATGTTTTTTAAATAATTTACTAAAGTAAATACCTAGTGATTGGAAAATGATGTTATTCAATATGAACTTGATTTTTGAGAGTTACAATGAAAACTATAAGGCAATCAAAAATGTACATGATGATTCCTAGAAAATAAACATGACTGAATTATAGACAATGAACATATTAATAATTATGATATATTATCAGACAAAACATATACATTTAGTAGGTTTTTCTTAATAAAGTATAGGAGCTGAGAATGAATTCATACATAATTATAACTTTTAAATCATGTTCATATATAAAAACAGTATAGTCACCATTTTGTTTAAGTTTGTTACAATACTCACAATGTTTAAATATGTGTTAGGTTAGAAAGGAAGTAAAGGACCATTTTTCTTTTAACTAGCAATTTATGCCACAGGTTCTCATATTTACTTTCGTGTGTAGCAAGCATGAAAAACAAAAAGTAAACCCAGGTCTTCATATTTTCTGACTAGCAAGAGAATCTATGTGTTTCATAAGTGTTGGAATGGGTAAAATTGAGGAGAAATAGTAGACTGTGCACTAATAGTCATGAGGCAAGTGCACAAATCAATTTTCAATAACAAACTTAGCCTGTAACTTTAAGTGAACAAACAGACTTTTCCTAATAAACATATTTTCAAAGCTGAGGAATTTTATTTTTTTTCTGTTCTACCTTATGTAATGCAGAAGGCTTTCATTATTATAGTCACATTTGTACTTCTAGACTCCTATATGTATTATCTGATAAAACAATTAACTCAGGATGGATTAAAGATTTAAATGTAAGACCTAAAACCATAAAAACCCTAGAAGACCTAAAACCATGAAAACCCTTTTTTCTTTTTTAAATTAGGACTCTAGAAAAAACCTAGGCAATACCATTCAGGACATAGCCATGGGCAAAGACTTCATGACTGAAACACCAAAAGCAAGGGCAACAAAAGTCAAAATTGACAAATGGGATCTAATTAAACTGAAGAGCTTCTGCACAACAAAAGAAACTATCATCAGAGTGAACAGGCAACCTACAGAATGGGAGAAAATTTTTGCAATCTATCCATCTGACAAAGGGTTAATATCCAGAATCTACAAAGAACTTAAATAAATTTACAAGAAAAAAACAACCCCATCCAAATGTGGGTGAAGGATATGAACAGACACTTCTCAAAAGAAGACATTTATGTGGCCAACAAGTATATGAAAAACAGCTCATCATCACTGGTCATTAGAAAAATGCAAATCAAAACCACAATGAGATACCATCTCATGCCGGTTAGAATGGCGATCCTTAAAAAGTTAGGAAACAACAGATGCTGGAGGGGATGTGGAGAAATAAGAATGCTTTTACACTGTTGGGAGTGTTAATTAGTTCAACCATTGTGGAAGACAGTGTGGCGATTCCTCAAGGATCTAGAACCAGAAATACCATTTAACCCAGCAATCCCATTACTGGGTATATCCCAAAGGATTATAAATCATTCTACTATAAAGACACATGCACACGTATGTTTATTGCAGCACTGTTCACAATAGCAAAGACTTGGAACCAACACAAATGCCCATCAATGACAGACTGGATAAAGAAAATGTGGCACATATTCACCATGGAATACTATGCAGCCAAAAAAAAGGATGAGTTTATGTCCTTTGCAGGACATGGATGAAGCTGGAAACCATCATTCTGAGCAAACTATTGCAAGGACAGAAAACCAAACACCACATGTTCTCACTCATAAGTGGGAGTTGAACAATGAGAACACATAAACACAGGGAGGGTAACAAGACACACTGGGGCCTGTCGGAGGGTGGGGACTAGGGGAGGGATAGCATTAGGAGAAATACCTAATGTGGATGATGGGTTGATGGGTGCAGCAAACCACCATGGCATATGTATACCTATGTAACAAACCTGAACGTTCTGCACGTGTATCCCAGAGCTTAAATTATAACATAAAAAAAGATGACCAAAAAAAAACCCAAACAAACAAACCCCAAAAAACTAAGACCTAACATTGAATTATGAGGGAAGAATTACCTAGGAAATTTTCAAAAGCCAAAATAAAAGAAAGCGTAGGCAAATCTGGACATTTTCTTTTCTTTATAGATCAATAGATAAGTATCTTTATAAATAGATTATCTCTATAAATGTAAATTACATGAGCACATATATGAATACATGCAAACATAGAGATATTTATATATAAATACATGTAAACACACATACAGAGATACTTCAGAAAGAAATGCTATATAATTGTATTCTGGATACAAGGAGGTAACCTTAGGGGCTAGTTGAAGAGACCCAGATTAAGAGAGGTAAAATACAGAGAATGTAAAGTTCTAATTATCAAGTGCATTTGCCTCACCTTTTTAGATACCTCAAGAATTAGAAACATCTGGTGACTAACAATTACATAGCACTTACTATGTACCAGGCACTGTCTTAAGAACTTTCATATATTTTCATTTTATCCTCACAACATCGCTTTGAGAATGGAACCATTATTAACCTAATTTTACAGAAGATAAATTGAGGCACCATAAAATGAAATGACGCTACTGAGGTCACATGATTGGTGTCTGGTCCAGGTATCAAACCCACAGTGGTTTGGCTTCAGAGTCTACCATGATACTATACGGCTCTTCAATTAACTGCCTGAGCCCACATTTTCCATGATATAGAACTATAGCTTAAATACTGTATGCCCAGGTTACTTATAACTCAAAAAATACTGAAGTATAGAAATCAATATTATTTTGAGAGTTACAGTTTCATCTGCATTAATTCTCTCAAGAGTCTTGTAGGAAGCAGTATTGAGCCAGGCAGACCTGGGTCCTAGTCCAACTCTACTAACTTTTGCCTGTGAGAGTTTAGGTAAGTGTTTTAATCATCTTCCATCTCATTTTATACTTTACGCTATGAAGAAAAAACTATTTTTTGGAGAGGTTGTTATGGGGATTATAGAAACTATATATTTATACATTTTCTGGTATTTGATGAGGGCTTTATAAATGATAGTTATTGTTAAACTATCATGATTATTTCCAGCTACATATGAGAAAATCAAGGATGAGAGAATGTAAAGGATTTTTCTATGGACACACAACGTTTAAGTAGTAGAGGTGTGACTTGAACTCAGGTTCTGTGGTGCTGTATTTCATGCAATTTAATGTATTTCAGGGCACCATCCTGCTTTAAAAATTCCCTAATATGTAGCACAAACTTCATCTTTTCAGTTATTTCCCTTAGTTCTTTATATTCATATCATCTTTTCTTGATTTTGAGTCTCTATGTAGTACAAAGTTTGTAAGATACAATTTAGTATTTAACTATTTCTAGCATTGTATTTGTTGCTTCTTCAAAAACATTTCAAATTGCCTGAGGACAGAATAATTGATATATACACAACTGTATCTACCTGTACCCTGTGTACTCAATAAGTAACTTTACTTGATTTCATTATAGAACAAATCTTACTCTTTCAACAAATACTTAGGTTCTATTTGTATTCATTTGATGAGCCCTCTGCCTCTCTAGAAGTTATTTCCTCTCCAGCCAAGAAAGAAAACCAGGTTTTTGGTAAAAATTTTGGTATTGAAAGATACTTGCAAATATCATAGGCAACAAATAAGGGAATGTACAGAAGAGAAATGTCAAAGATAAGACATAAGAAAGAAGGAAGCATCCATCTTAAAGAAGTATACCACAACACCACAACAAAAGAAAAAGGAGGAGGAACAGGACGAGGAAGGGGTCTGACATTGAAATTCATTGTCCCCCAGTTACTTGACGATGAGAAGATAAAGGACCCACAGAAATTGCAAAATGGGAAAAGCAGGTACAGAAACTGGAAATAGGAAATATCTATTTGCATAGTTGGAAGAGAGAATGAGGAATAATTGTCCAACATCTGCTTCTGTATTCTCAAAATAACTAGCTACTGCTGCTTCATTATCTTAGAAGAAGATTTATTTCAATCTCTTCGGGAACCTCAGAAGACCTTTAATATGACTGAATTAGATTCTAAAACACCCTGCATAGCATGGCATGGCATCGTGGCTAAATTCTAAGGAGCACACATAACACATTTATAGCTGCTAGAGCAGACTGAATAAATGCGTATAAGAATAAAGTGAAATGCCCAGCAAACACTGAATGCTCAATAATTGATTTTTTAAAGATTTCCTAAAGAGTTTACAAAAAAATCACGAAACAAATCATGTCTGTTTTTTTGTTAAAAAAATGCTGTATAACAATGCATGGTAATTATCAAATTTAGGATATAAAAATAACAAGCTCTAGGATTTTAGAGGAAAGAAAAGTCACCATGGGTCAGCTGATGTGGTCAGAGAAGGTATCTGTAAAGAGGATCCAAGTGTACACTTGGAGTGTGGCACTGAGAATATATAATTAAGCAGTGACACCTAAAAGGCTTACATATGGTATAAGAATAGCACTTACCTCCAATTTACTTCCCTTTTTCCCCTGACAATGTTCTTCCAGTTTGAATGCATAATGTTCTGGTAAAAATAACCTTGTTGACAGAGCAATCATAAACAGAAAAAAAATTCAAGGTGCAGAACATTTAAAAGTATATATTTATTATGAGAAATTATACTGCAGCACGCATATTCCTTTACTATGATTTTTCTTGTTTCCTTCACAATTTAATGTCAAAATCTTTATTCTTCAATGTGTATACTCATGGTCCCAAGCTATCAAAGGTAACATTTCATTTGAATTCTCTCTCAAACTCACAAAACTGTACATTCAATGTTTAATTCCCTTCTTTTTATGACTATTATTTTTTCTTTATTGTTTTCTGCAACTTATCTTCCTCTACTTACTATTTATACAGAATAAACATTTTGACTGTTCTCTCTATCCCCTTATACTTAGGCATTTATATCTGGCTCCGATTTAAAATCTACCAGTTACATTTGTTTAGTGAATATTAAAATATACTTTGTAGGATTTATATCAGTGACACCAACAATGAACAAAACGCTGGAAGAAAAACAACACATAAGACTTAAAACCCTTAGTGGTAGGAGGCTGAGGCAGGAGAATCGCTTGAACCTGGGAGGCGTAGGTTGCAGTGAGCTGAGATCGTGCCACTGCACTCCAACCTGGGCGACGAAGCAAGACTCCGTCTCGAAACAAACAAACAAAAAAAAAACCCTTAGTGGTAAGGCTTTTTTTTTTTTCTTTTTCTTTTCTTTTCTTTTCTTTTTTTTTTTTTTTTGAGACGGAGTCTTGCTCTGTCACCCAGGCTAGAGTGCAATGGCAAGATCTCGGCTCACTGCAAGCTCCGCCTCCCGGGGTTCACGCCATTCTCCTGCCTCAGCCTCCCAAGTAGCTGGGACTACAGGCACCCACCACCACGCCCGGCTAATTTTTTGTATTTTTAGTAGAGACGGGGTTTCACCGTGTTAGCCAGGATGGTCTTGATCTCCTGACCTCATGATCCGCTCACCTCGGCCTCCTAAAGTGCTGGGATTACAGGCGTGAGCCACCGTGCCCGGCCGGCATTTTTTTTTTCTTTATGTCCCCAGTACTGTTCTGGGTGCTTCATTTGTCTAATTAACAGTAGAATCTCAATAAAAACACATCAAGTAGATAAATTAACAACCAAAAACAATAATCACACAATTGCTCATTATTTTTATCTATTTAGTTTATCATTAATTCTTACCTCCATTTATTTCAACAGGCATTATAGGGATAAAAAATAGAACGGAATTCCAGCCTTGAAAACAGTAAAAGTGTCTTTAGGGAAGATGACAGGAAAATGTATAATTAAAAAAGACTTTGAAAGCTTAGAATGCCTTAAGATTAAGATTCCGAGCTATTACATGGGAAATAAGGGGAGGGGGAGAGAAAACCATGTTTTGTTCTGCTTGCCAGAAAAGGGCGATAATGTAGCCTAATTATGTACAACCAGCATGATCAACTTTAGAAATGAGGTACTCACCAAAAGGCTTAAATTTTTACCAACAAATTCTGTTATAGTTTGGTTATGTTTGCACATCAACACTGAATGATTAAATCAAATAAAACTGTGAGTTTGGGTGATGATCTGTTTGGTACTAAGCTACCTGGCAGCAAATTACTGGCCAACCCATAGCCTACAGCTGTTGTGTGATCCTGTCTATCTACTCAATCAGATCAATTCACTCAGAAGTCTATGCTACATCTTCTGAGGCCATGTCGCCAGCACAATCACCTGAAAGCTCTCTTATGGAAACCCCATGCCAGCCAGTGTCATTGCACAGTTTTGCTGAGTAAATTAAGTGATAAATTATGATGTCCATTGAGTGGTAAGATTGCTTCATTGTGAAGTAGAATTAATACGGTCATTCTCAAGGGGTTGACAGATGAGAGACAGTAAATTATCAATATTCAAATGCCTCGTAACAAGTAAAGCTTTGGCTTTAGGACATGGGATCTAAAAGTATGAAAATACAATTCCATTTTGTGGTCAAAAGTTAGCACAAGCGTGTAGTTTATTGGTGTCTATCTTATGTGGGCTAGGAGAAATACTTAAGACTTTCACGGTTTGTTTCTCATTCACCAAATTAAATTTTCCTCAATGCCTATATTCGTAGCTCTGTGTAGGTAGTATTAGCACATCTTTAAAAGGCATTAAAAGTGGAATTTCAGACCTCGAGGAGCTTTTGGAAAACAGGAGAATGTTACACTGGCAAACCAAGTGGTATTGTTACTACTATGTTTCACAAACCTTATTTAGGAGACTCAAAAACTAATGACTGGTGTATGCTAGGGTAGAAACCCCAGAAACCCCCGCCCCCCCACCCCGCAAAAAAAAGAGAGAGAGAGACAAAAGGAGAAAAGAAAAGCCATAAAGCCATGATTCTCTAACAGAGTCTTATTTGCTACAATCAGAAGGCTAAACTTGTCCTCAGGTGCCACATTTCCAGCTCACTAAGGAATACATTATCCTTCCAATGAAATGCTATAAATGATACAGAAGTTCCATTTCTAGCCTACAAAGCATGTGTATTTTGTAATGTTGCTGGAACGATGTAGAAAAGGTAGTGGAAGAGGAGAATGTAAAAGAAGAAAAGAGAAGGCAGAGCATAGACTGTTCTTTAAAAATGTGTTTTTTTAAATTTTTGCATTTGTATAGCATTATGTAGTTTACAAAATATCATATGCATGTATGTTTCATCTTTGTCCTAAAATTTGCATGGAATAGGGAAATTACAACTGAGGATACTGGAACACACAAACACACACACACACATTAACATTAAAAATGTACCCATTAAGTATTATAGTTAATTTTTCAAAATCCTTCTCTTCTGTTCCATTCACAAAGAGTTTGTAGTCCTGTGAAGGACTATTCCCTCCTCACCTATCTGTGAATTCTCCACCTTTTCATCTCTTCAGGCATTTGGCACCATCACTTAACTCTCTTCAGTATATAATCTCTCCCTCTTGACTTTTCTTGTTTCCCTCAACACAAAAGCATTCTTAAGATCTTTCCCATGTTAAAAACAGCAGACTTTCTCTCCACACTTTCTCTCTCTAGCGTCCATGCTGAGTGGCCTTCTTTTCCTCTTATTCCTAGTCACCACTTTCCATTTCCAACAGCATTCACTAGCAACTTATCAACTTAGTCTAATTTCCCCCAATCCTATAAAAGCACTCTTGTTAAGTCCCAGATGTCCTACCTGCTCATTCAGTTGGGCATTTTCTTTTCTTAACCAAATTAACATCTTTGCTGCATTTGACACTGTCATCTTCCTTAAAAATCTTCTCTTATTTGCCATTCTGGAATCTGGAAATAAGATTTTTTTCCTCTTGTCCATTCCTTATCAGTCTTCTTTGTAAACTCCCCTTTTATGCTGTCTAGATGAATGTTGGATGATCACATTCATGGTCAATATTGCGGTCTTCTTGTATTTTTCCCTCTCTATTTTCTGCCTGCAATGAACTGATCACTAGGTGCTGTCCGTTAAACTGACAAATCACAGGCAAATGCCAAGTTACTCTCTCCATCTCCACTGCCATTGTCTCAACTCATATCCTCACCCTCTACTACTTGAATGACTCTTAGTTTGCTAACAGTTCTTCCTGCTGTTTGTCATCATTTCCATGACCATCACCATCACCAGTTCAAATGGAGTTTGAATTTGCGTGCTTTAGCTTTCCATAATGATGGTGTTCAGGACAAGCTATGCCAAAATACAGCACCTTGGCATTTGAGAAAATAGCAAAAAAAGGAAGGTCTCCTGAACTTTCTTCTGTTCTCCCATGAAACAGGCCATAAAAATTATCTGATTTTCCTCTGAAGCCCACTCTATACCCAGAGAAAAGGGATGTCCTTATCTCTGAAGATACAGGGACTCAGAGATGTATCTAAAAAGTGGGCTTTGCTAAGGCCTCCCTGATAGAACATACCCTTGTCTCACCATACAGCTGCACAATTGTCCACTCTTCATCAAACTCAGCATAAAAATTCATGTTTCCCTGTTTCTTTGGGTCTTCATTTCTGAAGGCTCCTGTGTCACGTAAAATTTATATTAAATAAATTTGTATGTTTTTCTCCTGTTAAATCTTTATTTTGTTATAGAGAGTCATCAGCCATGAACATAGCAATGGGTGAGAAAAGAAATTTATTCTATAATACCAACCTTTTTTTTTTTTTAAGACAGGGTCTCGCTCTTTCACCCAGGCTGGAGTACAGTGATGCAATCTCAGCTCACTGCAACCTCCACCTCCTGGGGTCAAGTGACTCTCGTGCCTCAGCCTCCTGAGTAGCTGGGATTACAGGCTTGCACCGCCATGCCCAGCTGATTTTTGTATTTTTAGTAGAGATGGGGTTTCACCATGTTGGCCAGGCTGGTCTCGAACTTCTGACCTCAAGTGATCCGCCTGCCTTGGGCTCCCAAAGTGCTGGGGTTATAGGCGTGAGCCACAGCAATGGGCCAATACCAAGTTTAAAAAAAAAAAAATTGAGACAGGGTCTCACTCTGTTGCCCATGCTGGAGTGCAGTGATGGGATCATGGCTCATGGGAACCTCAAACTCCTGGGCTCCAGTGATTCTCTTACCTCAGTCTTCTAAGAAGCTGAGACTATAGGTGTGCATCACCACATATTGCTAAGTTTTTATTTTTTGTGGAGATAGGGTCTCACTATGTTGCTCAGGTTGGTCTCAAACTCCTGGGCTCAAGCAATCCTCCCGCCTTGGCCTCCCAAACTGCTGGGATTACAGGTGTGAGCTACCATGCCCAGCCTACCTATCATTTTTAAGCTATAATAGGATTGTTGGTTTATTTGCCTTATTTTGAGGGAGTGATTATGACAGATATCTTTTAAGTATTTAAAGACAATTTCTCATCTTACCCCTAAATGTATCTTAGATTGTTTGCATCATAAAGACTTTACCCATGAAAACAATGATGAAAAACTGCAGCTCAGTTTCGATAAATATTAAAAGTAATTTATAAGTTTTGGAGTCTGAAATAATGAATGATGTTTATAGCAATAATTAATCGGTGCTTTCTAAGCAATATCTCAAAAGGTATTTTCTTCTATGTATTTCTTGTCTAATAAATATATGCATTATGCTTATGTAAAAATGATTAATAACAAGAATGGCTCTATGCGGCTTTATCAAAAGTACAAAGTAATTAATTAAAATCCTTTTTAAATCAAGAAACTATAATGTGCCCTTCATCTTACAGTTCTTAATTGAATTTCTAAATAAAATTTAAGCCATACCCTCATTTTATGTTTTTCTCTTGGCTCTCTCCTGATGAATATAAACTCTGATGTATTACTGCTAGAGTGTACCATTCTGTCATATATATAAATTCCACAAAGTCTTCAGCCATGAAAAAGATGGTTACATGGTGCTTTTTAAAATATCTGAGAATTAATCATTCATTTCTCTTTCTCAACATATCTTTTATGTTTTGCCTGTTTCTCGAAGATAAGGGGAGTAGTAATGTTAAGCAATGTTACTATTCCTCGCTGGTGGAAAAAAATGAAACTATCAGTCCCCAAACAAAGCTACACACTTGACTTTGAAGGTGCAATACTTTGTCCAATTTCAGAGTCTTTCCAAATACCTTTCTTGAATTATGAAATGCAAAATCACTTTGACAGTTACAGTTTCTATTTTCAGAATCTGTGCCTTTGTCACATAATTTTGCATAATCTTCCAAGCACTTGGGGCATGAAGGCAGTAAGAGGGAGATTTAAAGTGCTTGAATTGCTACAGTATAAATGACACATGAAGCAATCATATAAATTTAATCAAAAGATTTACCTCTACAAAGAACATTTCCAAAACATTATTTATGTTCATGCGTGACTCAACATTGTAAGTAGCACCTGTACAGTTAATATTTGAATAAAAGAGAAACAATTGAAAACCTTAAGGATTATTTGAGTTTAAGCTTTTCAATCATTTTCAGTATAACTAAAATATTCCTATAAAGTATAAATGTCTAAACCTAGGTAATGGTCCAGAGAAACGAAAATTAATTGATCTCTTTATGTGGAAATACTATGCAAGTGGTTTAATTCAAGAAAGGAGTTGTTCCTAGTTGTAAGAATTAACATATGTAAAAGGTTATACTCTCACACTGCTGGTAGACGTGCAAATTAGATTTCATTTTGGAAAAAAATTTGGAAATAAATTTTAATAAAACTAATAAAATTTTCCAGTTAAGTCAGAAATCTATCCCAGAGAGATAATCACAAACTAATCTATGTAATTAAGTAGTTCATTCCAGCATCCTTTAAAATGACAAAATTATAAAAACAATACAAATTTCTGAATTATGACAAGTGTTTATTAAATGTAGTACAAGTGACTGACAATATGGTAACTATGTACTTAATTATGGTACAAATTTAGCATGCTTTATTAAGCAGACACTAAAATAGCAGTAGATTTGGAAACGAAATAAAAGTCTGAGGAGCAGCATTTACCAGGGAAGGGTTGGGATAAAGAGAGAAAACATGACATATCCTAGTATTTACATCCTATTAATTTTCTCTTCTTCTAGGGATAAATCAGAAAGAATAGACAGAAAGAGACATGAAATATTTAAAGTAGTAATTGGCTTATTTCCTCTTCATTTCTCTATTCTTTGGACTTAATGGCTACTGATAGAAATAGGTGTGGTTCAATGACTCAGCCTTTCATCCTATGTTGAACATAATATTTATTCTCCCATAATGATTTAAATAATTTCCTCCTCAATATTAAAGCACTGCATCCTTACTGAAGAGAATTATAAAGTTTTGTAAAGTTAGAAAGAACACAAAAATCATATACAACCTCACTCTCTAGGGACTGCCACTCACTGTTTGACAATTTGATGTTTTTTCTTAATTATATGATGTACAAATATAGAAATATATACTATGCTATGTACAGTATGAACTTTTATTCATTTTTTTCATTTAATATATTGTGAATATTTTCTCATTTCCTAAAAGGTATTGTATTATTTGTAAAATACAATCCATTCCCTTATCAAAACATTATGTAGGTTGTTTCCAGTTTCTTCTAAGGTTGCAATGAATAGGTGTGCATATTAATTCTGGCCCAAGTTTCTGTTTCATTAGGCATGATTTCTCCATTGTGCATTATAGGCTAAAACCTAAGAGCTAATTTAAGATTCTGGTGTATTTTGTTTTGTTTTTTGTTTTGTTTCACTTTCCAAAATGCAGCAGTTTATACTTCCACTGGTGGTATATGTATGTCCATTTCATTGCACCCTAATCTACATTCAGTATAATCATTTACAAATTATTTACTACTTTTCAAGCTTAAAATGGACTCTTTGGTTTTATTTTCAGTCATTTTACTAATAATGCAGTAATCATTATTTTTATTAGATATCTTACTTTTTATTCTGTTTGCTTATTCATATATTTTGCCTTTATTCAACTGGAATCTTTGTGAATTCTTTATAGAATTCCATGATATCTTCAAATGTCACCAAAGGTAGCAATTTATATCCATGAAAATATGGTTCTTAATTTGTCCTTTGGCTTTTAGTAGATTTTCTCATATTGTGTATTCTTAGAGAAGGATATGGGAATGCATTTATGTAATCAGATTTAACCTAAAATATACATTCAAAGTAAGGTTAGAATTTCCATGTGTTAATTATTTTTTTCTGATTCATCGTTAATCAATAGGGCAATACCTTAATATTATAGTGAAAATGAGAGTTATTTGTTTATTCATTCCTGTATTTAATACTGTATATTGAGCAGCCACTGGCTAAAAAGGCCTCCCTTCAGACACCGAATACATTAGTTAAACAAAACAGGTGCAGATTCTTGACTGCAGGAATCTTTCTTACATTCTAACAGGGGGAGACAGATAACAAATAACACATGTAGTAGGAAGAATAATGATTTCCCAGAGATGTCCCTACCCTAATCCCTAAAACCTGTGACTATTGTATTCCATGGCACAAGGGAATTTGTAGATATAATTAATGTTGTGAGCCTTAAAATAGGGAGATTATTCTTTTTTTTTTTTTTTTTTTTGGTGGCATCTTGCTCTGTTGCCAGGCTGGAGTGCAGTGGCACAATCTTGGCTCAGTGCAACCTCCACATCCCGGGTTCAAGCAATTCTCCTGCCTCAGCCTCCTGAGTAGCTGGGACTACAGATGTGCGCCACCATGCCCAGCTAATTTTTGTACTTTTAGTAGAGACAGGGTTTCACCATGTTGGCCAGGATGGTCTCTATCTACTGACCTTGTGATCCACCTGCCTCAGCCTCCCAAAGTGCTGGGATTATAGGCGTTAGCCACCGTGCCCAGCCGAGATTATTCTTATAAGCATGGTAGGCTCAATCTAATCATATGATCTTTTAAAAGTAGACAACTGTCTCTCGCTGGAAGTGTAAAGGAGGTGAGGCAGAGGGGGAAATCAGAGATAGTTTATGCCTAAGAAAGATTTAATGAGCAATTGCTGGCTCTGAGATGTAGGGATCCACATGCAATAAATGGAGAAAGGACTCTAAGCGCTAAGGGCGGCCATCAGCCGGAAATCAGCAAGGACAATGAAACCTCCACAAAGTTTTATCAACACTCTGAATAAGCTAGGAAGTCTATTCTTCTCCAAGCTGCCTCTATATTTGTGTAATTTGTCCTCAGATCAGTAGAAACCTAATTCTAAATGCAAAATAATTAAATTAGATAGTATTAGGAGATATTATTAAGTGCTCTTTTTAAAAAAGTAAGATTAGTGTAAGGTTAGAGGGGTCAGGAATGCCTGCTTGAGGAGACTGGGCAGATAGAGGATTAAATAGTATGGCCAGATTGAGACTCTTATCAAGAAGGTAATATTTGAGAAAAGACATGATGGAGGTAAGAATGTTAGCCAGGTGGACACATGAAAGAAGTCTTTTCAATTTGGCTGCAAAAGGACCTGAGAGAGGAAAGACTCCAAGGCAGACAGGCATCTCTGAAGAACAGCAAGAAGCCTTGTGTGTCTGGAGTGGATTGGTGGAAGACGGCATGTGGCGATAAAACCAGAAAGGCGGGGGGGACTGGATCATGGCCCTTGGAAACTTTAACTTTTACTATGAGTGAAATGGGAAGACACTGGAAGATGTAGAGAAAGCAAATAATATATGATTTAAAAGCTTCAAGAGCCAATGTGGCTGCTGTATTGAACATAGCCCGTTATGGGAAGAAGCCAAGAGATTTGTTCTGAGGTTACTTCGCCAAACCACATAAAAGATAATGGGAACTTAACTAAGGTTTTAAAGATGGAGGTGATGGGAAGGGACTCTGCTCTCTAAATAATTTAAAAATGTACATATAAAATTTCGGAGATTCTTTTCCTAGGTAGCCACCATAGCATTCCTAGATGGCTTCACTTAATTATCACAAATATATCACACTATTATCAAACATTCATCACACTTGTCTGAAATCATCTGTTTACTCTTTCTTTTCTTCTAGACTGCAAATTGAACTCTAAGAAAAGCAACTGTGTATTTTCAGGTGAGCCTAATAAAAAGCTACATGCTGCCATCCCTATTTCTAATCAGTACTGTAGGTACAGTTCAGTTTTCTAAGAAGAGTTATCTTTTATGACACAGCAGAGGTCCTTCAGGCCACTTCCCTCAGAAGCTGTATCACTTCAAACCACCCAGATGACACTTAGAGGTTAAAGTCACGTTCATATTATTTTGATTTTTTTTAAGAAAGAAAACCTCATGAATACGGTATAATCATCAGCAGAAAGACAGTCAATTTGTAATATTGCTTCTTGGATTTTAATTTACGTCCCCCGCTTTGTGGGTTGGAGCATTCTAAAGAAACAGCGTGGACCAATTCAATAAGAAAAAAACGTGAGCAGTGACACCATGTTCACATATCACTGAGGAGTAAAGTGCAAAAAACTTTAAAGTCTGTGAAGTATGTACGATAACTGATTTCTGCTCCATAATAAGCACCACAATCATTACAGGCTATGAGATTCATTTTTGTTTTAAAAACTTTTTCTAATTGGTCCACATACTAACAAGAGCCAACTACCATTTGTTGTCTTCAGACAGGAAGCTTGTCAGGATCAGAGCAAAGACCGTTTTGCATTCTAACCACTGGTTAGAAGACATGCCTATAAGTTAATCTTTGGAACTAAAGGCTTTAACCATTTAGCACCAAGAAAAGCATAATTAACCTGGAATGAGCCTTGTGTCTTGTAGTTTACTTAAGAGGATGATAAAATATGGGAGAGTGAGAGAAAAATGAAGTAGTGATAACTTTGTTTTTCTAGTCTTGGAAAATTTTAACAAGCATGTTAAAAGTCATCTAAGGAAACCAAGAAATCATTTATATCCTTTCCTTTAATTTTTATTGTACTAATTTGATCCTGGTATTTGCCAGTTTTCTTTTTGTTTTTTTGTTTTTACATACTTGTGGTTTACTTCCTCACTCTTCTTAAAGTTTGTCTTTGTAACAAACTTATAACAAGTGATTTCAGACAACAAATGACATAGCAACTATAATCACTTACATAAAAGAGATATTTGAGATATTCTTCTAGTTTTGAACATGTAAATGAATCAAATGCATGGCTGAAGAGAGAGAGAGAAAATACGCCATTTCAGAGAACAACAACTTTTCAAAGCTTATTATTCTAAAAATAACTGCAAAATGTCCACATTCCTAATTTTTCTATGTAAATCAGCCTATTGCTTTTACCGTAAGTTCTCTCTAAATTAAACTTGATAAGTATTTTATGCTCAACAAAATTGGTCTAATATCAAATTTACTTTTTTACTAATCGAATTAACAAGTATTTATAAAGTATCTACTATTCATCAATCACTGCTAGTTATTGAAAATAAAAGATGTCTAAGACACATACATTTGAGACTCTCAAATACTTTTCTAATTCAACTTTAGTCTGTTGAATAGGCTTTCAACCCTGGATTGAATCTGTGTCTTCTAGGGCTTGAAAGTTCACCATAATGTGTTTGGCAGGCCACTGGCTTAGTGTAGGAGAATTAATCTGTTTCCTATAGACAGGTACATCACAGTTTATGAGGGAGGAAAAGTATATCTCTTCTGCAAATGGAAGTAATCAGAAAAGGATGATTTGTAGGTTGCAAAAAGAAAGGCAAGATAATATGAATTGATCCCCTTATAATTATAATAGGAATACCATAAACGTCCTTTTTTTTTCTATCCAGTGTGAAGGGGTTAGTGGTTAGACAACAACAACAAAAAAACTCCCAAGCTTTCAGAGTACACTACAGAGTATAATATTAAAAGAGGGAAAGAAAACTAAGGCATGTATATAAGTGGCTAATGTGGTGGGGTTTGAACATTCTAGAATGTCCTCAAACTCTGGACAAATTATCATGCCTAGAACTAAGGCCATTTATGTCACTGTCCAGATAGGGAGACTGTAGCCAAACTTTGTATTCCCTTAAATAATTAAGTATAAGCTTACCCATATTTTTCTCTCAATTATTTAAATTTTATTACGTCACTAGGATCATAACGGTTGGCCTTGGGAAACAAAAAACTACAACTATAAGCTGAAAATGTTATATAGGACCAGAAGATAGGAAAATAAAGCATATGGAAATGAAAAATGTTAACTGGCAGTAGGCGCATGAAGGAGCACATAAGGAAAATGTTAGCATTAACCTATGTGTAAAGCAGGCAGCTCACAGCCATCTGCTCTACTGGTCTGTCAAATTCACAAATTCTGCTTATCAATGCATATTCTAAAATGGATCATCAGGCATCCGTTCCTATATTGGAACAGGGGCCCTAGCCATATTAGATCATTTGATATAATCCCAAAGACCCGTAAGACTTCCTATGGAGTGCTATGTGCCAGATACTCTTGCAAATATTAACAATTCACAAAGACATTGAAAAGTAGTCACTCTTACTAGGAGTACTGCTGTCTTGCAAATTGGGAAACAAAATCACAGTTAAGAAGCCTGTCTAAAGTCTCACAGTCAGTAACCCAGTGAAGTCTAGCACCCATTTAGTTTGGTAATATTTTTTGGAAAGAAGAAGGAAAGTGTAGGCATCAAAACACTCACAACTGTCTTCAGTTTTCCTGATATAAAATGTCTGTCGATCTTCATGGGAAAGGAGAAGAATGAATAATGTGAGGCAAAAAACAAACAAACAAACAAACAAAAAACCTTGAGACAGGAAACTCTGCAGACAACTATTTAGAAGAAAAACAAAACAGAAATAAAAAAATTATTTCCTTTTATTTTTTTCAAGAGATAGGGTCTCGTTCAGCCACCCAAGCTAGAGTGCAGCTGTGCTCACAGCTCACTGCAGCCTCCAACTTCTCCTGGGCTCAAGCAATCCTCCCTCCTCAGCCTCCCTAGTAGATGGGAATACAGGCGCATGCCACAACACCCAACTAATGTTTTTAATTTTTGTAGAGATGAAGTCTCACTATTTTGCCCAGGTGGGTCTCGAAATCCTGGCTTCAAGCAATCCTCTAGCCTTGGCCTCCCAAAGTGTTGGGATTACAGGCATGAGCTACTGTGTCCTGCTGAAAATATTTCAAGTTGCAAAAATACTTTTGAAATGTTGTAGATTACAGATAATGTATAAATTCTGTGACAAAATAAATTATTTTGACAGTAGATTTACAGAGGGAGGGAGAGGCTGGAATGAAAGAAATGCTCCAGGCTATCACCAACATCAGCTTCATTTCCTTGGGAAAGAGCCTCATGGTTTTCAGATGCTATTGAGGTACACACACAAACCACATGTTGCCCATGCAATTTCAAGGTGAGAGTCTCAGAAAAGGGCCTTTGAGCTAAACAGTTTTGCATTCATCCTTAATCAGAAGTCAAATTTAATCCACACTCTAACTGAAGGCTGAATATATTACAAATAAAGGAAATGGATGTATCTCAGAGATTTATTAATGTGCTTTTGAAAACTATCAAAATCTCATCAAAATTTCATTTTGTTTTTTCAGGACCATTTTTGCTCTAGTCTAGAAAAGTGTATATTGCTAACCCTTTTAATTCCATGTGAATAAAATCATTCCATCAGGCTAATTAATATTTGAGCCATATTTCAGTATTTCAAACTGACATTAAACCTGGCCTATCATTATTAAATATCTATAAAGTGACAAAAGTTTTAACCAGGCTGCAAAATATTTGACTGGAAGTAAACATTAGACATCAAGGAAAGCACATGCTTTAATTACTCGTATATAGGCTGGAACCTGTACTTGGTTAATTGCTGAAGTTAAGAGCATGTCCTTTAATAAAATGAAGCCAAGAAAATTACTAAGTCTCTATTCTATGTCTCATGCATTGCATTAGGTGTTTGAGTTTCTAAAAATGGGTCTCTGTTTTTAAGGGGAAGGGCAGTGGGAAAGAAAGAAGTAACATGAAAAAGGGGAAGAAAAAAGTAACTAAAGGCATTGCCTGGGTCTTCAAGAATCCTCTAAGGGAATAATTTCAAATCTTGTTTTGCTAAATAATTGGAAAGAGTCAAACGCAGATTACTATTCTGGTTAAAATGTCTGAAATGGACATTTTCAAGGTAAATATCTATATAACAAAAAGACTGGCCATCCCTCTCCCTCTTGATGCTATATTTATTATAAGTAATAGTTTTTGGTTTTTTTTTTTTTACTTTGAGAAAACAAAGACACTTTTCAGCTTTTTGGGACTGGACATTTGTTTAATCCCTCATTGGGATTAAACACCAAGTGACATGTTCTATATACAATGAAACATAAATTACAAAAGGACGTTATGAAAACAAGGGAATAGAGTGAGTTAGCTAATCAGCCATGGCAACAGCATGGTTAGAAATTTATTAGAATTAGAGGAACAGAAATCAACCTTCAATTCTGTTATGAATATCATTAAAACTACACAGTGCCTATGTCTCAGGCTCTTTTAAGTTCCAAGGAAAGAAGAGTACCAGATGCAGGCTTTCTAGGATGTGAGAGTCTATTCAGAAGAAGATCACATTTATAAAATGATAACTAGCTTTTCTTAAGGGCCAAGAGAATGAAAGAGATATAATGTCACTCAGGAATTAAGGGACATATGAAGTCCTAGTGAGATACAGTGGAAAAACTCTGCTGTGAAATTGAGTTATAGCCCTAGACTATTATCCAGCTACTTATCCCAAATGCAACTTTTATTTCCATAATGTCCATGAACATTGCAGATAAGAGCACTGACTAGAAATAAGCAGCACCTTGTTATAACCCAAGAGCCATGCTTACCGGTTGTATGGCTTTGGCCTAATAACTTAATCTTTCTACGATTGAGTATTTTATTACAGTATGAGATAACAAATGACCACTTCATCAACTAGTTATGAAAAATAAACTATATAATTCATAAAATATAGCTAGTATATGCCAAAGTGCTCAGTAAATGTTGACTATTAATGGAAAGAATAATAGCCTTTGCTAAATTACAAATGAGTATCTAAAAATGAATTTCTTGCGATATAGATAGATAAGAAAAGGGAAATAGTATGAGATTAAGCACTTGCTGATTAATTAGTTTAAGTAAAAACTAAAAATTAATGTTGAGTTTCCAGAGCTCTACAAAAATGCTAACATACATTGTACTTGTGGATCTGAAACCTGCCAAGGTTGAGGTCTTTGAAGTTACTTTCCTTGATTCATATTTTACTGTATATATCACTACTATGTTGAACATTTGATCATTGTTGAGATTTGTGATGTTTTCTCCTGATTTAAATTTATACCATGTCACCAAGAACCCAACAAAAATTTAGATGTAATAAAACAGATATTTAAAGAAAGACAAAAGCAAGCAAAAAATTCTTAAAATTAATGTAATCATCATTTTTACTAACACTGTAAAGATTTAGATATAATTCTATTGCAAATAAAAAACAAAGATTCATTTCTGTTCAAACAATCTTAATAGTGAAAATGTAAATCATTATATATATTTAATATAAATTTGAGTATCTTCCATCATCAGGTTGTTTAGTTCACCCATTTCCTTTAACACCAATAAACTAATGTTACTATTCTGATGTGATGAAGACTCTTTGGAAAAATCTTAATTGGAGGAACAAAACTGGATCCAGATGCAGAGTAATTTCTATATCAGTAACCCTTTTGTACCAGATATAATTTTGGTTGCTAACATATAAAGAAGAAACATGGATTAATCAATAGAGATATTTCATGAATGACAAACTCAGCAACCTATCTTTGCCTCATAGTCTCAGACAATAAACACTAGCAATATTCTATAATTTAACCAACTTTAATCATCCTATCTTGTTTAAAATATGTTTTACATATACTTTGGATATCTACACATATTCACAAGTACCCCCCTTATAGGTTGTTTCACTTTCTATGGCTTCAGAAACCCATGGCAGAGTAGGATAAAATATTTAGAGAGGGAGAGATCACATTCATGTAAGTTTTATTTCAGTATATAGTTATAATTGTTCTATTTTATTACTATTATTGTTAATCTCTTACTGTGCCTGATTTATAAATTAAACTTTATTATAGTATGTGTATATAGGAAAAAAAACATAGTATATTACTATCTGCAGTCCTGCTAACCCCAAGAGAATTTTTGTATAAACCTTAACAGAATACACACAAGGTATATGACTAAATATCCAAAGATTGGGTTATTTATAAAGAACAACAATTTATTTCTCGCACTTCTGGAGGCTGGAAGTTTGAGATGAAGGGGCTAGCATGGTTTCTAGTGAGGGCCTCCTCCAGGCTGCAGACTGCCGTCTTCCTGCTGCATCCTCACATGGTGGGAGGATTGAGGGACCTCTCTGGGGCCTCTTTTATAAGGGTGCTAATGCGAATCATGAGGACTCCACCTGCATGACTTCGTCATCTGTTAAAGGGCAATCTGTAAATACTATCACCTTCATGTTTAGGATTTCGAGGTATGAATTTTGGGGGTTACACAAATATTCAGATCATACTATTCCATCTCCCACCTGCCCAAATTTGTGACTTTTTCACATGCAAAATACAGTAATTCCATCTCAGTAGCCCCCAAAGTCTTCATTTTATCTAGCGTCAACTCACAAACCTAAGTTTAGAGTCTCATCTAAATATCATTTAAATCAGATATGGATGAGACGAAAGGTATACTTCATCCTGAGGGAAATTGATCTGTAGCTGTGAATGTGTGAAATCAAACATGTTATGCATTTCCATGATACAACAGTGAAACAGGAATAGCATAGATATTCCTCTTCCAAAAAAGAAAAAGAAATAGGAAAGATGTAAGGGATTACAGGTCCTGAGTGAGTCCAAAACCTTAATTTTCAAGAATAATCTTCTTTGACTTGATATCCAGTCTCCCAGACAGACTAAAGCAAGGAGAACCTCCAACATTGCTTGTAGTCCTGCCCCCACAGCCATTTCTGAAGCTCTAATGGGTTGTAGTTAGGGACATGTTGCTCTTCCAGGCTAGAATCACATGAAGGCTACCCTGCTGGTCCAGAGTCACAAAAGTGCCCACATCCCCATGACTCCACTAGGCACTGCCCTAGTGGGGACTCTTGAAGTGGCCCTGCCCTTGGGATGGCCCTCTGAGTGAGGCTCCAAGTGACTCTATTCTTTGAAATCTAGGTGGAGGTAGGTACACTCTCAGAGCACACGCATGAGCTGCACCAGGAGAGATGGCACTATGCAAGGTTCACCACCTGTGCCCTCTGGAGAGAGCTTCTGCATCCTGTGCCCCCACCTTGGCCTACTGGAGCAAAATCTGAGGTGGCTAAAGAGCACTATGCCAGAGTACAGTGAACAAAACCATGAAATCATTCTGCTCCCACCCTCCCCATGCACTTGCACTCTGGGTTTGTAATGGAAAGGGCATAATCTCTGAAATGTCCTTTGGAGGTCAGAAGGAAGAGAGGAGAGCTGTAGAGTAAGCCACCATCATCTCAGAAAACATATAGGTAATCTTGAAGAGAATGCTGGTAGAAGCATGGATGATAAAAGCTATTGTGATGAGGTCTCATTGTCTTGATGAGTAACTCTTGGCTTCTGTTGAGATGGCACATTCGTATTAATCTTATCTGTGCTTTCTCATTCTTTTCTATATAAATAAGTTGAGAATTTTCCTAATTTTAAACTTGTTTCCCTTTTGATTAAAAATTCTGTCTTTAAATAATTTCCCTTTTTCACATTTTGCTAGAAGCATTCAAGCGAAGCCAAACCACACACTCAACATTTTGCTGGAAATTTCTTCAAACATTCTACTTTGTCACTCACAAATTCTACCTTCCATAAAACACTAGGACACAAACACAATTCAGCCAAATTATTTGCCACTTTATGACAAGGATCACCTTTCCTCAAGTTTCCAGTAACATATTCTTCATCTCCACCTGAGACCTCATAACAATAGCTTTTACCATCTATACTTCGACCAACATTCTCTCCAGGATTACTCATATGTTCTTTGAGTTGATGGTGGCTTTATCTACTACAGCTCTCCTCTTTTCTTTCTGAGCTCTAACCAGAATCACCCTGAATGGTCCTCTCACAGCAATGTAGGCTTTTTCTAGCATGCACCTCAAAACTTTTTCAGCCTCTACCCTTTACCCAATTCTGAAGCTGCTTCCACATTTTTAGTTACTTGTTACAATATCACCTCACTCCTTCTGGTACCAATTTTCCTTCTTTTTATTTTTGAGAGAGGATCTTTCTCTGTCACCCAGGATGGACTGCAGTGGCACCATCACTCACTGCAGCCTTGGCCTCCTTGGAGCTCAAGCAATCCTCTCACCTCTGCCTCCTGAGTAGCTGGGACTACAGGTGCACATTACCATGCCAGGCATATTTCTAAATTTTTTATAGAAGTGGGTTCTTGCTATATTGCCCAGGCTGGCCTCAAACTCCTGGGCTCATGTAGTCCTCCTGCTGGACCTCCCAAACTGCTGGGATTATAGGTGTGAGCCACTGCACCTGGACGAGTACAAATTTTCTATCTTAGTTTGTTTGGGCTGCTATAAAAATTAGGGTACTTTTTAATTTTTTAATTTTTTATTTCTTTGAGATGGAGTCTTGCTGTGTCGCCCAGGCTGGAGAACAGTGGCATGATCTCGGCTCTCTGCAACCTCTACCTCCCAGGTTCAAATGATTCTCCTGCCTCAACCTCCCGAGTTGAGGATTACACTGGGATTACAGGTGCGTGCCACCACACCCAGCTAATTTTTGTATTTTTGGTGCACATGGGGTTTCACCATGGTGGCCAGGCTGATCTCGAACTCCTGACCTCAAATGATCTGCCCGCCTTGGCCTCCCAAAATGCTGGGATTACAGGTGCGAGCCACCACGCCCAGCCCAAATTTATTTCTTAAAGTTCTGGAGGCTGTGAAGTCCAAGATCAAGGTGCTGAAAGTTCAGGCTGTGGTAGTACCCACTTTCTGATTCCTAGATGATGGCTTCTTACTATGTCCTCACTTAGTGGAAGTAGCAAACAAGCTACCTTGAGCCTATTTTATGAAGGTCCTAATTCCATTTATCGGGGATCCAACCTCATGACCAAATCACCTTACAGAAGCCCCACCCCTTGTCAAACTGAGAGTTAGAATTTCAACATATAAATTTTGGGGGGACTCAAACATCCAGACCATAGCACATGGTTTTAATGAGAATGACATATTCAGACATCACTTGCTAGCATCTTATTGCAATTTACTTCCTTACTTCATTTTCCAAGCATTATATCTAACTGGTATGAGAGAAATAGAACCCAGGTCTAAGGGAACAAGAAGAACATTAGGTCAGAAATTCTGTTAAGAAGGTCAGCTCATTGGAAAGGGTTTATTTGTTCAGTAAACACTGTTGATACTACTATAAGTACTCTATGAATTCTGGTGACAAAAAGTGGAATACTTTTCAGTTCTTGCCATATAGAGAGATTGTAGATTAGAAAAGGATTAAAGACAGATTAAATGGAGGTTAAATTTAAAGAGTATTCAGACGAAACTAAATAATTTTGAGTTATTTTTAAGAAGCACAACTCTGAGCAAGTCATTCACTTCACACTGTTATATCAGTTATCCATCTGCCAGTGGTTGAACTAGATTTTAAGTTGATACTTCCATGGTATAAATGAATATTTATAAAGGGAATGGCAAAGGACTACCAAGAAGAAAGGAGGATTATAGACTGAAGTGATACTAAATGCAGAGGCACAGGGACATAATCAGACTGTCCTCATTTTATCAATACTGCACACTTGAAAGAAGAATTCACAAAAGGAAGCTTTTTTTTTTGTTCTATCAGAGATTTAGTTATTGAAATACCTAATGATATTTATTGTAGGCTGATTGACCCATGAGAAGTCATAGGCCATGACCCAAAGAAAGTAAGATGCTCGAAATCTTTAAATATGTGTCAAGTAATCATGAGAAAAATGTATAAAATATTTCTTACAGTAGCCTTCCTTTACAGAACACATCTTAGCACATAATAATAAACTTGATTTATTATGTTTAGTACTCTTGTATTTTTAACTACACTACTAATGGCCTTTCCTTATACATTTCTTATACAGGTTTGCTGCTTATTTACATATGCCAGCTATAATTCTAGCATTAGCTAAATTTGTTTAATTAATTTGTGTTAAAATCATGTAAAGAAAATATACTATATCTCTGAATATATACAATATATTATTATTGTTATAAATATACTGCATATTCATATTTAAGTTGATAATTGTGGAACTGGTTTGATAATTCAATGGGGGATAAAATATTTTTCTAAGTGGACCATTTTTCTTGTGAGCTAATTGGAGAGGTCTTTTTATTGAGGTAGTCATACTTATCAAAGGTTGAAATTTCTTCAAGGAAATATGTGGTATAACCAAATACAAACAAGAATAATCCAAAAATTAAAAGGTAACAAGATATAAGCCTTGTAGTGTGAATAAAAGCTAGTACTAAAAATGATCCAAGTAATTAAAACGATTGTCAACTTTATAATAAGGATTAGTGGGTAAATTATGCCAGTGTGGGGTTTGGATGGAAGGAATATGCACAATACATGCATGCATGCATACATATATACACACATACAATGCATATGGTAGCTTAATATTTTTAGCTAATTAAAAAAATTACTTTCAGAATAGTGATTGTAAATTGAAAGTTACTCAATTTAACTGTAATAACTGACAAGACACCAACTGACATCAATCTCTTCAGAAATAATTCTGGCATAGTAACACACTCACGTCACAAGATAAAGATGAAGGATAAAGAATTCAAATGTGGAAGGAATGAGATAGACTATATCTAATATCTTTCCTGGTCTTCTATTTTGGAAACAGCAGTATCTGTTGTAATTCCAATAAATTCTTTATTTGGGAAAATCTTACATACCAATTTAATATAAAAGGTCTTTTAATTAACTTGAAGATAGCAAAAGCAAAAAGAAAAGAGAAGAAGGAAGTAGAGGAGAAGAAAGAAGTTATCCAAGTATGTGTTGCCATTTTCTTCTTGGTGCTATAAAACACAAATTCTAAAATTTGGAGCTGATGAAAATGGACACATGTGGCCAGATGGGCTCAATTGCTTGCAAAGCTCTGAGCACTGTAGGACTCCTTTTCTCACTGTAATCCTTTTCTCATGAAGCCATAGGTATTACAGACCTTGACTGGTGAAAAAGGCCCTTACTGTTGTTAAAATCAGACACTAAGTTTTTATAAGGACTCCCATTTTCCTTAGATTCAAAAGCAATATCTAAAAGAAAGCAATAAAGAGAGAGAAAAAGAGTAAGTTAATAATAATAATAATAAAGCATCGTAGCACAAACTGTATTTCCTCTATCAGGAAGAGCAAACACAAATGGTGCACCCTTTCAGAGGACCATTTTGATTCTTGTTATTTTACATTCATTTATATACAAAGAAAACATGCCTATTTCAAGCATAAAACCTGAGAAATATAGTACAGCAAATAGACTTCAGAGCTGAGAATACGATAGGAAGAGTGCCGCTGTTCTTTCCAGAGAGTAAAACACACATATTATGTCAAAATGTTACATTTTACCTGGTCAATCAATAACCCCTAATATAATCTAGGAACCTACTCTCTGGGTCAGTTTGATGTAACGTATCTGGAGAATTTCACTCTGGGGTCTCTACTTACGTCTACCTGAAATGTTTTTTACATTTTCAAATGATGTTATTCAAAGGGAGTCAAAGATTAAAAGCTCGTTTCATGAGGCATTTAATTTAGGTAAGTCAATCAGCCAAGAAAAAACAAAACAGAACAAACTAAATTGCAAATTGTGGGGAAGAATCCTGCCTTCTTTGGCTGGCATCACAGATGGTCAAACAAAACAAAGTTTGAACACTATGGTTCATGTTTTCAGAAAAAGATGGACAGTGGGACACATTTCTGTAACTTCCATCCTTTAATATGTGGACCAGCTGAAAAGCAAAACAAACAAAAACAAAAGCAAAATCGTGCTGCAAATGCTTTGAGTCTGTTATTTAAGGACAAAAAAGTACAACCATACTGTGTTGATATTCAGGGAAAATATTTATTTTGTATAATGTTGCATAAATAGAGTTGTAATTATCCCTAGTAGATCACTGAACTACTAGTGAACACCAATATACAACCGATGCATGTGAGGAAACAAAATCAAATTTAAAAGAAACCTCTCATGAAGACTAAAGCTGTTTATTACTAACAGGATAATAGTAATGGAATTAGAGAACTCTCGCATTGCAAAAACTAGATTATACTTCCTAAATGTTCTTAATTTTTAAAAAATACAAGAATGCATTCTTTTTGAGTTTGTTTAGTTTGCTTTGGTGTTAGATCATCTGCTAATTGTGTTGACTTTTAAATTCATTTTTTTTCAAGTTAAAAAAAATCATGTGCTTGACAATTTTGAACTTTTGGTGACTGTAATAAAGTATTGTACAAAGTTAACAATATTCTTTGAAGTTTAAATGCCACTAAAAAGACACTTTTATAAAATATAGAAGTGTGCTATGGCATAGACATTTATGCTCTGTTTTGTTTCATAAATTTCCAGGCCAGCATTTTCTGATTTTTATTTCCAAATTCATAAATTTTCTACTCTCTTCCTTGGTTAAGCATTCTCAGTAGTTTGTAATAGCAATACATTAAATATTTGAGTTTATTCATGAGCAAACTCTCCATAGACTAAAAAGGAACTATGAGTGCTAATGTTGACTTCCCAATTACTTTTTTTCCTAGTAAGTCCTGGGCTTTTCTTTAGGTTTTAATTAGCAAGGCAAATGTGAATAAGAGTGGCAGACCTCTCTTGTCTCCAAAGAGGAGTGGCAGACCTCTCTTGACCCCCTCCTGCCTCCTCCAGCTTCCAGGTTAACAAAAGGAAAATGAGTTAACCAAACATGTCTTCCAAAGAATGAGAGAACTGCCAGGATATTCCCGAAATTCAAGCTAAGAACCATTTAAAAGCAAGGATCAAGTGAAAAAGCTTAAATTAAAGGTATATTTACATTGAATAAAGTTTTGTTTCCATCATTCAAATATTAGGTCTGAAGTTTTTTAACTTTTTACATTATAATTTTCATGATATCTATTTTTGCCATCCTTCTTTCTCTAACTCCTTTCCTATTCGTAGGTATCGACTGAGCTGGTGACAGTGCAAAAATAAAGTTAAAAATAATCAGCTGAAATTTTTCATGAAGAATATGTTTGTTCCTTTTTTCAAATGCCATCAACATGAAAGCCACAATACATGTCTCTTCTGTGTCAGCTCACTTTTAAGGACTAAGTATAGAGTTAACATTCTGATTCTATACACTCGAAACCCTAGAAACATATGATCGATAAATAGATGGATTTTAAATAGATAGATGATAGATGATAGATAGATAGGTAGATAGATATTCAGACGACAGATTTTACCTGTTAATCTTAAACGATTATTAATTTCCTTTTTCCTACCCATAATTAAATAACCAGTTGTTTTCTCTTCTATGTATGTGGAAGATATTTTTATGCTTAGGCAAATTATTTTGCAGTGTTTAGATGTACAATCCTTGCTTTCTCTTCTTGTTTTCATTCTAGGGACTCTAAACATGTCACACATCTGTATAATGATATATTAAATTTTATCCCCATTGATAGTATCATGAGCTAAATTTGAAATTCATTACTCTTCTTATTGGTCATAAAAATAATTAAAAAGTCAAAAGCATTTGCAAAATGTTTTAAATTCCTAAGTAATTCACTTCTGTGAGTTAACTTTTTTCCTCTTCCATACTAAGTAACTATACCCAATACTTATTAGTAAAAGCTGGGAAACTAACCTTTATTAATGCTGATATCCATCTACCAGATACTAGGTGCTTTACGCGCACTGTTCACCTAATTTAATCATCAGAGCAACTCATTTGACAAAAGAGGAAAGTGAAGTTCAGAAGTGTTAACTTGCCCAGATGACACAGCTACTAATTGTCAGTCTTTATTTGTACTTAGTTTCCCCTATCCCCACGCCTGTGTGTGTGTGTGTGTACTCTTTAATTTCAATATGGTAATTAGATGGAAACTGAAATTTAGTATGTATTCTTCATGTATTAGGATGCTTTATTTTCTTACTTATGTAGCTTTTTAAGAATCATGTGATAGAACTTAATATATTATTTCCTACTGAATTTTTCTAGTGACTAAGATTGTTAAAGTCAAAAGATATGTCAGTGTTCTGAGAACTAACACACTGTTTATTTTATTTAACTATTTATTTTATTTTATTTTATTTTACTTTATTTTTGAGACTAAGTCTCGTTCTGTCACCCAGGCTGAAGTGCAGTGGCATAATCTCGGCTCACTGCAACCTCTGCCTCCCGGGTTCAGGCGATTCCCCTGCCTCAGCCTCCCAAGTAGCTTGGAATTACAGGCGTGAGCCACCATACCTGGCTAATTTTTGTATTTTTAGTGGAAACAGGGTTTCACCATGTTGGCCAGGCTGGTCTCGAACTTCTGACCTCAGGTGATCCACCTGCCTCGGCCTCCCAAAGTGCTAGGATTATAGGCATGAGCCACCATGCCTGGCCTTAATCCTCATTTAATTTTTAAGAGCAGCTGGGCACGGTAGCTCACACCTATAATCCCAGCACTTTGGGATGCCCAGACATGTGGATTGCTTGAGTATAGGAGTTTGAGACCAGTCTGGGTAACATGGAGAAACCGTCGTCTCTACAAAAAAATTTTAAAAATTAGCTGGTGTGATGGTTTGTGCCTGTGGTTCCAGCCATTTGGGAGGCTGATGTGGGAAGAGGATTTGAGCCTGGGAGATGCAGGCTACAGTGAACCATGATCACGCCACTGCCCTAAACCTGGGTGAGATTCTGTCTCAAAAAAAAAAAAAAAGTTTTAAGAGCATATTTAATTGAGGTTCAGAGTGACTGAATTCAGCACTCTTTGTAATACTCCACCAACATCTTCTCATGTGTGTCAGAACTATATCCCTTATACTCATTTGTATATTAGAAGTGCATCATTCCTTGGCACATACAATTATGAGGATGGTTATTCTGATTATTACTTGTGATTCTGATTATTATTTAAGCAAACAGTGAAATTCTAGATGTGACATGGATTGTATATTATTTAGTTAATTCAGAGTGGAGCTAGAGAGTCTTACACAGGAGCAATACATATCTATGTGACATAGGTAACTGATCTCTTCATGTTTCTCTTTTCCATAAGAAAAATACTGATTTCATAGACTAAGATAGAAGTTCTCATTCTCCACCTACCCTCCCATTGCCTAGCTATGGATAATCCAAAGCAAACAACCATCCATAATCTCATAGTTTTTATTTTTCTAACTCTAAAGGATAGAGATATGGAAAAGGCATCTTGTGTTGGTACGTTGCAGGAGAAGGCAATCTGAAGTGTGGAGAGAAAGGTGGGGGATGATGAAAAGGAAGGTAGATAGGGGAAATCCAGTAAAGAAGTAGCCCAAGTGGGATGGGAATTGGAGCAGCTCCCAAGGTAGACCTTCAAAAAGAATTTCTCATTTAAAGTTATCAGGCAATTTAAATTTAGCTTATCTGATAAGTCTCCATAATCCCTGGTGTATTTCTGTAAATTTGTGAAATCCTTGTCCTTGAAAAATGTGGTTCAATGTTAATGTCTTATTGGGAGAGGCTGCACCAAGTTTGATATTCACATTACAAACTTCAGATTTGGAGATATTCATTTTTAGCACTATCTGGTAAAACAGGTTTTAAATATTAGTGCACACATCGATCCAGACAATAAAATGAAATCAGATACATACACCCTCATTTAATTTCAGTAGGAGATACATGTACAAACAGTTACCTAAATGCACAAAATAATAGCATCCATTACCATCAAATCCCAAGAATGCTTTCTAACAGAAGACCTTTGGGAACCAGTGATTATGATGTCAGTTAAATGTCTAGGAGTAAAGGAAATATTAAGCACGCACACACGCGCACACAGAGAAAAGCCACTGAGGCTATAATCTTCTAGGAACAGGAAGTAAATTGTTTTCTGTTCAGGAATGTCAAGGAGTGTTAGGATATTTTTCACTGAAGTGTAATTTAAAGGCTACTTTCTCCAGAGAGTTTCAGAAAGTAATGTTCATTTGAGTTCAATTTTGATATACTATTCCTGAGACATTTTATTATCTGTGTGTATAAATATATATGTGTGTATATTTTGACATGTTAGACTTTTAAAAGACTTGCAAAAGAGAGAGTGCCCGTATGCCCTCTACCCAGCTTTCCTTTATGTAAAAGTCTTACATAGCCACAGAATATTTATCAAAGCTACGAAATTAACTATTGTACAATACTAAATTCACAAATGTATAGTCTTTTTTTTTTTAAGATTTCATTGGATTTTTAATGAATGCCCTTTTTCTGTTCCAGAATCCATCCCAGGATCCCATATCAAACTTAGTTTCTTTGTGTCTTCTTTGTGTCCTCCAGTCTGGGAGGGTTCTCTGACTTACACAGCCCGGATGTTTTCAAAGAGTACTGATTGTTTATTTTGTAGAGTATATAAAATAACATAGAGTTTTGGCAGATGAGAACATGGACATTTTGGCGGGGATACATTCTTCTGTATACTTCACAAAGTATTTGCTAGAGGATATCACATTTCTGCCCACTAATTCTGCCTCCTAAATTTTTGCTAATTTGACTCCCATCGGAGGATCTAGCCTATGGCAGTTATTACAGTGGTGATCTAATGGTGATTTTTTTTACTTCTATTATTATTTATCTTGTTGATCAAGTTATTCCAAATTTGGTCATTGGGATCTCTTTCAGAAGGACCCCTATATGTTTTCAGTATGCCCCTACTTTTTTTGAGCCCTTTCTTTTCTTTAAAGCACGTTCTTACTTTTTTGACACCACAAGATGATCTGGGTATAACTGTTCGTTTAACAAAAAGATAGCAACCATTTTAACTATGAAATATGCAAAATATGGAAGTTACTAGTATTACTAGTTAGATAATATAATTAAAAAATAGCACCAAAAATTATTTTCTAGAAAATATGCAGATTAATATTTTGTAAAAAACATATTTTTTGAAAAAGCATCTCTGTGTGTGATATGTAAATATATCACACATTATATATATCATTTATATATATCATTTATATATATATATACATATATGTATCTCACGCAGTGAACAACATAGTTATCCAACAATAGAGGATTCACTGAATTGTATTTGATATAAAGACTTTAATATAAATATATTTTTTATAAATCAAATATATTTGATATAAATTCATATTTTCAGAGGAGGCAGGACATTTATAATATACTGCTTGGTGAAGAAGAGCAAGCTTTGGAATTCTCTACATATTGTGAGTTGTGAGTTACTTTCTTAAATCATAGGAAAAATGTCTGGAAAGTAACACATCAAAGTAATAATAGTTAGCAAGGACTAATTAATTTCAGGTGATTTTTACAACTATGTGATAACTTAAATAACTTATGTTACTAGTTACTAGATTGTTTCTAAATTGACAGTGTTTAAATAAATCTCAGTCTAAACAGGTATAAACTTCCCGTAAACTGCCATCATGCCATTATTGTCAATAAAATAAAATGGCATACAAGGCCATTACTTTTCTTTAGTGTTTTAAAAATGGCTTTAATGTGTCGTCTGAGGCAAAAAGAAAACACCACCCTCCTGCTCCCTTCCTCCCACATCCACCTCCAAAGCTGAAAACACAGAGATGGATTTAAGGAAAATGATAAATCCTTTTTAGCTATGGAATAGCAAGAGAGAACTGAGAGGTGTCAGGTAAAACAGAGGGAAGGATGGCTATGATCTTCAAATGCCACGGTTTGCAGATACTGTGTTTTCAACACTATTCTAAATATTCAGAGTACTCACCAATTTGATCAGTAGTGACAAGAAAAAAGTTTTTGGACCAGGTTCTCCATGTCATTTTGTAATTATTCATTCAAATATAAATACAGACACAATCTCCTCATTCTCTGTAGCCCTACTATCTTTTTGCAACATTCTCAGTAGAAGCAAGAATTAATTGCAACTGAGTAATTGTCACCAGGTTGTGTGGTGGGAGACAGAGACAGGGTCAAAAAAGAAGAACCACTTTTCTCTTTCCTGGGATGTCACGTAATGCCAGATACTTCCTCAAGTGGTGAATTTGTTTCAATTATCTAGCAAATCTTTCTCTCTTAGAAAGTGCCAATGAACAGTGAGTTAGGGGAAGCCTCACATGGCTCTGCTAAACATTTGATTCAGTGCAGATTGTGTGACAGATGTGTTTCTCATTATTAAGAGATCTATCGTTTGAACATGCTAGGACTAAAATTTATCATGCAGTTAGTCTAGATCTATGGATTAGCTGCAACCTGAGAAAAAAATAAACTGGTGCTAAATTCCTAAGAAAGATAAATTATTCCTTGATTTCACTAAAGCACATTTATTGATCTTGCCAGATTTTTCGTTTCTTTTTTTGCATAGCTATTTTAATTTCATGATCTGTTCACAAGGAAACTTTCCTAGGGATGCACTGCATTAAAAATATATCATTATATTCTTTATCCCACTTCAAATCTGATACAGAACTAGAAAACAGGAAAAAATTAAAGAAACTCTTTACTCACTTTTTTCTATGTATTATTAATGAATAAGGATAATTACTCTGAAGAATATCATATTAGTATCATTCAGTCATTCTCATATTTGAAAAGATTAATGTGCAGTTTTAAAGTACAATTGTGTTTTACTGCAATTGTTGCTGTGGCTTGCTTTCAAGATTTTAATTAGGCATTTTATCTTTACACTATAGTAGTACAGATGTTTTTATAGTGAGTTATCATTCAATCTCACCATAAACTAGGGAAATGTTGATTAGTCTACATAAAGATTAATTTTCAAAATCAGGTATATATTTGATCTTTAACATTTGGAATGTGCTACTGTTTCACAATAAAAATGTCACCTTAAAATATTAACTTTCAATCATCTGAGTTCAGAACTCTCTCTACATATATGTTTTGTATTCTACTATCTCATTATCATATCAAACCCAAATAAGAAACCCTAGTGGGACAGGCTTTTCTAAGAAGAGCTTTTCCCTATCATTTCTGTCTCTCATTCTCTCTCTCCATACATATATACATATTTATGTATATATACACACATATACGTGTTACACATATATTTGTGTATACATACCCACACATACATAAATATACATGTATATATGTAAAATACATACATATATATATAAACACACACACACATACAAAATTCTTCACCTTAAGAACAAAATTTTTGTAAAATGCTACATGGAATAGTTATTTATACAAAATACTAAAAGCTTTGTTGAACAGAATCAAATCACAAACTGATAATGGGATCATCCACAAGTTATTATATAAAAAAACTAAGGGGAGGCCAAGGCAGGTGGATCGCTTGAGGTCAGAAGTTCGAGACAAGCCTGGCCCACATGGTAAAACCCCGTCTCTACTAAAAATACAAAAAGTAGCCAGGCGTAGTGGCGGGTGCCTGTAATCCCAGCTACGTGGGAAGCTGAGACATGAGAATCACTTGAACCTAGGGGGCAGAGGTTGCAATGAGCTGAGATTGCGCCACTGCACTCCAACCTGAGCAACAGGGTGAGACTGTCTCAAAGACAAAAGACAAACAAACCCCTAAGAAATTTATATAATTAACAAATATGAAGATATATATATATATACACACATATATATTTTTATATGTGCATATATGTCAAAGGAGAAAGACAGTTTTGATATTTAGTTCCAGTTCTTTCTCACCTAGAAAATTATAACAATTCTTAGCAAATATAACACAGGTAATGGTTTTGTATCTTCTGGATTTCTCTTTCACTTTATTCATGGTCTGCAGACTTTCTGTCTTTTCCATGGCATTCTTCTCTCATAGCATTCTGTTCTGGGAAAGTCTTATTCTTTTTATAAAGCATCCATCATCATCTGCATCTCTGCATTGTGACTTATCAAATGCTGAAAATTCACATTAGGTACAATCTTCATAAATCAGTTTTGGTAGACTTGCTTTTTCATGCAAATGCTTAGTGCCTGCTTCACTTATTAATCATGATGTGATGTATATTTATTCATTGTAAGACATTTTATTGAGTTCCTCAAAGTCCGAGGCACCATTTTCAGTACTGAGGACAAATCGGTGAAAAAGAGAAACAAGATTTGTATTTTAGTGGGAAAGATGGAGTAATACCAAGTAATTTCATGTAATGAGGAATCTTCAGAAGACAGTAAAATAATGTGATAGAATCAGTAGCTAAGAGGGAAACAAGGAGTGGGGGGACCATAACATTACATAATCTGAAAATTGACTGAAAAGGAGGTCTGGATGATGATAACGAGAACAGCATTCTAGATGGAAAAGCATGTGCAAAGTCCCTGAGGTGGGAAAGAGAGGAGGACAGTGTCTCTAGAAGGTAATGAATACATGGGAGAATGGAGTTGAAATCAGAGAGGTACAGATCTACAGGTACAGTTCCTACAGTGCCTTGTTGACTCCTCTGCACCCTTTGGATTTGATTATAACAACAATGGTAATAGTCTTAAGCAAGGCAGTGTTGTGATCTGAGACATATTTGTGAAAGACCCTTTCCCAGTGAGAAGCACTTAGGGAACTGTTGCAGGAGATAATGGAAGTAAAGCCACTAAAACAGGCTGATGAGTTGATCAGAAATTATAAACTAAAAGAAGAGGACAATTCTTTTTGTTTGTTTGTTTTCCTAAGCAATTGAGTAGATAGTGGTGCCAAGACAGAGAATATCAAGATTATGTCTGTGTTTTTAGCCAGGTAGTTTTCTAGGATTATCTTACATATGATCCCTTTGCCACGATCTGCGTTTCTCATACTTCATTGAAGAAAGTGCATGCTTAATTAATTTGAGTGGGAAGACACTTTATTGGGGGTGTAAGAAATTTTAAATACCTAAATAAAATTTATTCTCTGTGGAAAACAAAAAAAGGGGTACCATTATATTACTTTATTGAATCACAATTACAAATACTGCTCCAATCTACCAGTAATACCAATAATAGAGCAGCTTAAGTTGTTTCTGTTTAAACATATAAGATCCTATATCAAGTAAGCACTTGGAATAATATTTTTCATGGCAATTGAAAGTCTTATTCATTCAAATGATGGCATCTCATTCATTTAAATATTGACAGTACACAAAATGACCAAGTATAAGAATTATCTAAATTCAAATACTGGTGCCACCAGTCTAGCTGTTTGACTAGGGGCAAGTTAATTAATTCAGTTTCACTTTCATCAGCTGTAAAATGGTATCTATCTTATATGGTTATTTTGAAGATTGACTGAGTGCACACTCATCCATGTGCAGGGCTTAAAATTGTGCATGCAGGAAGAACTCATCAGGCATTTGCAGCCCTTATAGTTTTTATGTCATTATCTGTTTTGATTGGGGATTGTCTGCAGACATAGGCAATATTGGTTAGCCCTGACCATGTCATAATGTGTGATTGAATAGGTTCATTCCTCTTTTTATTTTCATGTACATATGAATATATGAGAATATATAAGTATATATTCATATTCCTGTATGAATCCTTAGAGAGAATGAATAATTATTAAACAATTAATCAGATGTTACAAGTATCACCATAGGCAATGGCAACTCACTCAGCTTTGAAAATGGACTCACGGTGTAAGTTTTAATCATCAGTTTAGGGAGGGGAAAAATATAAAATTTTCTAAATTTAGTGAAAAAAATTGCTTAAAAGTCATTTATATTAATCTTTTTATTCAAAGGTCCTGAGTAAAAATAAAATTATGATATTCATGTCATTGGAATGCTATGGGACTCATATGTGGAAAGATACATAAAATATTAATCCCAATGCCCAGGCACACAAAAAGAATTTGTTAAATATTACGCCTTTGGTATTGTTATGATGGAAAAAGCAGAACACTTACAAGAGGTAAATCCAGGTCTTGGCTTTACTACTAACTGTGCTTTGAAGAAATTTGATCATGTTTAAAATCCTACCCAGAGTGCTGTTTTTCCTTTGCACAAATGAGGGTTTGGGGAGTAACAGTATCATATTATTACAAAAATAAGTTATACTTAACGGCACACATTTTTGTAACTTCATGGTGAAAAATAGATGAAGACAGTCTAAAATAGAGACTTAGTAACTAAAAACATTGAGATTTGTCTACATTACATTTTTTTAAATGGCAGTTCATGCTATACTTCAGTAAAGAGTCTAAAAAGTGCCACAGTAAGGGAACCTTTAAATTTGCCTAACATAGCTTTCCACGACATATTTGACTACAAGCACTCTTTATTTCAAAGACCCTTATGAACAACCTGAAGCATTATTACTTGAAGGAACAAAGTCTGAGAGACACAAATATAGATAGCATATTATTTACATCGACTTGGTTATCCAATGGAGATTAACATAAATGACCAACTCTTGAAAGACTATGTCTATTAGATCAAAATACTCTAAATGACTGTGCTAACCTATGGGTGCTGTGCACATATCAAGCTCTGATTGTTTTTTTAAAGACTGTAGAATAACTAAGATTCACATGGGGATTTTTCGCTCTTAGTTTTGTGGTTAAAAAATATTAAAAATCTATGGCACAAGATAAAAGTCTATTTAATGTCCAGAGTTAAAAGATATTACTGAATTAATGTCCACTTCTGATGATTAAGGGAATCTCACACTTATATGTGGGGCCACAGCTCTTGTCTAGCAGTTGAAATGTGTCATATTGTGTTATCTCATATATATCCGCTAAATTAGATTTATAAGTCCTTGGGATAACAATCTGTATATTAAAGTTAATAACTTATATGCACTTTCTGGCTCCTATTTTATCTCCATCACATGTAGAAGAAATTTCTCCATGGAATATTTAGCTGAAATTTCTCCATGGTATATTTAGTTGAAAACAGGATAGGATCTCAGTCCACCAGTATATTTATATTTTCACTTATATGAACAAAGGCCTTATGAACTACCTTATACTTTCTGTGCCCTTCTGACAAAAAGAATGGTTGCCTTGAATATAAAATTTGAAAAAAAGAAAATTTTAAATATGAATGTTAGAAAAATTGATCTTCCGATCTTGATATTACTAATTTGTACAATATAGTCTAAATATATTCTAAGCAATGAATTTCTGAAGGATGACATTTTGGAAACTCTAGTTTGAAACAATCATCTTTATTTTATTTTGTTGGATGATCTAGGTAGATGAAGATTAGAGTTTTGAAGAAGAATAATTAGTTTAGAAGTTGGTAGCATATCAGAACCCAGGCATTAATATAATTTCATTGATTCCTTTCCTATTTATTGAATACCTACCATGTGCCAGGAACTGTGTCAAATACTGGGACACAAAGATGAAGAGGAATGACTCTCCAGGAGCTGTCCCTGTGGTCACATGAGGAAGGCATGCACTGAGCCAGTAATGATAGATATAACTGCCTTTTTAAAAGAGAAAGGGCAGGGTATAAACAAAGCATAGGAAGTTTTAGAAAAAAGTGTTTGAGGGGAAATATTAATTTGGGTAGTTATAAGATGGTCACAACCACAGTCAATAGTTTTTTTTATTAAAAGCATTTTAATACTATTAGACATAGAAACCTTAAAACAGCAGAGTTGTCCTTCTGGGAAACAGAGGCCTCTCTTCCTTCTACTTGGTTTCTTGGCTAGGATCGTCTTCTGGAAACACTAAGTATTGATTAAGAAAAAACGTGATGTTCCTCCACCCACCTGAATTTTTGGAGAAACTACACTTTGATTACCAAAACTAAACACATAGAAAAATAGAGAAGACAAGAGAACTGAAATAATTTAAAATCACTGTGAAAAATATTTTTACCCTATAAAATAATCGAGATGACTATTGCCAGTTTTGAAGCAAGTAGCTTGATATCTTAATGAAGATATTCCCTAAAGCTTTATAAAATCTAATTCAGGACTAAGGAGACATTTGAAAAACTATTCACTAAGGGAAATTAGAAATTCTGGATTCACGACATCAGGGAAATGAAGTGTTGTGGGGCTGATGCCGCCATTTACATTGTTATTCCATGAAAATGGAATAAAGCTGTAGACTTCAATTTGGGATAAGCACACTGAGAAAAATGAAATCATCTCTTTGTAATTCAAAGCAGACAAAGCATTATCTGCTATTTAAATATCTCATCTAGCTATGCAGGAAACTAATACATGTGCTAATTCAGGAATGTGTTGAAGCTTCACAGAGAATAATTTGAGATATGGTCAGTGAAACAATTATCAGTCATTGTAAAGTTTTGCATGTGTTTGAAAATTTAATCATGTGGTGGACATATCTGATATTAGCATATGTATCCATAATTATCATTCTCAAATTAATTTTAAACCATTGCTAAATAATAAGAGAATATATCTCTTAAAAGATAAAAGCTTTTCATATCTGAAAAAAGTCACTCTGATAGCAAAAAAATAAGACTTTTGGTGACAAAAATACACATTAAGATTCTCTATTTTAGGAAATCATCATTTAAGAATAGCTTATCAATTATTGAATAGGTGCCCTTTTTTATTCTTGCCATATGAGTGTTTTTCTGTGATACTTCCAATTTTGACAAAAATTCAACTATTTCAATAATACTCAGATACAGACCCCCTTGAAAAAGTTACTTAAAAACTATCCAGTAATTTGTTACTTATAGGTGTTTTGTGCTACTGAGAATAGTAATGTTACCTTTAATTTATTTGAAAAACAGACAACAAATGTCATATCTCATAGAACTAGGATAATTTGTAGCATTGTGAAACTTTGTCTTTTGAGTTCATAGCTTATTGAGTGACTTTTCAGTTGGAAAGCTAACACTTTGATCAAGTGATTCTTACTAATTCTAGACTATTTCTCTGAGGTCAAAGAAGGTAGAATATCATTCTCAGTGTGTATGTAAAACCAGTGTGGACTTTTGTATTTATTGCCTAAAATAAAGTATTTTACAGATAATGATAAGATACCCTAAGGATGTCTGAGATGTTAAGTACATCACAAAGATATATGGGAAGTGGTAAATATAGCTTGTGTTAAATGGGCTAATATAATTTTCACCTCGTAGTTACTTTCTAGTTTTATTTAGTTATAGTTACAATCAACATTTAAGTGTGGTGTGCATAAATTTTGATTTGGTTAATCTGAACCCCACTATTTCAAGATGGTGGTTTATAATGCTTTAATTAAAACCAACATTGAGGCTGGGAGCGGTGGCTTATGCCTGTAATCCCAACACTTTGGGAGGTCAAGGTGGGTGGATCACTTGACGTCAGGAGTTTGAAATCAGCCTGACCAACATGGGGAAAACCTGTCTGTACTAAAAATACAAAAGTTAGCCAGGTGTGGTAGTGCATGCCTGTAATTCCAGCTACTCAGGAGGCTGAGGCAGGAGAATTGCTTGAACCCAGGAGGTGGAGGTTGCAGTGAGCCGAGATCACGCCACTGCACTACATCCTGGGAGACAGAGCAAGACTCCATCTCAAAAACAAAACAAAGCAAAACAAACCAACATTGCAATATACAACTTCACTTTATGTAGGCAAATACAGTTAGTTACCATGCTTAGTTCTAGTGAAAGTATCACTCATGAGAAAGAGCTGCTGCACCCTCTTAAATATACCCAATTCTCTTAATTTTTAACTAAACCAAGATTTTGTGTTCTGCCAGACATTAAAATGCATTTCTGCAATGCAAATATTTTTGGCTGCTGTATACTTTTTCCACAATTACCCATCATTTCCTAAATAGGGATTGTGCACATTTTCACCTGGACCCACACATCAGTGAGTCTGAGGCATGGACCACAGCAGCATGTCTGAGCATAACCTAGAAATTGGCATTCTTGAGCATCAGCAGTTTTCACTAACAAAACCCTCAACCCACATTTTAACCACCTGGCTTAGCACTGTCTAGGACCTATGCCATGTGACTACTGTGGCCTTCATAATAATGTTTAATTTGTTTTCTAAAACTTTCTAGAGTCATCATAAATGGCCATTTGCATTCATGGTAACAACTCACAAGTATTAAAGGCTTATTGAAAAATGCTAGTCCTGCCAAACCTCTCTTGTACTGAGAGGCACATGGCTTTTTGTTCCTGCCAACAATACTGTGATGGATGATTCCACTCCCTCATGACCAGGTTACTGAAAAAGTGCCCCCTGGACTTTATGCTTCTGGGCTCAGCTCTCTCAAATCCATTCCCTATGAATCTGGCAGAACGTGGCTGTCAAACAGTTTGCATCATTCAATTTCTTTCTAGAAAATCTACATTGTTTCCAACTGACCTAAAATCATGGGCTTTTTTCTGGGGCTCTTTTCCTTTTTTTGTCTCTCTCTCAAGCTGGTCGCTTTTAGTCAGAGAGGCCATCCTTATGACTAAATGCCTTCTCAAGCTTGACTCCTGCATTCTGTGCACCCAAAACTTCAATAGTAAAGTCCATAGGTTATAGTTGTCTACAAACTGGGACATCTCAGGGAAAACTCATCCATAAATACATCTCTGATATTCCCAGTGTTTTCATTTCTCAATTTGAGAAGTTGTCTTTCTAACAGGGATAAATGAAAGCTGATAAGAAATTCAAGATTTTTTAAATGGCTAAAGTTTATATAATAGTTCAGGTGTAGCAAGTGTATTCTAGTGTAGCAAGGGTTAGAAATAGGTTTCAAGTTATGTTATACAGAATCATCTTTATGTATAAACTGAGTTTCATAATGTTACATGTAGCTAGTCTTTAGTAGTACAGATAAGCAGAACAAATGGCATTTTCTTTTCAAGGTGTACAAAAAGGGGACCCCAACTGGAGTTCATAAACTAGGAGAATGGCAGGGAAAAGAACTTCCCCTGATGGAGTATGCCATACTCTCTGGGTGAACACAACATATTTCTTTATAATACCCAGGCTTTTAGGGAAACCATAGAAAGTACCCTCTAGCCGAGGGGTGTCCAATCTTTTGGCTTTCCTGGGCCACATTAAAATAAGAATTGTCTTGATTCACACATAAAATACACTAATACTAAAGATAGCTGATGAGGTAAAAAAATCACAAAAACATTTTTTTAGGAAAGTTTATGAATTCATGTTGGGCCTCATTCAAAGCTGTCCTGGGCCACAGGCAGCCCAGTGGCCACGGGTTGGACAAGCTTGCAATCTAGCCAGTTCATTTCTTGAGGAAAGCATTAGCTCAGGATCCAAGTTCTTGATACATGCTCACTGCATCTGTACCTTGCAGAAAAAAGAATGATATCTAGGCACCCTTGAGTTCTCCTCTGTGTGTTCATCAAAGTTGTATGCACGTATACCTACCACAGTACTTCCCATTCTGCAATGTAGTTTTTGGTTGATTTGTCTCTCTCTAACACCATACAAAAAGCTACTTAAAGAGCAGGCACATTACTTCATTCTTTTTAGCCTAGAATTGTACTTTCTTTTTTTTTTGTGGTGGGGAGGGGGACAATTCCTCTAAACTCACCTCTGTGAGAAATAAGGTCAGATTTACTCCTCTCCATCCCAAAGCAGTTAAGTAAGCATATAACTGTATGAAATAATGGCTAACTACATGGACAACTAGCATTCAGATTTTAAAGCAAAATATTCAACTGTCTTGTGCCTCAGATATCTCAACTAGAGAATAAAGATGATAAGGCTCCCTACTACAGGTTTGAGAGGTTTAATTAAATGTGATAATGCACCTAACCATGGCCTAGTCAAGGGCATATGGTAAATCTCAGTAAATAACAGCTATTATTTGTATTCCATTTCATATCTTTGATATATTTCCAGTTGTTCCATGCTGCTTATATGTTGCAACTCTGGAAAGATTGCAAATTACTAGAAGACAATGTATGTCCCTCCATTTCTTTAGTGGCTATAGTATTTCCTCATGTCTTGTACTCAAATCCACCCACAGTTTGTAAATGGAAAGGGTTGCCAAATTTCAAATGAAGTACAGAGTAGAGTGGAGGCAACAAATGATAGGAAGTTACTGTGTGAAACAAATCAGCCTTCAAATGTGATCAGGGAACTGGGGCCATCTCCTAATTTAAGAATATGATCAGAATTTCATCTGCAGCTGATCATTTAAATTAAACAAACAAGCACAGCTGGAAAAACACATGCAAATTTTGGTATTTCAGTCCAGCAATATGCAAGCATATCCACTGTAGGAGTAATTTGCTGAATAAGCCTCATTAATGAGCTCTAGCACTAGTTTATTCTGAGTAGTCATGCTACACTCTAATAAAGGCAACATTTTTCTGAGCACTACATAAGGTCAAGTCTTATGTGTGGTATCTTTCCTCATGAAGCACAGTACCAGTCTTTCTAGTCAAGAATTTCTCCCATTATAGGTAGCTTGTCAAATATACATGGAGCCATGTATTTCTCAAGACCTCATTCTGAAGTACCTTTAGACTTAATTGTTATAATCCATTCTACATTAGGGTATGATTCAGAAACATCAGTGGATGGATTGGGTACAACCTATCCATTACTGAACTGTATTCTTATTAACCATCTGTGCATTGATTTAGCTTCCTATTACATTTGCAAACTTGAGGTCTAAAAATAGAATAATCTAAAGGTAAAGATTTTAGCTCATCTTCAATACAAGAGTAAGGTAAGATTTTGCAATTTTGCAATGGGAGGCTACTCAACAGCATACCGAAAGTTACTGTCCTCTCCAGAAAGGAGTGGCACATATATCTAACCATCCCACCACCTTCAAAGAAATATGGATATAACTTGATAGGCAAACTCTGTGTTCTGACCTTGCAGCCTAGCACTGGTTTACATACGTGAGAAATGGGAGCTGTTTAGAGCCCTAGTCATTTTTCAAATAATTTCAAATATTCCTGATCAGGCTCTAAACAGCTCCCGTTTCTCATATGTGTAAACCAGTATAGCTACTTCCCTCTCTAGCTCCATTATGACATTTTCAAGAGACAGGAGCCAGAAATATGCTGCAGCTCTATCCCTGCAGCTGCAACTCCCAAGCTGGAAGGAGGAAATGTCAGCAATGCAAAAAGCAAAAGAAGAACCAGACCAATTGGTGCTGTTAGGACCTGATTCATTAGCATGGGCCAGGGTTTATTTTCCAGTGTAGAAAAAACTGGCACAAATGCTTGGCAATGTGCTCCAAGCTCTATCAGGGAAAGGAATTGATCATTTGGATAAGAAACAAAAAAAAGTCTCTCTCTGCTTCACTGTGTCTCTTATGTGTGGTGCTACTGTACTGCCTTAGGAACAAGCATAGTGTGTCTATTTTTAGGGCAAATGTGCCTACTCTATCTTCGCCAACTAAATCTTTCTACATGACTAATTTGCAAGTTGAATTATCTTGGTAAATAGGCTGACTCACTAGCAAATAATCTGCAGAATTTATGCATTAGGCTTCTGTAGTGAATTAGGTCCTTTTGTCTTGCTCAGCATGCTGTAATAAACTGCAGTAGTGCTCTGGTTAATAATAAAAAAAAAGAAAGGCAAGGAAGAGAAGTTATTCCAAACACATGAAGAGTCTTTCTTTAGAATAGTTAGTTATGATAGAGATATATATAGCAGGTTATATTGAGAGATATGGCAATGACTTAAGTCAAATAAGGAAATGAACCATGATATAAATAGATATATGCATAGCTGATGTGTGTATATGTAAGATATGTTTTGTGCCTCTGTTTGTGTGTGTATGTGTGTGTATGTTTATCTCCTAAATGAGTTAATGGAATAATTTATACTTACATAATCATTTATCACAAAATGTGCATAGCAATCAGTATCCAACAGCTAGTAGTCATTCAAGAAACATTTGTAAAATGAATGAATTGCAATGTTAGGTTAACATTCTCCATTGTCAGTGGTCCTCCCCTTCTGCTGTCCCTACTCCCTCTATGCTTGTGGTGATTCAGTTGCAGAAAGACACATCTATATTTCATAGCTGTAGAAAAATTCTTTTTTTGTGGTTGATTTCATGTGGTTTAAAAAGAATGCCAAATTATTTGTACCTACAGGGATAATGACCGACTAAATTTTTTTTTCATATATGTGCGTATGTGTGTGTCTATGTCTGTATGTATAGTCTAAATATTATTGTCCAATCATGGCAGGGATTATGGTTGTATGTACTCGAGTACCTAAGAGTGGGCCAGGACAGTTATTCACTAAGGGAGTGTGTGTGTGTGTGTGTGTATGGGTGTGTATGCATATGAGGGCTAGAAGTATTTTATTAGTCAGTTTCCACAATTGTTGGTGCATGAAGATAATAAAAAGCAGACTTACTTTTAGCCTTTTTTTCTTTTTTTTGGTTTGTAAATTCTTTACAGAAAATGTACCTTCTTATTGCCTGCACCTGGTGTGCACTGTTCCTACCACCTCTCTTGCTAGTGCCAAGATTCTCAGCAGAAACCTGCAGGAGTATAGGCAGCACAGTGCAGACAATGTCACTGCTCCATCCATACCTCTAGGATTGTTTCCCCATCACATGTGTCGGCTCCAGTGTCTCACTCCCAACAGCATACCCCTGAGGATCCCTGGAGGAAAGCAGCCCTTCAGCTGCTGCAGCCTGCTTTGCCTGCACACAGGAAAAAGTACACATTTGGGGCAGACCTTAATGAGGACGTATAAATATCTGGCCCCTGATCTGACATCTCTGAAGTGTGATCTCCACTATTACCAGAGTTCCCCTGAGGGACTATGTCCATGGGACTTTGTTTATCTCACATCCTTACTTGCTGTCCTTCCCTGTGCCATTTCCTCACTCATGGGAATGCTTTCTAGTACATCACTGTCTCATGAAACCTTGTCTTAGCGTCTGCTTATTGGGACAGTGATGGCAACTTAAGTCATACGTAATTGTTAAACCTAGGATTGGCAAAACTGAGAATCACTGGGCAATTTTATATAAACGCTTTTCCAGAGAAGAGTGAAAAGAAATTCTTCTAGTTGGTATCTCTGGTAGATACCATAAAGTAATAAAGAAAAGCTAAAATAAACCCCAGAGTCTAACTCAGCATGATTCTACACTTTCTGTAGGCTTCTGTAGGCTTCTAGAAATTCCCTGGAAAGGGAATTGTCAAAATATAAAAAACAGTGAGATCTTCCTCTCACTCTAGGGGTGCCCTTTGTCCCCATAGTTATGCTTTCATGGGGGAAATATGTGATTATTTCCTCTGGAATCCAAGGTATCATTACGTAAAAAAAATTTACTTCTCTTACCTCTGCCCTTTACCCTTTTCAGAGGTAGAATTAAATTCAAGGGTACAGCTAATAACTGAATATATGGTAAGTACTGATTTCATTTGGGGACTGCAAATACACAGTCAAACAAACATTCCATACCTTCAGCTGTATTACAATACAGTAAGAGTGACAGATCTGTGCAAAGCAACTATGAAGCAAGGAAGGAAATACATGCCACAAATAGAATGATAAACACAAGTCTATGGGAGCCAAAAGGTGAGACCGATGAACTCTGAGCTGAGTGATCAGGCAAAGTAGCAGAGCCAAGAAAGCTCTTGATGAGATCCTTTAATAGGCAAGATTTGATCAAGCAGAGTCAAGGACTTCCAAACTGAGAACAACATAACAAGGGCAGCTGGTCACGGAAACCAAGTGTGGAGAGCAGAAATAGAATGGGCTCACAATGCAGGTAGCACTGAGCCGGACAGGGAGCAGGCAGACTGGTGAGGTTTCAGGAACACAATGAATACCCGCTGGCTGGATTTCATTGACTGAAATTCCACTGACCAACTGAGGTTGCTCAAAATGCACATTTGTGCAAAAGCGCAAATTTTTAAAAAGTCAAATAAGTGACGGAAGTAAAGCAATTTTTTAAACATTCTGAAGGACATAGTAGGAAAATTAAGAGATAATCTAACTCTAATTACCAAAATAAGTATATAAATAAATATGTTCTCAACAAACTTACATTAAGCATCAATAAGTACAAGGTTATATTATGGAGCCATATAGACTCCCTTTCCTCATGGAATTGACAGTTTTTTGAAAATCAGATTTGTCATGGGTACAAACAACATACGACAACTAGCAGAGTATCACAATATATACTTGGTAGATAAACTACAGAAGTTAAATATGCTATTATGCCAATTGGTAGAATACTGTTAATAGAAATATAAACCAGTACTTGAAGTTTTAGTGAAACTTATTAATTAGACCCAATATCATGAGGACAAAGCTGAGAATGATTAGAAACAGCTGCCACAATGTATCTTGGGATAGAATCAGTGTCAAATGCACACATTCTGTGCAACAGAACAAATATTTTCCTATTTGATTTCAGAAAATAGATAACCCAGTCAAGTATATTGATTTAAGGTTCTATTTAGGAAAAGAAAAAAACCCTTCACTGCAGTCTAGTGAAGAAAAGATAAACAGGCTTGTGGTGTAGAAAATGTGGGGGCTCAAACAAACACTACTTGTCATGTGATTTATCATAGGTTGGGATCAATTTTTAACAATATAATTGATAATAGAGGCAATGGAGAGGATACTTTGAGTTCTTGTTTTGTGATAAGTGGTCGGTTAAGGTATGTATACATATTTATTTATTTCTTCACTGAACTTACATTTATTGAGTGTCTGTTTAGTGTCAGGTAGTGTTCCAGATGGTACAGACCTAATGGTGAATAAACAGCAAGAAAGGCTTCTCTGATCATCTGAAGAGAGACCTACATGAGAGAGTAAGGCAAACAGTTGTCTGTAGGCTCAGTGTTTCCAGCAGAGGGAGACAGGACAGGAGTTTCCAGCACAGGAGTCAGGGATGCACATGACCTGGTCAGGGACTTAGTCAGAGGAGGCTGGTGCACTGAGGTGATGTAAGCAGGAAATCTCACTGGAGATGAGGTCAGTAGTGAAGGCAGGAGCAGAGTATTAACAAATTTATCCTCACAATGATTCTACCTTATAGGTATTATTATACCCCTCATTTCCTACTTGGGCAAACAAAAGTTTAAAGGCATTAAATAGTGAGGCACAGCAAACGGAATGTAGGCACCATGAAGCCCAGCATATACTCTAATCCCCACATCCATCACCTTCCTGCGGATACCACATCTGTGTATTCGAGCCCCCGCTTATCCAAAGTTTTGCTTTCTGCAATTTCATTTACTCTTGGTCAACTGTGGTCTGAAAATATTAAAAGGAAACTTCCAGAAATAACTCCTAACTTCTAAATCACATGCTGTTTTGAGTAGCATGATAAAATCTTGCACTGGAATATGAATCATCCCTTTGTTCGGCGTACCCATGTTGTCTATGCTACCCACCCTTTAGTCACTTAACCATCTCAGTTATCAGATGGACTGTCACTGAATTGCCGTTCTTGTGTTCAAGTACCCTGATTTTACTTAATCATGGCCGCAATGTGCAAAAATAGTGACGCTAGCAATTAAGATATGCCATAAAGTACTTTCTTTAAATGAAACAGTGCACGTTCTCAACTTAAGGAAAGCAAAAAATTGTATGCTGAACTTGCTAAGATCTACGGTGAGAACAAATCTTGAGATCATGAAATTGTAAAGAGGCAAAAAGAAATTCATGCCAGTTTTGCTGTTCCACCTCAGACTGCCAAAGTTATGTCCAGAGTGCATGATAAATGCTCAATTAAGATATAAAAGGCATTAAATTTGTGGGTAGAAGACACGAACAGACATGTGTTCCAATTGGTGGCAATTGTGTTCGGTACTATCCAAGGTTTCAGGTATTCACTGGGGATGATGGAATGTATCCCCCTTGGATATGGAGAACTACTATATGACACTAGGAGAGCTCTAGCTTCAAAACAGATGAGAAATGGTAATTGTGTTGACTGGCTCACAAAATTAAAAGAATTAGACTTTTCTATATATGTATTTGTTTCCGTATATTTACTATATAAATATTCATTGTTCTGCATTTCACCATTGCATAATTCAGTTCATAAATTATGCATTTATGTTGTATTTTGTTTTTATAATAAAAGAATATCAAATATGGTACTAATTGTCCAAGTTCATCCTCAAATTCCTGTAATATTTCAAATAATAATAAATCCAGAATAAAAATTGAGATATCAGTAAGCTGCCCCTTGCAAAGAAAGACACCTTTCACCTGTATATGACTAGGGATGTCCCTAAAGAGGGAGGTCTCAGGTGAATGTTGGAATTTCGGCATCCATAAGAGAGAGGGTCCAAGGCCTTCTGCCTGGAAACTCCCAAGGATGTTCTTCAATCCTAGGCTTGTCCCTGAAAGTTGTACTTTTCCTTCCTACATAGGTTCTGGGGACACCCTTTTTGCCAAAACACAGTTACTAGATTATAACTTTATTGAAGGTATACATCTATCTTTTCCACAGCATAGGCTCTTGCACATAAGAAACACTAAAGAAGTACACGTTTATTTTACTTTTATTTTTGTTTATTGTCTATTGAGCATTTTATTTGTAAGCATTACATCCCTAGAAAAATAATCCCCAGGATTTTCCCTACTGTGCACTTTCATCTTGCTCCTTTGTGGTCCATGATGCCAGCTGAGGTTGTCAATACAACTAAACTGACTGGAGAAGAGCAGACTGTTTTGCCATTTTTCTAGGTCTTTGAGTTGTACATCGAAGTTGAGGCTAATCATGCCACACATGTTTAACCTGCCTGAGGGATTCGCAGCTCTTTTCCCAGCTGTGTAATCATCAATGATTTCAAATTTGCCAGTGTAACCACGCTTCATCATCACAGTGAGAAACCAGATGATGGCTCTGGAGCACGGCCCCATAAGAACCTGATGTTTGCCTCTCTTTTTAGCATTGTTATTGCTCTTGAGAGCATCAGCCAGGACAATCATGAGCACCATTATGGTGGCATGGAAAGATGGTGGAAAAAGGACAGAAGTACATGTTTAAATGAGAGATCATCTTGCTTCTAAATGAACGGTGATTTGATTGCCTGTAGGCCGCCTGCTAAGGAGTAAAACTTTTTACCTTATATTCATAAAGCATGCATGTAAGACTTCTGGGTTTTCAAAAGGGTCATCTTGTATTAAAACCTTGATTATTCACCAGACCTTTAAAAAAATGGAAGGGTGAACTTGATGACGGTAAGTAATTAGATGTAATGGTCACTAAGCCTCATAGTCTTAGCTTGTAATAGTAGTGAATCATGCACTCCATGAGAGGTCACTAAGACTGGATTTACCAGCTAAACCTTACTTTTCTCAAGTTTAAAGGGAGGAGTTGTACATTGAAATCTTCATATACCATAACCTAATTGAATAGTGACATAATACCTACTTCTAAGGACTATATATTCAAAGTATTATGAAATGTACAATGATGCATTTGAGAAAATTAATAAGTCAGAGATTAAGACTTTATCACAGTATCTGCTCTGAGGTGAGACTCTGTAGGATATGCATGGAGAGAGAAAGTGGAAAAGATGGTTAGTGTAAAGGTAAGTGCTAAACCTGGTGTATGGGTGGACAAAAGTAAGAACAGAAAACACTGATCCTGGTTGTCGCCTCAAGTCTCCTGGTATGCTTTCTCCATTTTTGAAGATAAGTGAAGTTCAGTGGTAGGGCATTTGATTCCCACACTGAAGATCAATGTTGACTATGAGGAGGAAGAAGAAAGAAAGAAGGAAGGAAGAGATAAAACACACTTGAAACAGCAGCAAGATCGTGGAAAAATGTCTGCTTTTGGCCACCTTCATCACCTGGCTGTAGCGACCTTTTCTGTTTACACACATTGTTCAGAGAATAAGCATCTATAGCTTCTGAAAGTAAATGTTTTCCCTCATATATCCCCAGAATTCAAAACAACAAGTACAACTTTTAAGTTGCAAATCACACCTTGCATACTCTATTTAAATTGTAACAAGAGAGTTTTATTTTTTCTTTTTAATTTGTGAGTTCATGTTCGCCAACTTCCTTTGTTATTAGGTGACAAGGAAAAGCTTCATGAAAAAAATTATTGAAAAAACCCAAGTGTAACTAATTTCTTAATTTGTATTCTTACCCACTCTTACTCATAAGACAAAATAAAATCCAGAGAGGGACAGCAATAAGAAATAGTGACAATAAGAAAATGAAGAATACTTTGAGGGATAAGCAGAAGGGGAGGGAACAAAGAGAAAAATTGCTGCACACCAACTTCCTTGGATGTCATGTAGTCCCTTTGTAAATTGTCTGGAACAAGACAAGCACAAACAGAAAAAGCAAACCAATGAGTCAGAAATGGAATTCAATTTCTTGATACCACAATAGTAGAGGTACGATGGCTGAAAAATAGAAACAATGGAACAAAATATAATTTATTTCCATAACTCTTGTAGGGACACACAAAGCAGTCTGGGTCAATACCTTATGTGACAAGCACATAGCTTTGTAGTCTTAGCCTGCAAAATTGTTTAACTATTATTTTTTCAAGAAATTCTCACAAACCCACGCCTATGTACAACTTTTTACTCACTTCCTTAAAAAAATTAAGAACTTCTATCAGAGAGTCATCCCTGTGTGTAATTATTAAAGACGAAATTTTACATGAAGATGTGTATGAGTACTTGGTTGGAGGTAACAAAGCAAAAACATCTTGGGAATTTTGTCTTCTTACCTACTCACAAAGAAGCAGGGGAAAATGTTATATTCATACATTGGGAATTATATGTGAGAAGATTATACAAGAAATCTGAGTGGAAGATTACAGAATCAGTCATTATTAGCAAGAATGATTATGTGTTTGTGACCCAGAATTTATCCTGGTTTCATTACAGCTCATAAAAGCCTAAACAGAGAGCTACAGCTTAAACAGTCATATTATAGGTTTCCCCTTCCTTTAGGGTATGGTTCACTGTGAAATAAATGAAAATACTAGAAATATTTTGGTGGGTGGTTTGTTTTAATAGAAAATTCTTTGTAAAAACGAAAGTGGGGAGTGTTGTCGGTGTATAAGGGTAAAAAGAGAAAAAAAAATTCTTGCATGATGAAGACTTGCAAGACTGAAGTTTACATAACGTTCAAAAAGATAGTTCTCCCACTTGTCAGTGAGATCATCCACTCTCCTATTCTGCATCTCCTTAGCTAGATCCCAGAAGTAAGTAAAATTAAAAAAAGCCTAAGCCAGGGTATGTGGATGTAGAAAATTTTAAAAAAAGTAAAAGACAGGGTGGGGGAGATCAGAGAGCACCCACTTTCTAAAGTCAAATTTAAATTGGTGATATTAATATCCATGATATTTATTTCAGCCCCCCTCTATTGCAGACTTAAGTGTGGCACAACAGAATTCTATTCACATACTATGAATGAATCTCATGCATTCTTGTAGTGACTCTAATCATTATATTGAATGTGCTGAACACAATGGTATAGAATCAGAAAACAACTTATTTTTTTCCCACACTATTCTCTTAAACCTGACCCATGGACTCATTCTTCCTTAACCTGTGGATGAAATATTTTCCTATTACTTCTTGATACTAAAATAGCTTCATGTTGCTCTCACATGCTAAATATCACCATTTTAGCAATAAAACTGTTTAGTCCAGGGAGCTACTGACTTCACAGAAGGTAATACTTTCCCGCATACCCTACTGTGGCTTGGCTTGGTACTGCTAGCCTGGGAAGTTTCTTGCTGAAGACAAGAGAAAGGTCAGGCTCTTATCTCACGCCTATCCCAATGCCTCTCTCTGCTTCCTGGCCACAGTTTCTGAATCCATTTAGGGAGTTAGTGCAGGGAAGAAATGGGACAAAGAAAGAAAAAGGAGAAGGCTTCCTTCGTTGCCTCAGGTGCCAGTGGGTTATTGGGCTGCCTTGTATGGTAGTATTTCCATACTAATGCTGTGTTTTCTGTTGTTGGATGCTTATGTGGGTTATATGTAAAATCTCCACAGTGACAGGAGACACAGCAATAAACTTCTCTAGCTGGTCATTTATGATGGCAATTCTTAACATTCTATGGGGGCATACAGTAGTCAACTCTACAGAGATTTGGTGCCTCCGGACAGCAGTCCTAGCAAAATTCTCGTTAAGTTCACTGTAGATGGTTCCCAGTCCTGTGATCCATTATCATCCATGGGAAATGTAGACTTTTGTTCTTACCATCAGTAGAAATGATTTCACTCCTAATGCAGTGAGCTCTCTCATAGATGAGGACACAGCTCCAGTCAAAGCGTATTGTCTCTAAATTTCTCAGGCAGAAATAAAATATCAGGGCGTTAGGCTCCTCTAAAATTCTCTCATTTGACTGGAGGATATGTGGTAAAATAAGAAATATGTATTTGATCTTGGTCCCTTGTTCCTGACAGAAGGCTCCTAAAACGCTTGTATTTTCCTGAGTGGGGTGATAAGAGTGTCTTTCAGAGTGACAAAGAGCTCCTGAATTCCTTGGAATTTTCTGGGTAATAGCAATCCCTCTTATTCTAGTGAGATGGGTCTTGGTGAGAAGGATAGCTTTTGGTTTCCAGAAAGATGAAGCTTTATTTGAGGCCTACTTTATTTATTTATTTTATTTTATTTTATTTTATTTTATTTTTTTTCAGACTGGGTGTTGCTCTGTCACCCAGGCTGGAGGGTAGTGGCAAGATCTCTGCTCACTGCAACCTCCACCTCCTCGGTTCAAGCAATTCTCATGCCTCAACTGGGATTACAAGCATGTGCTGCCATGCTCAACTAATTTTTGTATTTTTAGTAGAGACAGGGTTTTCATCATGTTGGCCAGGCTGGTCTCGAACTCCTGGCCTCAAGTGACCTGCCTGTCTTGGCCTCCCAAAGTGCTGGGATTACAGGCGTGAGATACTGTGCCCAGCCCGAAGTCTACTTTCAATCCCCCCACTCCAATCAACAACCTTTTAATACCACTCCCCACAACTTCTTGGAAGAGAAGAGGAGCTGAGATTTAGTAATGAGGTTTGGAGAACTTCCAGACAGGTGATGCTTCCATATGTTGAAAGGGTGGTGTACCCTAAGTTAGCAGGACAGAGGCTCACTTTTGGACTTCTCTTTATGAACCTCTTCAAAGCGCTCTTCATTTGTATGCTTTATAAAACAGTAATAGTAAATAAAGTGTCTTCCTGAGTTCCTTATGCTGCAAATTATCAAGCGTAAGAAAGAGATTGCAGGAAACCCCTGCATTTATTGCTAGTTGGTCAAAAGTTTCAGTGGTCCAGGACTTGCAGCTGGCATCTGAAGTGAAGGCAGTCATGTGGAACGGAGTCCTTAGCTTGCAGGATCTGATACTAACTCCAGATAGTTAGTGTCAGAATTTCATTAAATTGTAGGTTACCCAGTTGGTGTCCAGAGAGTTGGAGAACTGGTTGCTGATATGAGGAAAAATCCTACACATTTGGTGCCACAAGTATTGTGTTGGTAGAAACAGATGATAATAGGTGAAAAGAAAGCATTTCTCCAGTTCTTTCCAGACGAATCTTAACTCCATTAGATTCTTCAACTTTAAAATTAGATGAACAGCCAGGACTCATTAAACTAGCATTTTGTCTTTGCCTGTCCTGCAACAGTAGTCCAGCACCATTCCTAAAAATGTGAAGGCATATGGCATTTTTTTGTTCTTTACTTTTGGAAACTCCTCAATGCTATTTGTGTCTGAAGAGTATACTTTCATTTAAACACTATTATACCAACAAAAGCATATTTCATATTTTAAATTCGAGTTGCTTATGGGTCTCAAGCAGAAATAAATGAGGACTTTGCTACAGAAGGAGCAAAGTAGACTATTAGACTCACCTCTACTATAAATAAATTTAGAACATATTCTTAACTATTTTTTGTGCCTATTATAGTCTTTTCATAAGTAGGGACTGATGAGAATTGGCCACAGTGACTGTTTTATTTCAAAGGAGCATAACTTTTTGTTTGTAAATAAAAGTCAACTTAGAAATCATTTAATTTACCTTCTTAAATTACATAGATTTGACAGACAGTTAAACACACTTAAGAGGTTAATAACATTAAAACTATAGCTAGAGAGAGCCATATAATACTAGTATCTCATTTTGTAACTAACTAGATAGCCAAAAAATAACATGAAAGATAGAAAAAAATGGTTTCAGGTTTTCTAAATATACATAATCATGCAGAGCAAAAGCAAAGCTACCTAGGCAGACATCGACCAACTTTTTTATGCTTTGTGAAAATATTCCAGAATCTTGGTCAGAATGTGCTTTCTTATGCAAAAACAAAAACAAAAACAAAAACTCGTCATTTAAAAAGAGTTGCTACCTAAAAATGTGAAAAAAATTTTACATAGCCTAAACAGACTCCATAAATTCAAATTGTTTCATTTTTTTTGCAGTCATCATTGACAGATAGACAACCTATATGTTCTTTTGCTACAATTTAGTCACTACTTTTTAAAAACTGTCATAGAAGTGATACATTTATTGTGCACGATGTTTTCTATATATATATAGTGCAATGTTTCATTATAATTAACTAACACATGCATTACCACATATATTCTTTTTTCTTAATATCTATCTTCATTTGAAGGTTTTTTTTAGTACAGATAGCTTTTTATATGGTAAATGGATTTGAGGTTTACTCCTTTCTTAAAATGGGACTTAGCATGTGGTAACAAATATTAGACCCTCAGTGCATTTAAATATTAAACTTTGTAGAGTTGTCACTTTTCTCTCTTTATTTTCTCTCAGCAAAATCCTTTGAAACACATAAAATAGTATCCCCCAAGGCAAAGCAATCAGAAGAAAGGTATATCTCACAGATCAGACTTAAATGAGCATCATCTATTTCCAGCCTCAAATGAGTTGCAGAGGAGTTGCTAGTCAGAAATTGGGAAATAATTTCCAAGCAGTGCTATATTGACAATGACATCATTAACATTATTAAAGATATTGAAGAGATTCTCCAAATGAAATGTAAGGATAAAATTTAAAAATCTCAATGTCAAATGATAACATCTGTTTTTCATCAACTGTCATTTTGAACTATTCTTATTGCATCTATGAGAATTTATGAAGACATTTTTGAGAACTGACTACAATGTGATGCATTAGGATCTTCAGGACAGTTACATATAGCCTTTATAATAACGGGGAAAAAAGTTGTATTAGTTAATATGAATAAGGACTCCTTATTTTCAAGCTGAAGGGAAGTGCAATTGTTGCAAAAAATGGTGAGTAGTTTAATTTTTTCAAGTGATTGTGATTGGAATTTATAATAAAGGTTAATGAATAGAGAACTGAAGGACTTGCTTTTCAAATAACCTGAAGGATTCAAATTAAAAATTCTTACTTAGCTGAGGCACTATTAAATTAACAGTTGTATGGGGCAGGTGCTCTCAACTTCTTCTATTCTCTAACTCTTCTGAGAGAGATGACACATGCCAGTAACCATGGCTCACCACAAAAGGGATACTAAAATGGCAGCTACTCCCTAGAAAAGGTACCTCAGTGGATTCTTCCCTGTCTGTCTCCACTACTACAACCCTCTGACTCCTCCTTCATAATCACTGAAATAAGGCTTACTACCTGTAGGTTTTAAAGACTTGCTAAGCACCATACACTATAACCTTAGGAAGTAGCTGGAGGTCATTCTCTCCTACTCAGGGAAGAAGATCTCTAATTTGAACCAAGTCTATCAAGGGTTCTTTAAGAATACCCAAAGAAGGAAACTGGGATAAGGGAAAAACTTTAGTGAATCTGTGGAAGGAATGAAGTGATCATAAATAGATTTGAATGGAAAAGAATGTTTTGATTTTTTTTCCTGATCACTTTGCTCATTTCCAACATATATACCTGGTATACTAAAATGGACTCTGAGAAACCTAGATTTCCCTGTCTTTGGAAGCCACACAGATAACAGGATATGATTCTGGGAAAAGAGAATGTGGAACTGACTGCTAAAGCTTCCTTCTAATCTTAACATAAACTAAAGGAATCTTTGAGGCTAATGTATATGTGACAGTCTACCAAGATGAGAAAATAGATGCATTTAATGGGCCAAAAACCTACGTAGTAATAAAGACAGTTTTAGTCACAAGATTTCTCTGTGCATCTTTGTTAACTACATAGGGATAACAGTGAATACATTAGGCAGCTAGCTGTTCAATATAATGAGATTTCTGTCCTGCCCAGTGGATTTTTTTATCCTCCTCTATGTAAATGAAAATGTAGTAATATATGTTACAATAAAACGTTTGCCATTTCCCCACACTGACACAAATTAAGCAAATGGAAATATATACAGGCAAAGAAGAGAATTCCTTTGAAAGACTCAGTAATGTTTAGAGGAGAATGATATGAATAGTCAGAAAGTATATCTTGTACTGGTTTGAAGGAATTGGAGATAGATAACTTCTTTGGGTACATTTTGAGGGATGCCATTATGGAAAGGCACTAGATTTGCTCAATATGGTGCACATTTTCAAGGGCAAAATCTTAAAGAAGACATGTTTTTAATAGCTAAAAAGAAATATTTTGAACAGGATTCTTTAAAGATGGGAAAAGCAGCATTGAGTGGTAACAAGCAGGCTATCACACATGTATAGGCAGGTCAAAAGTTTCTCAGTGCCCTCCCCCACCACACAAACTTACACATACTGATGCATGATGTAGACATTCAAAACATGTTCATAAGATTCCCCACATTTTGCTGAAGGGATCCAATAAATAGATTGGATGGCCTGTAGATTATGTAGTATTTTGCCATATTACTTGAATACAGAAGAAACTTGAATGTGAATAAAGGTAACAATGAATGAAATCAACTATATCATGACAAAAGTAAATCCTATGAAAACTTTAAGACATTATTTTTTAGTTACTTTTAAAATTTCAACTTCTCTCTTAAATGGTGGATATATACCAGTTATGTTCTGACATATTGAGACCTTCTGGGCTAGGTGGCCACTGTACTGGATTTCATAAAAAGGACTCAACTATCAGACATATAGTTATAACAGATGACCTTTAGGAATTCTTCCAAAACAAAGATTTTTATCATACTGCAACAGAAATGACCAGTGGTCTACCAAAGATTTGTGCTCTCCTTTAAAAACAGAACTGTTGCTCCTTAGCACTAGTCTAACCAAGGATACATTTCCCAGTCCCATTGCATTCTAGATGGGGTCATTTAACTAATTCTCCAATAGAATGTTAACAGAAGGGATATTTATTAATACTAAGACAAAATAGCTAAGAAATTTTTATATCTTTACCATGCTCTCATTTTTTGTGCTCTGGTTAAAAGGCAAAAATTACATTGTTCTAGTGGAAGGTAGAGACATAAGACTGAAGGCATCTGAGACCATGAGTCACATTGTGGAAGGCCACCAACTTTACAGGCACATTATAGTAACTGTTATATTGCTGGGAAATATATAGTTTTATTATATTATGTCACTAATAATTTGGGGTTAATTATAACAGTCTACCTTAAGTTATAAAAATTATAATAATTTCTCATTTTCTAATAAAGTTTAAAGTATTTCATATGGTCTGGCTCTGTAATAATATTATAATTTATTACATGCTCTATTAATATATACATTTATAGAAATGGAAGAAATGTCAAAAGAGTAACTTTAAGTAAAGGCTACCTTTTCAAGTATGATCAACTGATGATTAGGCCTGGGCTTTACTTTTGATTATTCCAGCTTTGTCATATTTCTTAAATTCCTTTTCTTTCTCATATTTAAATATAAAAATTTTCCTTACAAAGGGGTGCTGTAGAGTTTCAAAGCATATTAAAGTCTTTTGTCTTTGACAAATTCAAAGCTCTAATTGCAGACTTGTGAAAAATAATAAATTTATGTCATTCTAAGACACTAAATCTGGGAGTGATTTGTTACTCAGTGAAAGATAACCGAAATAAGTATCATAATCATCTCCCTCACATAGTAAATTCTGAGTAAATCTTGAACTGTCTAGAAGTCTGTTTTACTCATTTCTCACTCTTCTTGGTAATTTCTTACCTCCTGATCAGACCACTGTCCAACTCTAATCCTCATCTATGAGCCAAATTGAAAAGTACAAGGTTTGAAATCTCATAATTTCAAGCCAAAAAAGTAAAGATCTTATGGATATTAGTTAACTAAATTTCAGAGCAGTCATTCTGATGAGTTGTTTTAATTATAGAATTATCTGAAATTCTTTGTTAAGCTCTGAATAATTGACTAATCTATAGCCAGTTTATAAAAGGAGCTAAAGAGGTGGAAGCAGTTGGAAATGTCTGATGAGATCTGATTTTGGGTGAGCACTGACACCTATCAGGTGCAGTGAGTTCCATGAACTAGAGTTAGCTGATGAAATAGGAAGGGGTATCTTTGCTCCTGTGAGTCTTCTAATCTCATGGAATATTAAGCCATGTAGATGAACATGTTAAAAGATGATGTAGCAGATGTTAAATGTCATGCTAAAATTATAGCATACATTACTTTGAAATCTTTGATTTGTCATATTATAGATTATGTACTCCCTCTGCTACTAGAATTGTGAAAACGGCCCCCAATAGGGAGGTTTAGCTTAATAAATGTAGCCTCTTTGTTCTTTAGGCTGCTGATCCAAGTGATTGATTGACACTTCATCTCATCCAGGGAGGTGGGAGAGTGTCATAGGCAGCCAACTCTAATTTTTGATGTCTGACAGAGCAAATGACATTCTTGTGACAGACTTTCTCTTTCCCTCTGAACTGCATCAATGTTTATTTACGATGAAGGGGAAGTTGGGTGAAAAAAAAGCAGTATTGTTTATCATAAATAATGATGTTTTACATTCTGCCTTATAGGAAGAGGAATGACTGGGCCATGGTATATTTATAACCTCAATATTTCTTTAATACTTTAAATACATAAAACACAGGACCAAAATCATCTACAAGCTAATTCGATAGTACTATTTAATGTCCTTAAGGTATCAATAAAAGATTATTATTCATTCTCTGTTTGTTTTGTTTTTAAAACTGTGTATATAGTTTTCACATTCTGTAAGAATAAGCTTTTACACATGTACCTGATTCTCTGAGCTTATAATAATTTCTCAGGTTTAACAGTGGTGGTGTCTTGATAAAAAGATTCTGTTTGAGATGTTAGCTTATGGGCACCTATTATAATGGGTGGAATTAAAAACCTGAAAGTGTGTTGAATGATTCCCTCAAGTAATGAATGATAAAAATTTTCTTTCAGGATGTCTGCAGACCTGGAATCCATTCTTTTGAGTGAGATAATTCCACATTCTTCCAAGCAAAGATGACTTTGAGAAAAGATTAAATATGAATAACAAGGAGACATTCACTCCTGGAAATGGGGACTGTTGGGAAGATAGCACTCACAAATGAACACTAATAACCACAGTGGAGAAGTGGATATAACAGTGTGATTGAAAGGCATTTATATATGTATAATCACTTCATTCAACTTTGTTAAATAGTCTAGAAAGATGAGAAAACAATATCATGCAATACCTTTAAAAAATATGAACATTAGATGATAAAGCATGGACATTATATAGACGAGAATAATGAAGCAACTTGTAACATTTCTGTTGTACAAAATAATAAGCCAAAATGAACCTGAAGGTGTGTATGGATATATATTATCTAGTTTTTAAGAATGCATTGCAGTCGGGTGCGGTGGCTCACGCCTATAATCCCAGCAATTTGGGAGGTCGAGGTGGGCGGATCGCCTGAGGTCAGGAGTTCGAGACCAGCCTGGCCAACATGGTGAAACCCCATCTCCACTAAAAATACAAAAACTAGCTGGCTGTGGTGGCACACGACTGTAATCCCAGCTACTTGAGAGGCGGAGGCACAAGAATTGCTTGAACCCAGGAGGCAGAGGTTGCAGTGAGCCAAGATCATGCCACTTTACTCCAGCCAGGATGACACAGCAAGACTCTGTCTCAAAAAAGCATAGGGGAAGAAGCATGTAAAAGAGTGGCACATTAAAGAGATCAACCTAAAAAGGCATAGTAAATATTAGATAACAAAAAATGACTTACCAAGTAATCTTGAATATAAGACAAAGAAACAGTAGTAACAGTAGTTTTGTTTGGTTTTCAATACTTATGAGTGAATGTAAATTGAAGGTTAAATATTAGAGTATGAGTGAGAGGCTGCGTGCAATGGCTCACGCCTGTAATCCCAGCACTTTAGGAGGCCTAGGTGGGTGGACCACCTGAGGTTAGGAGTTCAAGTCCAGCCTGGACAACATGGTGAAACCCTTTCTTTACTAAAGATACAAAAATTAGCCAGGTATAGTGGTGGGTGCCTGTAATCCCAGTTACTCGGGAGGCTGAGACAGGAGAATCGCTTGAACCTGGGAAGTGGAGGCTGCAGTGAGCCAAGATCATGTCACTGCACTCCAGCCTGGGCAACAAAGTGAGACTCTGTCTCAAAAAATAAAGTAAAATAAAATAAAATAAAATAAAAATTAAAATAAAGAAAGAAAGAACATGAGTGAGAATGGGCTGTGAAAAAAATACTGAGATTACTTGAATGAGTTTGTAACAAGCATTGTAAGTGAAAGAAGGAAAGGAGGGAAGGACAAGCCCTCTATTTCTATTGCCTTTTATATGACTTTAGGGGATATAATATTTTAGATTATTAAGAGATAATGGAAAAGTTGTCAAGAATTATAATGCTTATCCTAAAATAGACAATTGAGTCAGTGTGAGCAAGAAAATTGTTTACCTTTTTTTTTTTTTTTGAGAAGGAGTTTCGCTCTTATTGCCCATGCAGGAGTGCAATGGTGCCATCTCGACTCACCGCAACCTCTGCCTCCTGGGTTCAAGTGATTCTCCTGCCTCAGCCTCCTAAGTAGCTGGGATTACAGGCATGCACCACCACGCCTGGCTAATTTTTTTTTTTTTTTTAGTAGAGACTAGAGACGGGGTTTCTCCATGCTGGTCAGGCTGGTATCGAACTCCCAACTTCAGGTTATCCACCCATCTCGGCCTCCCAAAGTGCTGGGATTACAGGCATAAGCCACCATGCCCGGCCAATTGTTTACCTTTTAAAAGAGTTATATAGGTGTGAAACTATAAGATAGTGGACAAATCATTAGACAAGTGGGATGTTAGAATGCCCGTTTGTGAGAGATAAATAAATGCACACGATTAAATGGAATAAACTCTTTGAAGAAAGAAATACGATGTTTGAAATTAAAGGGCTTCTTTTCTCAAAGTTGCTGATATAGGAGCAATAGAAATATAGTGACTCTGTGTGAATATGTTCTGGTTACAAGTAGCACTAGGTCTTACTGAATAAATTTACTTAAGAGAAACACTTGGAGTATACTCAAAAAAAAAAACAAACCCTCATGCTCTATGTAGACTCTGGTCAGCACCTCAGATATTCTAGATTAATCAGTATAATAAGATCTTTAGAACCAAAGCTGACATACTACAACATCTGGCTGAACTTGGTGTTAGAGAGAATAATGAAGGAATATTCTGATAAAGCACATATGAGCCAACACACACAGTCAAAAGGTCTGAATTAGCTAATGGAGTTAGATAATTGTACTGATGGTAAATATTTTAACATACATATTTTACTACCAACTTTGAATGAGAAAATTTAATGTTTCTTCTTGGAATATATTCTCCCATAAAAGGAAATATTAGTCACATATCATCAAACAGCATGCATTTAAAAAAATAATTTCAATTCCTATTTTAGATTCAGGAATATACATGCAGATTTGTTAGACAGGTATACTGCTTGAGAGCATGCATTTTAAAAGGCACACTTTCTGCAAATATTTAATAAATGCAATGAGAAATACACTAGTACAAACTCATTACCCTTCGTAAATTAAAATACAATTGAGAATTAAGGCATGAAGAAATTTGAATTCAAGACGCTATGTGGTAAGCCATTCTGAAATGGTATAAACAATAATTTAGAAAACAAAAATGTTTAGAGAGAGAGGAGATAATATACTGTCTCCAAAGAAGACATTCTGAGTTAACTTCTAACAGTGTTCCTCAATATGACTTGTATTCTACAATGTTAACTCGACTGTTCTTTGCCTCGAATTTGGAGTTAATTATGTCATTTTCGTTTTCCTTTTCAGCTACTTTTAAAAAATTTAGTTTATTTCCTTTTTTAAAAAAATCTTAGCCTGAGTCCGTCTATGTGCTTTAAACATAATTTTAACCTTTTATTAATGATTTTCCTTCTCAGGCCACAGAGTCATTTTTTTCTGTTTTTTTTTTTTGTTTGTTTATTTGTTTGTTTAACTTTTATTATTTTTCTAATGACAAGAGCACATATTTTGTAAAATCATTTACTGTTATTATTTTCACAAGTTCATTCTTCTTCCAAGTGGTTAAGAGGATAGTGCTCATTTTTATGCAATTAATTTAATTTTTTATCTTTTCCATAAGATGTCTTCCCCATATTTTTTTTTTTTTTTAATCTTGTCATGATATCCTGGTTAATGACATATTGAGCATATACCTGCTGGCCATTTGTAAGTCTTCTTTGAGAAAATGTCTATTCAGGCACTTTGGCCATTTTTAAATCAGGTTGTTTTGTTGCTACTGAGTTACACGTGTTTCTTATATATAGGATATGAATTCTTTATCAGACATATGGTTTGTAAATATTTTCTCCTATTCAGTTGCCTTTTTCACTTTGTTGGTTGTATCCCTTGCTGAGCAGAAGCTTTTTAGTTTGATATTGTTCCACTTACATTTTTGCTTTTGTTGCCTGTGTTTTTGCCATCATATGCAAAAAATCATTGCCAAGACCAATATCAAGCAGTTTTCCCCTCATGGTTTCCTTCTGGAAGTTTTATTGTTTCAGGTCTTATGTTTAAGTCTTCAATCCATTCTGAGTTGATTTTTGTGTATGGTGAGAGCAGAGGGTAAACTGGTGGTTACAAAGGACTGCGGTGAGGGGGAAATGGAGAGATGTTGGTGAAGGGGTACAAAGTTTCAGTTATGCTGGATGAGTAAGTTCTGAAGATCTAATGTGTAGCATTGTGACCATAGGTAACAACTCTCTGGTGTATACTTGAAATGTGCTAAGAGGATAGATCCTAAGTGTTGTCAGCACACACTGAGAGGTAACTATGAGAGTTTATGGATCTGTTAATCAGCTAGGTTGTGGTAATTATTTCACAACATTAACACATATCAAATCATCAAGGTGCACCCTTAATATATACAATAAACAAACAAGAAAAAATTTTCTAACTGAAGAAAGGAATGTGTGAATTAATCTTTGCACTCTTGTCCTCTGGGACTGAAAGAATATACCACTTCATGGCAGGGTTGAGATGCAGCGCTTCCAGTTCAATTTCCAGCAATGGCCAGAAATTTATCTAGTATGGTTCTGTGGGATGAAGGTATATTTTCTTCTGCCCTTCAATAGTTCTTTAACTAGGGAGAGAAGTATTTATGTCCTAGTGAAATTAAGGCCGTCTATAATTCTTTGACCAGAAAAATCTCTAAATGCCTATGGCTCAGCCTATTTCTACTGTTCTGCAGAACATTTTATGCTGGAAATACACCTCCAGAAGGAAATGTGATGCCATCAATTCCCCCTCCATTATTCTTGATGTCTTTGAATTGTTGACTTACTGATGATGGGTGAAAGGAAAACGACTCTTACTTTCTCAAGAAGGATTACCTCCGAAGGCTGGCATAGGTCCTGGAGGTTTGGGGTATAAGACAGTGGCCTGGTTTTCTCCATAGTACAGGTCCTGCATCCCCAAGAATTTAGGAGGCTGGGTTGTACTATTTTAAAGCATGAAGAATTCCTCTCATATTGTGGTTAGTGTTTAACCATTAGTTTCACTTTTTTTTTTTTCAGAATTGAGAGATAGATTTTTCAATCAGTCGTCTTCCTTCCATCTTTTCCTTTCCCTTCCTTCCTTCCTTCCTTGCATCCCTCCCTCCGTCCCTCTCTTCCTCCCTCCCTTCTCTTTCTTTCTTCCTTCCTTCCTTCTTTCCTTCCTTCCTTCTTTCCTGTTTTATTTCTTTTCTGCTTTCTCCTTTGTGCAGGTGTGGGTTTTTTTTATTTTTATCAGTAGGAGACAGTTGTAACAGGATATATTAAACTCTTAAAGTGAAATTACATATTGAAAGGAAAACTTCAAATTAACTGCATTTTCTTTCATTATTCTCTGTCTCAAACACTATTAGTCTTATCAAAATTGTTATGGAATTAATACCGAAATGTACTGATTTATGTGTTATGGTAGCTGCTTCTCCCAAGTTCTATAAAAATGCTATGAAGTAGAATTATTTTCAGAGTAGTGACCAGAAATAGGAAAAGAAGAATAGAATTAAATTTTTCAAACCAGGCAATTTATTTTTGAATGATCAAGAGTGGATTTCTAAAACTTAAAGTATAATAATAAAAAAGAGTGGATTTCTCAATATAGTAGTGGCTGTCTACCTTAATTTGTATCTGTTATTTTTAACTTCAAAATTTCAAAATAAATATTTTCATTGATCTGATTCTAATATTTAACGATGAAAGGTGATATCATTTTCTTCATTCTCAGTCATCATCATTATTAAAATTGACTCCTAAAAGATTTAATTCTCTTTTTAGATATGCCTAATACAGAAAATATTCTGAGGACATCTTGTTCCTGTTTTAGGCATTACAAACTTTGATTCTTTAAATGATGATAAGTCATAAGTAAATACTTTTCCTGCTCTGCCTGTAAACATGGATACACGAAGGAAAAAAAGAGTAAAGAAGGTTTGAAATGATTTCAAAATAGTCTGAGGATTAAGTAGAAACAAAAGAAAGGTTATAACTGAGAGAAGAAATGTAAAACATAAGCACTGTATTACAACATTTACAATTTGGTGTATTTTTGCCTTTCTATTTTTAGAAAAACATTAGACTTACTTATTTAGATGAGACACAGAGAAGAGAGGGGAAAGAATTACTATAAAAAAGGGAAAAAGATATATAAATTTTTGCAAAATTCATAACGAAAGATGAAAAAGAAAGTTATAGTAAGTGTTGGGAGATAATATATATAATTTTATACAGTAATATTTTGGCAACTCATGAGGCTCATCCAAGGATGTGTCTTCTTTAGAAGATGGGATATTACATAATGGCATGCCATGGTGTACTGAAAACAGAACCCAGGGGGCCCCTGGTTCTAGGTGGTGATTGTCAAATAGACTATGACAAAGGATAATATGAGTATCCCTGATCCATTGTTCGCCTTGGAATGACTCTAAAACCACACAGGCCAATAAGTCCCATCATCAGAAATGCAGACAGCTCAAGCCTGAGAGCATATATTAATGTTGTGCATTGTTGTCCAAACACATTAATTATAAACCTTTAAATAAGAAAGGTATAGATTGCTATTTATTTCACAGAGTTTTACATCCTATAAAGGAATTCCTTTCAGTTTGATTTTTTTAAAAGAATATCTTCAAATATTGTTTTTTGAAATCCGAGGGAATAAATTTTGTACAAGTGTAAAACTGCTTATTAGTAACAACTCTGTTTTAAGAACTCATCTTACACAAATGGCAATCATTAACAGCTAAGAGGATAGGACCAGGGAGGCTAGACATGGAGTCAAATCAGAATAACCCTAGAGTTTCCTAATTACTTCAATGAAAGAGTCAAAATTAAATACTCTCATCATTCCATGTAGTCCAAGTTAAAAAAATGTATGTGTGTGTGTGTGTGTGTGTGTGTGTGTATCTACTGTGAGATGGAAGCACAAAGCCAAAACAGTAGGGTCCAGGCAGCTGCACCAGGAAGAACATTTGGTCAAACTTGTTACTCAAAATAGAAATAAGAAAGAGAATTGTAAAGCTCTTAGAACAGAGGGGATTCAAACCTAGAAATAACAACGAAGAACATGTCTTAGTTTTACTAACAGAATAGCACTGTGAAAAAATGGAAGCAATTTAAATTTTCTGTAGTACATTTATTTCTCAGGAAAATGGTTTCCCACTGTGAGCATCCTCTCCTTTACAGGCTCTGTGCTCAGCAGTTCAAATATATTCAAGCCCCAAGAATACCTGTAAAGATTGTGGATTACAGAGTGAACCATAAGTAGGCATCAAAAATGAAAAAAATAAAAACGAAAAAAATAAAAACAAAAAAAGACCAGAGGTAGGTATGTATTGAAAAGAACTGAGCAACATATGATCCCCATTTTATTTTTACGTGACATGAACGATACTACTGAAGTTCAAAGCTTTCCACTTTTCCCAGAAACCCAATTTAATTTCAAAGTGCACTTTGAAAGGATCGAAACAACAATAACAAAATAAACCCATAGATGAGTAATGTGCTTTCAGGATAGTCCCTGAAATAAAATCTGTAGGATCCCTACATAATTGATTGAGGACAGTAAATTGTTCTAATTAGAAATATCTTAAAAGCAATGAAGACAATTCAACAGCTAACAATACTTTCAGGTGAGTGATTTTCTTTGCCATTAAAAGAAGCTTAATACACTCTAATTGCTTTCGTACCTTTAAATCCAACTTGCAAGCGCGGTGGCTCACGCCTGTAACCCCAGCACTTTGGGAGGCCGAGGCGGGTGGATCACGAGGTCAGGAGACTGAGACCATCCTGGCTAACACGGTGAAACCCGTCGCTACTAAAAATACAAAAAATTAGCTGGGCGTGGTGGCGGGCGCCTGTAGTCCCAGGGACTCGGGAGGCTGAGGCAGGAGAATGATGGGAACCTGGGAAGCGGAGCTTGCAGTGAGCCCAGATCGTGCCACTGCACTCCAGCCTGGGCGACAGAGAGAGACTCCGTCCCAAAAAAAAAAAAAAAAAGAAAGAAAAAAAAGGTGTTCTCAATACAACTAGTGATTATGTTAGGTGAAGCCCACAAAGGTTGGTAACTAGGAATGATGGAAACAGACAAAAAGAATAACTGCTTCATACGGATGTTTCTCCAAACTTCCTGGATGTTAACAATTGCCTTAGGTATTTTTTAAAATTCTGCCAGAATATAAGTTACATTTAAAAATACAAACTGTTGTTAAAATTACAACTTCCACCTAAGAGTCGCTAACTCAGAATCTCCCAGGGAAAGACAGGAAGCTCCGTGTTCCCAATGATTACTATCAATGTAGAAGTTTTGGAAACACTGACGTCATGCGAACAATGAAGCATTTTTTTTTTAAATGGAGCATAAAAAAACAAATGACTAAAATAAGTGACATTTTTGCCTAGAATGTTTCAAAACTAAATAATTATTTGGACTTCTTCTTCATCCATCTCTCATATGGAAGTGATTGAACACGTTAGCAACATATAAACATCAGATGATCAAAGCACATAGAGTTTCAAAATTGAACTTTACTAGCAAAATTGAGACATTTATGTATCATTGTGGCTTGCCACAAAAATTGTGGAGGAGTTAATGATCATTTTAGAAAAGAAATCTTTGTGTGTGTGTGTGTGCATGTGTGTGTATTGCAGAAATAAACTAAAATCTAAGACTTGGAAAGGAACAAGATCATTCAGTTATTCAGTAGTCCTATAATTCCTAAAAACCCAGCTATATAACTGAGGGCAACAAACATTTTGTCATAGAAAATAGTTTTTAGCAAATTTATATCTCAAATTAAATTTTTATTAAAATTACTTTATTTCCTTGTCCCATTCCACTGAAAAAATTCCTTTTAAAATTAGCTATCTACAATTTCCTGCTAGAAATCATATGAATGCTTGCACCCAAACATATAGTGCAATGATGGATATTGTGTGGACTATATGTCTTAGCCCTTGTTTACAGGATATTCACAATTTAGGTATAGAATGAGGGGTCACAGACATACAAAAAATAAAATAGCAAATAATAAAATAAATAATATGCAAGATTACAAATAATTGTACATCTTACAACATATAAATATTGTGTATCATGCAAATGAAGCACCTGATGAAAAATAAAGTCAATTGGGTTTCATGTGTGAGCCTTGATTGATAAGCTCTACCTTCACATAGGAAGTAGTGACTGAGGAGAACTTTGAAAAATGAGAAAATTCACATATGTAAAGAGAGGGGTAGGGGATTATCTGGATGTAAGAGTTCTTAATTTCCAAGCAAACTTCTGGGAACAGGGTCATATACTTAGTATTATTAAAATAATAGATAACATTTTAAAATCACCAGTTATGTGTCAAACATTGTGGCAGGCACCTTTCATCTCATTTAATCATCATATTTTTGTTTTTGCTTTTTGTTATTGTTTTGATTGCTTTCCTATAATAATGTAGAGGCTCAAAGGTTCTTCTGATTACTCCTTATGTAATGGCATTACTTTAGTTTGTAATGGATACAACTTTAAATATAGTATTTTACTTCATCACAGTATAATTAATGGCCAAATACTCATTGAGAGGACTGATTAGGATGGATTACCAATGGGTATAATCTAAGAATGTTATTACAATACTCACAAACCTCTCTAGAACAATTAATGAAAGAAAAACTGGGTAGTTTAGCTTTAAAATTCATTTCTCACTTACTATGTACACACACACACACACACACACACACACACACACACACACACACAGAGCCTCTGTTGCTTTGTTGGTATCAGCAGACATAAATCAGAGCTGACTGGACCTGAGATGGACCAAAGGTGGATGTGAGATCCAGGATAAAATAACACAAGGGATAGGAAAAATTAATCAAATTCTCTTTCTCACAAGTATTTGAATTAAATATTTAAATTAATATTTGAATTAAGGGAAATCCTAACTAAAGCAATCAGACAAGAGAAAGAAATAAAGGATATCCAAATAGGAAGAGAGGGAGTCAAACTATCTCTCTTTGCAAATGACATTATTCTGTATCTAGAAAACCCCATAATCTTGGCCCAAAAGCTCCTTTGGCTGAAAAACATCAAAGTTTCAGAATAAAAAATCAATGTATAAAAATCATCAGCCTGCCTATGCATCAACAACAGCCAAATGAGAGCGAAATCATAAAGGCAATCCCATTCATAATTGCCAGAAAAAAAATAAAGTACTCAAGAACACAGCTAACCAGGGAGGTGAAAGATCTCCACAATGAGAATCACCAAACACTGCTCAAAGAAATCAGAGATGACACAAATTGAAAAACATTTCATGCTCATTGATAGGAATAATCAATATCATTAAAATGGCTATACTGCCCAAAGAAATTTACAGACTCAATGCTATTCCTATCAAAATACCAAAGACATTCTTCACAGAACTAGAAAAACGATTTTAAAACTCATACTGAACGAAAAAAGCTAAAGCAATCCTAAGCAAACAAAACAAAACAAAACAAACAAAAAAATAAAAACAAAGCCAGAGAGCCAGAGTCATCACATTACCAAACTTCAAACTATACTAAAGGGCCACAGTAACCAAAACAGCATGATACTGGTACAAAAACAGGCACCTACATGAATGGAACAGAATAGAGAGCCCAGAAATAAGTCCACACACTTAGAACCACCTGATCTTCGACAAAGCTGACAGAAAAAAGTGGAGAAATGACTCCCTATTCAATAAATGGTGCTGGGATAACTGGCTGAAGCTGGACCCCATCCTTATACCATACAGGAAAATTAAATAAAGAGGGATTAAAGACTTAAGGGTAAAACCCTAAACTCACAAAAACCCTGGCAGATAACCTAGGCAATACCATCCTAGAGATAGAAACAGGCAAAGATTTCATGACAAAGATACCAAAAGCAATTGCAACAAAAGGAAAAATTGACTAGTGAGATCTAATTGAACTCAAGAGCTTCTGCACAGCAAAAGACATTATTAACAGAGTAAACAGACAACCTACAGAATGAAAGAAAATTTCTGCAATCTATTCATCTGACAAAGGTCTAATATCCAGAGTCTACAAGGAACTTAAATTTACAAGAAAAAAAACAAACAACCCCATTAAAATGTAAGCAAAGGTCATGAACACATACATTTCAAAAGAAGACATACATGTGGCCAAGAAGCATATGAAAAAAAGCTCATTATTACTGATCATTAGAGAAATACAAATCAAAACCACAATGAGATATCATCTCACACCAGTCAGAATGGCTATTATTAAAAAGTCAAAAAATAACAGACGCTGGCAAGGTGGCAGAAAAAAGGGGAAACTTATCCACTGTTACTAGGAGTGAAAATAGTTCAACCATTGTGTAAAGCAGGATGGCGATTTCTCAAAGAGCTAAAAGCAGCATTATCATTTGATCCAGAAATCCCGTTACTGGGTGTATATCCAGAGGAATAAAAATCGTTCTACCATAAAGACACATGCAGGTGAATGTTCATTGCAGCACTATTCACAATAGCAGACATGGAATCAACTTGAATGCTCATCAATGACAGATTGTACAAGGTACATATACACCATGAAATACTATGTAGTCATAAAAAAGAACAAGATCATGTCTTTTGTGGGAACATGGATGGAGCTGGAGGCTATTATGCTCAGCAAACTAGCACAAGAGCAGAAAACCAAATACTGCATGTTCTTACCTATAAGTGGGAGCTAAATTATGAGATCTTATAAGCACAAAAAGGGAACAACAGACACTGGGGTGTATGTGAGGGTGGAGGGTGGGAGGAGGGAGAGGAGCAGAAAATATAACTATGGGGTACTGGGCTTAATTCCTGGGTGGCAAAATAATCTGTACAATAAACCCATGTGACATGAGTCTATCTACGTAACAAAGATTTGCAGGACCCCCACACGGAATATAAAAGTAAAAAAAAAATTGGATTAGGAACAATTAAGTGATTCTTGTTATATAACTGAGGCTGGGATTTACATCCTTATTTGGGTCTATGTGAAAACCGAATTGACAGATGGAGAGAGATAAAATAGAGATAAGCAGATGAGAGAGACAGGGAGATAACACATCACCAGGTTTATCCTCAAGAAACAGAGAAGAAACTTCTTTTCCAATTTTCCAATTTCAATTCCAGCCTCTCTGTGACAAAGCTGTGCCTCATTTACAATACAGGGATGTCCATGGGATAACTTGATGCCGCCTTTCAACTCACATTGTAATGAATGCGTTCTCATTCTTTGAATTACAGGGATACCTTTCAAGAGGACTGTTATTTCAAAGTGAAGTCTACAAAATCCTCCTCTGAAATAGATGTTTAGAGCAGCGGGGTGGATGAGGCTTTCTGTACATACACATACACATGATATATTGGATATTAATATATTGATAATATATTACTCTCATGTTAATAACATATTATAATACAAAATTATATATGCATTCATTCATTCTGCAGGTACCTTCAGTTTTGCTTTCTGACCCTTGCACTTTACCGGGCACAATGTAAGTAAAAGAAGGAGTTGAAGAGAGAACAAGAAGGGTAATTGAATTACTTCTAGAAAAAACAAGGCCAAGTGTTTGAGACACACCACCAGCTCAGAGGCAGTGAACTGAAGTAATTGTAACTAAGGAAGATAGTGAAGGTGCCACTAAGGAAGTAACTCTATTCTTTAAAATGGAACCAGAATCATAAATTACTACTCTCTCAACAAAAGTCACAAAGATTTATGACAAATGCTTGCCAAAACACTAAAAAGGAGAAGCCAAAATAAGGCTGGAAGTTAGAGGAGGAAAAATAGAGCCTCTTAGTATGTGAGAAAGGTTTCCTTTACCCTCATCAAAGACTAAGCATTATTATGTACCAATGGCTGACTATGGGTAGCTGAGATTGCTATGCTAGAATGCAAACTGCATGTGCTGCAGGAATGAAAAAATAACTATAAAAGTTTCAAGCAAAAGGAAATCTGAAAGTAGAGAGACACAAATCTTGTAGCATGATATCCAATAAAAGTTCTTGATAAGGCCTCTGGGGAAGGAGACTGTCACCTTTCACCCTCCTCCGTTCATTAATATGCCCTACAATTGCATGAATGAGGACATTCTTTAAAGGTTTTGATAGCTTGTCATAATTTTCAACACCCAGAAGTAGATAAAGAGACAGCAGAATGTAGTGGGTACATTGAAAGTCTCTGAGAGCCATTTTGCTTGGGTATGAATCCTCACTCTTCTACCTACCAGCTCTTTGACCTTGGGAAAATCATTTAGTTTTCTGTGCCTCCGTTTCCTTCTCTGTAAAATGAGGGATAAATGAAGTTGTTCTGATGATTCAATAAGTATGTGTGTGTGTGTTTAAAACAGAGCCTAGTGCATTTTTGATGCCAATATATCATTTTGTATTATTTAATATTTTAACCTTGTTGACTGGTCTTATACAAAATGACCCATACATTTTAACTCTGTACTTAAAACAACAGTAAAATGAAAACTCAGTTAACACAGTGTCATTACTTAATGAAATGTCTGTATGAAGATGGAGCAGAAAATGGGAAACACTGGGTAAGAAGTTGAAGAAACAAGACCTTATCCTATAATAATGGGTAGTTATGGAAAGTAGTAGCTTACAGAAGTGACACATTGACAGTGATGTGGGTTTTGCATTTCTACAAGGTAAGTACAGGACAGAGACAGCTGAGGAGTGGAAGGCAATCAGTACAGTGTTGCAATCCTCTAACAATCCAAGCATTTCTAGGTGAGTAACAGTGACATAGACAGTCTTAGGATAGCCTCAAACCAACTTCGTGAGCCCTTTTCCAGTTATCTAAGGTCCTGACTATCCGTAATCGTAAAAAATGTCTCAAAGAAAGAAAAGAGTAATGAATAGATTTCTTCTTTATGGGAGTTAAAAACTGAATATAATTATGGCAGCTTCAAAGTAGACGGACACATGTTGGTTTTGCTGCTCTTCATCCTGTGCTGCAGTTGAAAAGTCTGACCCCAATTATTTGTCCCTGTGTGCTATAAAATTCTTAATCAGAGCTGAGTAGAATAAGTAGTCTTTGTTTCTGAAGCCTATTCAAAGAAAGGCTTATGTGAATACCAACTCTGATTGTGATGAGGACTAAGAGTTGAGACCAAAATTAATCCAATTCTAAACGACACTTAATAAGTCAGCGAACACAAAGATAGGCTGGAATCCTTAGCTGTGCCCAGCAAAACTTCTTCAGACCTCATAAATTGAATTTCTTATGGTGTTTTTTTTTTGTTTAAATAAGGAGTTAAATAGTATTAAAATCAAGCTTAAACCAGTGAGGAAATTTTTTAAAGTATATTTTAGTTAAATTCGACACCTCTTTTGGATATAATGGATATAAATGCCAGGTGCATTGCTTTTCACATGATTTCATCTCATTGCAAACTGTGTGAGCATACAAGGAATCTTGAGAATTTACTAGGCAAATAATAATCATTTAAATTGCCTTTAAAATGTCAAACCTGCTCCATACTGAGGGCTGAAAATTTGAAAAAAATATTTTTTCAGGTTTTACATGAATGGGAAAACTCTAGAAATAAGTATGATTCTATTCTATCTGATTGCTATATGCATGATATACTCCAAAGAAATATGAAAATTATATACGATGACCTACATAATAGCATAATATAAATATTCAAAAACTGCTAAGTCAAGAGGCTTATTTAACATTATTTTGGATTAGATTTGGAAAGAAATCAGCATTTTCTTTTTTTTTCTTTTTTTATTATTCTTTAAGTTTTAGGGTACATGTGCACAATGTGCAGGTTTGTTACATATGTATACATGTGCCATGTTGGTGTGCTGCACCCATTAACTCATCATTTAACATTAGGTATATCTCCTAATGCTATCCCTCCCCACTCCCCGACCCCACAACAGGCCCTGGTGTGTGAGTTCCCCTTCCTGTGACCATGTGTTCTCATTGTTCAGTTCCCACCTATGAGTGAGAATATGCGGTGTTTGGTTTTTTGTCCTTGCAATAGTTTGCTGAGAATGATGGTTTCCAGCTTCATCCATGTCCGTACAAAGGACAAGAACTCATCATTTTTATGGCTGCATAGTATTCCATGGTGTATATGTGCCACATTTTCTTAATCCAGTCTATCGTTGTTGGACATTTGGGTTGGTTCCAAGTCTTTGCTATTGTGAATAGTGCCGCAATAAACATACGTGTGCATGTGTCTTTATAGCAGCATGATTTATAGTCCTTTGGGTATATACCCAGTAATGGGATGGCTGGGTCAAATGGTATTTTTAGTTCAAGATCCCTGAGGAATCGCCACACTGACTTCCACAATGGTTGAACTAGTTTACAGTCCCACCAACAGTGTAAAAGTGTTCCTATTTCTCCACATCCTCTCCAGCACCTGTTGTTTCCTGACATTTTAATGATCGCCATTCTAACTGGTGTCAGCACTTTCATGTTATATTAGAAGGGCAGCCTGAAAGCTAAAATCTATAAAAATACAGAAACTGGGTATCTGCTATCCCCTTCTCCACATCTCTTCTCTGTATAAAAGAAAGGTAAAATGTCCAAGGAGTTGAAACAGTCAGTAACCCCACAGGCAGGCTCACTGTAAGGTCAGCTCCATCACAGTGGCAGCTAGGAGATTTTGTGAGGCTTCCTGTGGGATAGGGTTTTTTTTTCATCTTTTTATTTATTTATTTATTTTTATTTTTTTTTTGATGCTTTCAATTCTGGGTTACAAGTGCAGAACGTGCAGTTTTGTTACATAGGTATACACGTGCCACGGCGGTTCGCTGCACCCACCAACCTGTCAGCTACATTAGGTATTTCTCTAATACTATCCTTCCCCCAGCCCCCCCACCCCATGAGAGGCCCCACTGTGTGATGTTCCCTTCCTTATGTCCATGTGTTCTCATTGTTCAACTCTCACTTATAGGTGCGAACATGCGGTGTTTGGTTTTCTGATCTTGTGACAGTTTGCTGAGAATGATGGTTGCTAGCTTCATACATGTCCCTGCAAAGGGCATGAACTCATCCTTTTTTATGGCTGCATAGTATTCCATGGTGTATATGTGCCACATTTTCTTAATCCAGTCTATCATTGATGGACATTTGGGTTGGTTCCAAGTCTTTGCTATTGTGAATAGTGCCACAATAAACATATGTGTGCATGTGTCTTTATCGTAGAATGATTTATAATCCTTTGGATATATGCCCAGTAGTGGGATTGCTGGGTAGAATGGTATTTCTAGTTCTAGATCCTTGAGGAATAGCCACACTGTCTTCCACAATGGTTGAACTAATTTACAATCCCTGTGGGATAGGTTTAATGGGACTTCCATTAAAGGATTACCCACCATTTCTGTCAAAATTAAGAATGAAAAATTATCCCAGGAGTAGCTATTTCCAGTGGCCAAATTGTCATCAATTAATGAAAGCACGGAAGTGATGCTGATTTTATACTTAGTAATGAGACTATTTTTCCCTTAAAGTTTATAGGAAATTATCAGGGAGTGAATTTACATATTATGATTTACCAGAAACAGTGGATTCACTTATAAGTGTTATCTGAAGGTTGGTGGCAATGGGCAGAAATATGGGAAGATTATGGACTTCTCTACTTGGGGTGGTATTGGAGGTGAGGTTGTAAATTATACTCACCACTGTTTTAGTGTCCTCAAATATTGTGAGTTGATAGTGCAAGGAATAAGTGTGTCTGTTTTTTTTCTTTTGTATCTTGCCAGGTACGTGGTAGATGGCTGTTAGAATAAAAATTAAAGATGAGGGGGAGATATTCATGAGCATTCTTCTGTTCTTGTGATTAATGGTATTAATGGAGTTTTTTTTTTTTCACTGACAGACTCTGGATGTTGTCACCTTACCATTTTTGCACAGTCTATGCTAAATCACTTAGCAGTGAGAAAGTTGTAAAATTGTCTTGACATTTAAAAAACAGCACTTTATTTCTACTCTAGATTAAACTAGTTACACATGTTTTAAAATCAAGTAAATCAAAACGTGGAAGAAAAATCATTATATGAACCAATCTAAGAAATACAATTTTAGGAAAATGTTTATTTATTCAAGGAACAATTATATCATGACAGCATTTTCCCCCATTTTTAGAACTAGTCTTCTCTGGCAAAATGCTTTCTATTTTTAATTTAAAAACATCTAGTTTTGCTTACATGGATTTACTCAATTCAAATAAAATAACTGATAATAGATGTTGTTATTTGGTTAGTGTGCAAATAATTCTAAATTTCAACATTGCCTCAATCCTCTTAGTGGCATATTTACTCATTGGGAATTAATTTAGTAAAAAACTCTATGAAAGCAAAAAAACATGGAAAGCTTGGAAAGCAAAATAATTCTTGTGTTCTTTAAGAGTTCCAATTTTATATAATAATAATAATTAACTAAATTGGAAGTTAATAGCTGAAAAATCGTTTATATCACTTTCCAAATAACTTTAAGCTTGTTACAAGACCAGGCTTGTACAAATAGAATGTTTATGGTGTTATTATATTTTCAGGGAATACTGGATAAAATGCTTTTCATTCAAGGCAATGTAATACAGTGGGGAACAGGAAATAAATAGAAAACAATAATGTGAACTATGTGATTCTTTTTCTTCCTTTTAATTGTAAGAGTAACATAACAAAACTAATGATAATCCAGAAAAAGGGAGAAAAAGTATACGCAATCCACTACCCCAGCACAATTAATTCATTATTAGTTATTGCATTTTGAGTTACTCCTATATACATATTTTAGCTATAAAATAAATGGTCATATTCATAGTATATACAGTCATGTGTTGATTAATGACAGGGACACATTCTGAGAAATGCATCACTAGGCAATTCTGTCATTGTGCAAACATCATGGACTATACTTACACAAACCTAGATGGTCTGGCCTACTGCACACCTAGGTTATATGGCATAGCCTATCACGTCTAGGCTACAAATCTGTGCAGCAAGTTACTGTACTGAATACTTCAGGCAATTATAACACAATGGCATTAGTGTATCTGAACATATCTAAACAAAGAAAAGGTATACTAAAATACTGTATTCTAATCTTATGAGGCCACTGTCTCGTGGGACCACAAGCAGACCTTGTCTGCTTCCACGACAAGGTAATGTAGGTTTAGTTAATGCCAGTGGAGGTTAGAATGAAATGGTTGGAGTGGATTTAGTATATTAGCCAGCCATGTCCTAGACATGGTGGCAACAAAGAAAGAAGAAAATAAGGTGGGGGAACTTGACTATCATGAAGCATAGAGGGAAGGGGTGAAGATGTTTAATGCAAGAAGCTGTGGAGAGGGCTCCTTCTTTTACCAGCTGGATAACTTTAAAAGCCCGAGCCTCCAATTCCTCAGCTGTTGAATGGAGAAAATTATAATGATGCCTACTTCATGGAATGGTTGTATGACTTAATGAGTTTATACATGAAGGGTGATTACAGGAGTGTCTGGCTTTTTTTTAAAAAACTCAAAAATGTTACTTCTTGTTGATAGTATTCTCCAACCAATTAAAAAGACAATTCTACAGTTGTATAACTGAGGGTTAGAACCCAGGAGGTTGATTTGGGGAAATGCGAGTAGAAGCACATGAATGCCCAATGGGAGGAAAAACCTGCATGATCCAGGTTATTTATAATAGAGGACACCTGGGCGCAAGGTGTGCCATGAGTTTATGAGGATAAATAGAAGGATATGAAGAAGCAGCTACAATAGGAAGAGTCACCAATCAGAGCAAGTGTGAGGTCACAGGGGCACAGACCCCACTGGCTCAGTCCATTGGCAGCCCTGCTCTGTGGTTCTAATTCCACTCATTTTGAGTAGTTAGAGCTAGGGGTCTCCCTCCAAGTCACAGAGTATGACAGGTTCCAAAAATATGCCATGGATGTAACAACTCTCACTTATTACATAAACTATAACAATACTAATAAACAACTTGGATTTATCATAGCCTTAGCAGTGCCTAAGAGAATATATTGTACTCTAAAGCAATTTTTGAGAGAGCAAGGCTTTTCGTGTTTTAAAATGAAATTTTTTAAAAACAAAGGCAGAAGTAAAAAAGAGAAGCACCAATAAACTTCAATAAATTAATATTAACCTCTTTTAAATGTAAAAAACACTATGAAGAAAATTGAAAAGCAAAAGACGGGGACTGCAAAATAAAGAGTGAAAAGATTAATATTATGATATGTAAAAAGGCTTACAAAGAAAATTCCCAAAATGAATACTCCAATAAAAAAAGAATAAGATTATCATATAAACAGAACTAAAGACAAAAAACACATAATTATCTCAATAGACACAGAAAAGGCCTTCAATAAAATTCAATATCCCTTCATGTTAAAAACTCTCAATAAACTAGATATTGAAAGAACATAACTCAAAATATTAAGAGCCATGTATGACATATATGACAAACCATAACCAATATCATACTGAATGGGTAAAAGTTGGAAGCCTTCCCCTTGAAAACTTGCACAAGACAAGTATGCCCTCTCTCACCACTCCTATTCAACATAGTACTGGAAGTTCTGGCCAGGGCAGTTAGCCAAGAGAAATAAATAAAGGGTATTCAAATAGGAAGAGAGGAAGTCAAATTATATTTGTTTGCAGATGACACGATCCTATATCTAGAAAACCCGACTGTCTCAGCCTAAAAGCTTCTTAAGCTGATAAACAACTTCAGCAAACTCTCAGGATACAAAAGACAATGTGCAAAAATCACTAGCATTCCTATACACCAATAAAAGGCAAGATGAGAGCCAAATCATAAATAAACTCCAATTCTAAACTGATACAAAGAGAATAAAATACCTAGGAATACAGCTAACATGGGAACTGAAGGACATCTTCAAGAAGAACTCAAACCACTTCTCAAGGAAATCAGAGAGGACACAAGCAAATGGAAAAACATTCCATGTTCATGGATAGGAAGAATCAATATCATGAAAATGGCCATATTTCCCAAAGCAATTTATAGATTCAATGCTATTCCCATTAAACTACCACTGACATTCTTCCCAGAATTAGAAAAAAAAAGCTAATTTAAAATATATATGGAACCAAAAATGAGCCTGTATAGCCAAGACAATCCTAAGCAAAAAGAACAAAGCTGGAGGCATCATGCTACCTCACTTTGAACTATACTACAATGCTACAGTAACCAAAACGTCACGGTACTGGTCCAAAAACAGACCCATGGACCAATGGAACAGAATAGAGTACTCAGAAATAAGACCACATACCTACAACTATCTGATCTCCGACAACCCTGACAAAAACAAGCAATGGGGAAAGGATTCCCTACTTAATATATGGTGCTGGGAACTGGCTAGCCATATGCAGAAAATTGAAACTGGACCCCTTCCTTATACCTTATACAAAAATTAACTCAAATAGATTAAAGACTTAAATGTAAAACGCAAAACTATAGAAACTCTAGAAGAAAATCTAGGCAATACCATCAGTACTTAGGCGTGGGTGAAGATTTCATGACGAAAATGCCAAAAGCTATTGCAACAAAAGCAAAAATTGACAAATGGGGGCTAATTAAACTAAAGAGTTCCTGCACATCAAAAAGAAACTATCAACAGAGTAAACAGATGACCTACAGAATGGGAGAAAATTTTTGCAATCTATCTATCTGACAAAGGTTTAATATCCAGAGTCTATAAGGAACATAAACAAATTTAAAGAAAAAACAACCCCGTTAAAAAGTGAGCAAAGGACATGCACAGACACTTCTTAAAAGAAGATATTCATGTGGCCAAGAAACATATTGAAGGTCAACTTCACTCATCATTAGAGAAATGCAAATCAGTACCACAATGAGATACCATCTTGTGCCAGTTAGAATGGCAATTATTAAAAAGTCAAGAAACAACAGATACTGGCGAGGTTGTGGAGAAAAAGGAACACTTTTAACACTGTTGGTGGGAATATAAATTAGTTCAACCATTACAGAAGACAGTGTGGCAATTCCTCAGAGATGCAGACAGCAGAAATATCATTTGACCCAGCAATCTCATTACTGGCTATATACCCGAAAGAATATAAATCATTCTATTATAAGGATACATGCACGTGTATGTTCATTGAAGCATTACTGACAATAAAAAGACATGGAATCAACGCAAAAGCCCATCAATGATAGACTGGATAAAGAAAATGTGGTACACAGACACCATGTAATACTATGCAGCCATAAAAAGGAATGAGATTATATCCTTTCAGGGACATAGATGGAGCTCGAAGCCATTACCCTCAGCAAACTAATGCAGGAACAGAAAATCAAACACTGCATGTTCTCACTTATAAGGGGGAGCTGAACTATGAGAACACATGAACACAGTAGTAGAGGGAACAAAACACACTGGGGCCTGTCAGGGATCGGGGAGCATCAGAAAGAACAGAAAAGGCATGCTGGACTTAATACCTAGGTGATGGGTTGATCATATATCATGTTTGTCATGTTTGACATGTTTGTGCAGCAAACAGCCATGACATACGTTTTCACCTATGCAACAAACCTGTGCATCCTGCACATGTACCCTGGAACTTAAAAGTTTAAGAATAAAAATAAAATAAAAGAATAAACTTAAAGTAAAAAAAATCAATTTAAAATCAATTTAACAAATTTTAATAGCTAAAAAGCATATATAAAAATGTTCAAGCTGAGTATTAGGCAAAGATCCATGAATATAAACAACTTGCCAAATTATCAAAAGTATAACAATATGCACATATATGTGAAATCTAGTGTTGGACATGAAGAAAAGGGCAGTCACACTTGCTAGGAGTATAAAATGTCAAAAATATTCGAGTGCACAATTCAACAAAACTTAACAAAACTCTCATAAATGTTTATAAATTTAATCTAGAATATCCTAAACAATAAAATAATGTTAAATAAGTTTTAGAGACACACGTAAACAACTTAGGTTTTTTTTTGTAAAATAAAGATTGAGACAAAATAAGTGCTTACTGATAAGAAATTTGTTAAGGAAATGAATATATTTGTTAATCAAATATCATATGATGTCATTGAATTTGATCTCAAAAGTATTTACTGGCCTATAAATATATTCCTGAGTGAAGAAAAAAAATAGAAAACAAACACAGTGAAACTTTTTTTTTATGGATACATTTTATATAAATTTGTGCCTAGAAAAAATCTGAGGGACACAGAGTTTATCATTTAGCATGAGATTATATATATTTAAATTAGTCTTATTTTCCCTAATTCATGTTTTATAAATTTTCAGTAACAAATATGGACATACGTGTATGGGTATGTAATAGAGAAAATATAATTGAAAATATAAAAACATGACTTTTGTACACAGTCAAATCTAGCACTGAAAGCCAGTTCTGACATCAACGATCTTCTAAATCTCTTTAATATTCAATGTTTTCATCTAATAATAACATCTATATTTCACTGGGCGTGGTGGCTCATGCCTGTAATCCCAGCACTTTGGGAGGCCGAGGCGGGTGTATCACCGGAGGTCAGGAGTTCGAGATCAGCCTGACCAACATGGTGAAACCCCGTCTCTACTAAAACTGCAAAAATTTGCCGAGCGTGGTGGCGCACGCCTGTAATCCCAGCTACTGGGGAGGTTGAGGCAGGAGAATCACTTGAACCCAGGAGGTGAAGGTTGCAGTGAGCCGAGATCGTGCCATTGCACTCCAGCCTGGGTGACAGAGTGAGCATCTGTCTCAAAATAAATAAATAAAAATAACATCCACATTTCAAAATTATTATATTAAATGAAATAATTCATGTAAAGTGCTTGAGACAAGGATTGATATTCAATCAGTATTCAATAAATACATTTTTTTTCAGTTTTTAGTCATTTTATTTGTAAGAGCTTTAAGATTCAAGATGTTAGAAAACATGTATTTCAATTTTAATATCTTTGGAACCTAAAGTAGTGTCAAGTAGAAAGTAATTCATTGTGAAATGGAAGGAAGACTGAATGCACGATATGGAAAGCAAGCTCCCACTTCATTAATGTCTCAACCAGAGTCCATACGCTGATTCTTCTGATTTTGCCAAGTCCTTACCCACGTTTTCATTTATGAATCTAACTCTGATTTTTGCTTTATGAAGCTTTTGTCTTTACCTGATTTAAGTAATTACTGGTTCTCAACTTTGATTTCTATCTTGGACTTAAGTTATTCCTGAATGCCAAATTATATGTAATATTTGACCAAAGGCCCTCCAGCATGACAATTTCAGTTTCTTTGTGCTAACCCTCTGTCTGAGATATAAGAATGATATTCATTCATTCATAAGAGAGAAATTCTAATAGAATAAATATGTGAGAAGGATATTGCCTAGCTTTAATCGAGAAAAAAAACTGTGACATCCCAGAGAGATTCCCACTTACATGTGTCAAGAACCCTGTCAGATCATCAAGCAAACCTCTTTCTTTTATAGAGGAGAAAACTTTGTCCCTGAAGGTTAAGGCACCTGTCCATGCCAAAACAGCTAATTAGTAAAAGAACTCAGTTCAGACCTTCTTATTCCCAGACTACTGCCCTTCCCACCGTATCTTGCTGCTTTTAAGGTACTTAAAAATAGACTCAGTGCTGCTGGAACATATTATTTTTGTTCTTAAAATGGACAAGACTTCTTGTATTCTAGTTCACAATGCCAAAGGCAAAACTCAACCTTACATACTTTTTCTAAAGAAAATAAAAGTTTAACCTTAAAAAGTTTCAGTTGACTAGTAGAAATTTAGTCTTCAATATGATTTATTAGCCAAACTTCAGTGCAGAGCTTTCTTGTGTTACTTGAAGGAGACATATTTTTAACATGCAGACATATTGCATGTATTCTAAAAGAACACATTGATGGCCAAAACAAAAGGTTATTCAATATCAAATGTTGTATTCCATGATATTTTTATTAAAAATTCAATTGTATTTGAAAATATTATTATTATTTAGAGACAGGATCTCTCTCTGTCACCCAGGCTGGAGTGCTATGGCGCTATCACAGGTCACCGCAGCCTTCACCTCCTGGCTCAAGTGATCCTCCCACCTCAGCCTCCTGAGAGCTGGGACTACAGGTGCCCGATACCATGACTGGCTAATTTTTGTATTTTTTTGCAGAGATGGGGTTTCACCATGTTGCCCAGGCTGGTCTCAAACTCCTGGGCTCAAGCGATCCACCCACCTCAGCCTCCCAAAGTGCTTGGACTACGGACATGAGCCACTGCACCTGGTTGCAAACATTATTTTATATATGTTTTAATATACAAGAGCAGTATCTCTCCTAGTGACCCTTCTCTGATGAGGGAAAACACATTGAGAAAAATCTCCTGTGAGTTAGAGATTAAGTGGAGAATGTTTGACCAATGGATGACAGATCACGCTAAATAGATGAGTGAAAGACATGGCTTTGAAGAATTAGAAATCTTTTGACATCTTGAAGCCTTTGAAATGATAAGTAGTTTATGAGGAGCCTCACTTTGGGCTTTTCGTGGGCAAGTCAGATTTTGCAATAGTTCCATCAAAAGAAAATATCCACAATGCTTATTTTAAAACAATTAGTTCCGAGAGTAACAGTAGCAGACTCTTTGTGGTAACAATCTTATAAACATGTTAAATTTTTTCTCAAACTTAATTTGCAAGGTGATTTGCATATAATAATTACTAAATCATGATATAAAGTCAGAAATAATTTGAAATAGATAACATCTTGTCTTTTGAGATGTAGGGTGAAATGATGATGATTTAAATAATAATATTCAATCTGAACATAACTGCTTAATTTTTGAATAAGGCCTAAATCACTTCAAAAGCAAGGACTTACAGTGAAGACTACTTACATACTTTTAATGCTATTGTCCATAAACCCAAAGGTGCAAAGTGTGCAATCTAATGAAGGATCTCTTGCCTCCTCTTGGCATCTAACCTTACTAAATCCTGATATAAAGTCAGAAATAATTTGAAATAGATAACATCTTCCCTTTTGAGATGCAGGGTGAAATGATGATGATTTAAATAATAATATTCAGTCTGAACATAATTGCTTAATTTTCAAAGAAGGCTTAAATCACTTCAAAACCAAGGACTTACAGTGAAGACTACTTACATACTTTTAATGCTATAGTCCATAAACCCAAAGGTGTAAACTGTGCAATCTAATGAAGGATCTCCTGCTTCTTCTTGGCATCTAACCTTCATTACAGGGATATTTCATAGAGGCACTTAGTGACCTACACATTTATTGATTACTTTTGGTGAAATGTTTTTCTAAATAACCATTGGTAATCATTCAATATCTGATGAGTAAGGAAAAAAAAAACAAGCTTTTCCAGATACTAATTATTTATAACATCTCCTATATTCATTCCCTTAGTGATGGCATCACCTTCCCAGCTAACCACACAAAACCTCAGTTATATTTACACCAACAATTTACCGCTTCCAGTTCCTACAATACCTCTTAAGTCAATCATGTCTGTTCCATTTCTACTTTCCTTGCCACTGTATAGGTTCACATCTTACCTTCCAAAGGTTATGCAATAATATCCTTTCTATTCTCTCTTCCTCCAGGTTCATCCCTTTCAAATTTCATATGCTAAACTGGGCACAAATATCATAAATAATGTGGTTCCTTTACAAAAAAATCAATGTTTCGATTATTTAGAAATTATTTCACACCTAAGTTTTTCCTTAATATTTATTTAAAAACTTCTAATGTATAGCTCAAACTTTGGCATGTGTAAAATTAATTCATAATCACACAAAATCAAACATTTTCAGAGAGAAGAACTAAACATATCAAGGTTTACAAATTCTTAGCTTACAGTTAAGCCAAGAACTGCATAATGTTAAAATAGTTTCTAGTGGTATTTTACATAAGCATTGGATGACTATTTTAATATGCCAAGGAAATTGTTCCTAGCATGTCTTCTAAGCCTAAGCAGCAATAATACTATAAAAGTAATACTTAACGATTTATCTACAATAAAGCAATTTTCACCAATAGCAATAACATTTAGTTCCCAATTGCTTTTATGACTTGGCAAAAATAATTACAAGAATTAAGATTTCAAGCAACAAATATCAATAATTCCATATTTTTTCCTATTAAAATACAACATATTGTTTACTAGACATTAATATTATTTTTAAAAATACTATTTTCTTGCATTTTTGCCTTTTTTTTCAAAAGTGATGAAGATGCACTTCATTTTCTAATTATTGTTCACAGAAGAAGAAAGAATAAACTTAGTCCACCAGAAGTGGTCCTTAAATACCTCTAGTGGCTTCTGAAACCTAGCATTGAAGATTCAGCAAAATATTTTTGTGGTGTGCTATAATATGAATCTCTATGAAGAATGAGATATTGTAAATTCTTCTGTAATAGGACAACGTGCTATTGTAAAAATTCTCAAATTATAGAATGATTATATGATTCATTTTTACACTGATAGGGAGAAGCACCCTGGAGAATTGTTCTGATAGTAATAATTACCTTGCTATTATAATGGTAATCTTCATCTTGTACGAGAGTAGAAATGGATAAAGAAGGGGCAAAAAACCCTGAGAAATTATGTCTTTATATAAGAACAGGCTAACACTTAAGAACAAGTAATATCGCTAAACAGTACATAAATAATGACATTGCCACAGCAAATACGAGTTAACCAGATCCAGTTCTTGCCTAAGTTATTGTGATGCTAAGAAAAGATACTAGCCTTATTCCTCCTACTCTTTTACTCCATTTTCCACATATAAAGTGATAAGCGTAGGAGGAAATCTGACTTGGCAAAGAATCAGTACTATTTCCAGAGAGGAAAAAAATAATTTCAACTTAGAAACTTTTAAACCAACATCTAACTGAGTAGACTATCAGAGTTTTGTTTGACAACATTTACATGATACACCGGTTTACGGGAAATGAAATTTGCAAATGATATGGTCTGCTCGTGATGGAAAATAAGTTTTATAGATGCAAGGTATTTTGTTCAACATATTAATAGCGAAGAGGAATGAGTTCTTATAGACACTAATATCCTGAACTGCTAATGTAATGTTTCTCTGTGTCTTGATACAGATTTAAAGTAGCTCTGCTTCAAAAATATCCAATCTTTGCCTACAGACAAAAGTAATCAAATTATACCATAGTCATACAATCACTTATCAGTGACCAAATGGCTCAAGGACTTTTTATGATCCACTAAATTAAGTCACATACGAGAAATGATGTTTTGCTTAGTTTCTCCATCCTAGGTAGGAGGCATTCAAAGACAAAAACATTTATGGGCCAGAAATGATTTATATTTGACTTGGAAATTTGGCAGGAAAAATACCGTATCAGCCTTATTTCTCCATTGGTGAAAATTAAAATGCTACAAAAAAATGCAGTTTTCACTAGAAGCACCACAGATTATTTCTGAAAAATAAAAAATCCCAACTATCCAAAGTGTCCTATATTTGAGTTACTATTTAAGTGGTCAGAAGTAAAGAAACAGTTAAAAACAGGAGGATATTGTTACCCCCAATTCAGTAATGTTACAGGTACACAGGCACCGTGATATAGAAGTCTTATTTGACATTTTAGTAAGATATTGTAAATAATCAGCAGTCTGAAGTTTGAAGCTAGATTTTCCAGTTAGAATTTATCATGGGTTGACAACAGTGAGTGAAATGTAGCTCCACAGTTCGTTCTTAAAGACATTGTAATTTCCAGGTGAAAAGAAAACAAATAAGGAGGCTTTAGCTCTTGATTCTTAGGCTCCCAGGTGTGGGAGAAAATTATATGGTCCCAGGATGATAGAAATTTAGGAAAAGAGGAATGGAGGGAAGTTTCCCTAATATAAAAAAGGTTGCAAAGAATTAATTACAAAGTTTCTGCTACAGGGCCATTCAAAAAGCAGCATTTTGCATGACTCTGGACATCATTCAATTTCTTCTCAACAGTTTTTATCTTCATACTGGAGGAAACACCAAACGGAAATTAGTTCCAGGTCTAAGTAAAACTATGACATAGAACACATAACCTCTGTCTTTCACCGGGCTTCAGCTGCCTCATTCAGCACAGAGAGCAATGGACTAGAGTTCATTCTGACTCTGAAAAATGCAGATGTATCTAATTTTAAAATCTAATGTTTATTTTACAAAATTGAATTGAATCTAAATTTCTAGATTATACTACAAGGAAACCTGTGTCAAAGACATGAAACCTCTCTCTTCCTTCTTCATTCATTCATTTATTCACTCAATATTATTGACCACCTTCTAATTATCATTCTAACTCCTATGTTGATAAGTTATAGTAAGTAAGGTAAGATCAGAGAGACTTATTAGGAGATTTGGCTTGTACCAAGATGTCACTAGCAGAGGTGATAAAAATTCTAGATGTATTCTGGAGGTCAGATTCTAGATATATTCTAAAAATATAGGCAAGAAGATTTTCTGAAGGATCGGATGGTGGAGTAATGAAAAAAAAAAAAAGAGAAAAGGAAGGAAAGAGACGTTTTGAATTTTTTGTTTCTACATCCCCATACCATGCCCTTCTAATGCACTTATTTTTCCTGTTCAAGTTTAAAATACCACAGTGAAAACATTTTACTGAACTGACATTTTATGACATACTTTCAAGTTTTAAAAAATAAGTAATCTTTTTTAAAAAAAGTTTTTCATTTATATTTTTTTAGATCATGACACTCAGAAACATCAGTTGGAGTATCTTTATTGACCCTATCTTTTCTTTTCCACAATTCCAAAACATTTAATATCTATTGTTTAAAATTGGTAACTTGTACTTACTGCTATTCTACATTACTTTTACTTTAAGTGATCATATATTTCAGATATTCCATATTGTTCTTCCTCTTCCATTTCCACTAACTTCCCTGCCTTTGTCAAGCTTTCAATCAGAAACTTTGATGAGCAAGAGCCTGCTTCATTCAAAGAGACACAAACAATCATCATAATCATGATCACTAGACTTGCCTTTTTTATTTCTTTTCGTTCGTCCTGTCCCGTCATTCTCATGTTCAAAGCTGACTTTCAACTTTGAGAGGCTTCAATTTTAAGACTCACTCTAATTATTTATCTGAGACCTTACATTTCCAACAGTTGCAACAGAAAACTGCTCTAAATCCTGTCTCACACAGCATCAAGGTCCACCATGTATGTAAAGAGAAGTACAGATGGTGACAGACAAAGCTGAAAGCTCATGAGTACATCACAGAAGTCAAAATAACAGTGGCTTTCCATCTGTTAACATATTCATATTTACCTCATTTTCCCACAAGTACTCCTCTCTACTTTCCACTCACACTGGCAAATCTCAGCAGGCAGTGAGTGGTTGGCATCTATTTTCATCTTGTAGTAGTTATTGAGTCTCCATTTTCTAAACAGCATGATATTATAAAGACAAGAGCTGAGGACATATTCTAGCCCCCAAGAAGTGCTGGAGTATTCCCACTCCTCAGCAATTTTTACTTTTGTCTACCCAGTATTGGTAAAAAGTACCTGTGGTGTCAAAACTCTTGAGATACAAATTTTCTCTAATCAGAAACTGTTTCATCCTCATTTTCATAGTTTTAAAAATAAGTTTTGTCTAATTAATTTAGTAAAACATATTCAAGGGTAAATAAGTTGGAGAAACCTCAAAATTAATAGTAGGTATATGGCTACATGCATATTTCTATTTCCTTCACAGATTTATCACTTTTTGATATTTTTTGAGATAGCTATTTTTTACAAAGTTTTAGCTTTATACTATAAAGCCATATCAGAATTATGATATAAAAATTATAAGCCAGGAATTAAAAAAACACATATATATGTAGGAATTACTTCCACGGACACAACTAGATGTGAAATACATTTGGTCTTCAGTTTTCATACAAATATAGAGGGATATTTTACAAGGTTGCAAAATAAAGTCAAGTCCATCCAATAGAGCAGCCCTTGATGACAATGGTATAATTGAAATGAATAATTGCTAAATTAGTGCTTTAAAAGCAGGGGAAAGATTCATCAGAAGTGCAGAGATGTTTGTTAATGTTAGGGAGGATTCACTAACTGAAGATTTTCTTAAAATTGCTAATGGATTCAATATCATCGGTTAATTTTGCTCTCCTGCTTGGTGCAAAATTCATGGAGATTTCTACAGTCCAAAACAGCTATTCAAATTTCACACAGTGATATGGTTTGCATCTCTGTCCCCACCTAAATCTCATCTTGTAGCTCCTATACTTCCCAGATGTTGTGGGAGGGACCCCGTGGGAGATGGCTAAATCGTAGGGGCAGGTCTTTCCCATGCTGTTCTCCTAATAGTGAATGGCTCTCACGAGAGCTGATGGTTTTAAAAACAGGAGTTTCTCTGCATAAGTTCTCTTTCTTTGCCTGCCACCATCCATGTAGGATGTGACTTGCTCCTCCTTGCCTTCCATAATGATTGTGAGGCCTCCCCAGCCATGTGGAACTGTCAGTCCAATTAAGCCTCTTATTATTTTTTATTTTTGCAAATTGCTCGGCCTCAGGTATGTCTTTATCAGCAGCATGAAAACAGACTAATACAGTAAATTGGTGCCAGTAGAGTGGGGCGCTGCTGAAAAGACATCCAAAAATGTGAAAATGACTTTGGAACTGGGTAACAAGCAGAGGTTGAAACAGTTTGGAGGGCTCAGAAGACAGGAAAATGTGCTAAAGTTTGGAACTTCCCAGAGACTTGTTGAATGGCTTTGAGAATAATGCTGATAGTGATATGAACAATAAGGTCCAGGATGAGGTGGTCTCAGATGGAGATGAGAAACTTGTTGGGAACTAGAGCAAAGGTGACTCTTGTTATGTTTTAGCAAAAGAGACTGGTTGCATTTTGCCCCACCCTAGAAATCTGTGGAACTTTGAACTTGAGAGAGTGATTTAGGGCATATGGTAGAAGGAATTTCTAAGCACTGAAGCAGTTAAGAGGTAACTTGACTACTGTTAAAGACATTCAGTTTTATAAGGGAAGCAGAGCACAAAAGTTTGGAAATTTTGCAGCCTAACAATGCAATAGGAAAGAAAATCCCATTTTCTGAGGAGAAATTCGAACCAGCTGCAGAAATTTGCATAAGTAAGGAGGAGCCAAATGTTAATCCCCAAGACAATGGAGGAAATGTCTCCAGGGCATGTCACAGGTCTTCACAGCAGCCCCTCCCATCACAGGCTCAGAGGCCTAAGAGGAAAAGTGGTTTCTTGGGCTGGGCTCAGGGTCCCTGTGTGCAACCTAGGGACTTGGTGCCCTGTGTCCCAGCTGTTCCAGCTGCGGCTGAAAGGGGACAATGCAGAGCTTGGGCCATGGCTTAAAGGATGCAAGCCTTAAGCCTTGGCAGCTCCCACTTAGTGTTGAGCCTGCCAGGACACAGAAGTCAAAAATTTGGGTTTGGAAATCTCTGCCTAGATTTCAGAAGATGTATGAAAATCCCTGGATGTCCAGGCAGAAGTTTGCTGCAGGGGCAGGGAGGGCTCTCATGGAGAACCTCTGCTAGGGCAGTGTGGAAGGGAAATGTAAAGTTGGAGCCCCCACACAGAGTCCCTAGTGAGGCACTGCCTAGTGCAGCTGTGAGAAGAGTGCCACTGTCCTCCAGACCCCAGAATGGTAGATCCACGGACAGCCTGCATCATGCGCCTGGAAAAGCTGCAGACACTCAATGGCGGTCTGTGAAAGCAGCCAGGAGGGAGGCTATACCCTGCAAAGCCACAGGGGCAGAGCTGACCAAGACTATGGGAATCCACCTCTTGCATCAGCATGACCTGGATGTGAGACATGGAAGCAAAGGAGATCATTTTGCAACTTTAGATTAGACTGCCCTGCTGGATTTCAGAATTGCATGGGGCCTGTAGCTCCTTTGTATTGGCAAATTTCTCCCATTTGGCATCACTGTATTTACCCAATGCCTGTACCTCCATCGTATCTAGGAAGTAACTAACTTGCTTTTGATTTTACAGGGTCATAGGTGGAAGGGACTTGTCTTCTCTTGGATAAGACTTTGGACTCTGGACTTTTGAGTTAATGCTGAAATGAGCTGAGACTTTAGGGGACTGTGGGGAAGGCATGATTGGTTTTGAAATGTAAAGATATGAGATTTGGGGGGTGGCCAGGGGCAGAATTATATGGTTTGGCTCTATGTCTCCACCCAAGTCTCATCATACAGCTCCCATAAATCCCACATGTGGAAGGGACCCGGTGGGAGACTGAATCATCGGGGCAGGTCTTTCCCATGCTGTTCTCATAATAGCGAATGGGCCTCACGAGATCTAATGGTTTTAAAAATGGGAATTTCTCTTCACAAGCTTTCTTCCTTTGCTTGCTGCCATCCATGTAAGACATAACTTGCTCCCCCTTGCCTTCTGCCATGATTGTGAGGCTTCCTCAGCCATGTGGAACTGTAAATCCAATTAAACCTCTTTATTTTGTACATTGTCCAGTCTCAGATATGTCTTTAGCAGCAGCGTGAAAAAAGACTAATACACAAGGGGACAGCAAATTAATACTGTGGGTTGTTTTCCTTTATCATTCTTATGTATAAATAAGTTTCAGATAGTTTATGCATTTATTATCAATTCACAGTATCAGAAACACAAAAATCTCTTCCCTTAGCTATGAAAAATAACTGCTCATTTTGAATGATTCCTAATTTCATTGCAATCACTTTTCCTTAGCCAAACCTTGAGTAAACAAGCAGTATCACAGGACCCGTTCAAAACAAGGGACATAGGTATTTTATGAAACACTGCTTTATTCATATCTTCCTGATGTATGTTCAGCTGTATCAACATTACTGTGGATAATCCCAATGGAGAGTTTATAGACCACATTCAATCAGATAAAAAACTAGAATCCATCTGGATCTGATTTAAAGAAGATTTAGTATCTTTCCACAATAAGGAATATGAGTCATACATTAATAAAACTCACACCTTGGGCAGCTTACCAAATATTTCTACACCTTATTTGTAAAATAAAAATTATAAACCATAAGCAACAGAGTTGTATGAGTTGAATGAAATAAAGTGAAAGACTATGGCACAGAGAAGACTCACAGAAAATGAAAACTTTCATTATCACTAACTTCACTGAATAGTCATAATTATTAATATTCAATATTCCTAGCACTTTGGCTTTATTATTATGTCATCTAAATGACTTCTTTACAGAATGGAAGAATGGAAAAGAATATCAGGTAATTATTTGAGCCTGACATCTCTTAATGTTAACTTTTAAGTTTATTGGTTGCTTATTTCTAAATTTGGAAGCAGTAGCATACATAGATAATGCATAATACCTCCTTGTTGTTTAATAAATCTTAATTTATTGAAAATTAACTTTTCTTTTTAGATTTTCCAAGAATTATTCCTTTTCTTAGTCTTGGCAATAACCCCCAAAATGTCCATTATAACAAGTCTATATTTATGTGGCTTTTTGGGAAATGATTTAGATTTTAAATTATCATTTATTTTTATGTATCATACCAGAATTTTCTTGCCTATGAAGCATTGCAGCAGTAGGAAAATAAAATTATTGGTGGGTTAGGAATGGTTTTTTGAATGCAGGCTGTCTTGTAGGAACTATTTAATGCTACACAGCCCTGGGGCTCTCTGGGTTATCTCAATGCTCCAAGTCACTTGTTTTCGACCCTGGTTAGATCATTGGGCATTTTAAGTTTAAATGAATATTTTATTGAATCGAGTAGGTCACCCTATAAGGGGTATTGTCAGATGTATGAGTCGACATATGAGATTTCAAACTAAGATGATGTACTTAGGCTAGAGAACGAATAGAACTTCATAAATATCCAAACTATAGTAAGTAAAATCTCTTTACAAAACCAGTTTTTGCAAAGCAAGAGACATAAGCTGACTAGCTACCTTTCCCAAGGAAGCAAATGGTCTGTGCATTTTGTTCATGCACCAGATTCAGGGAAATTATTATACTCTTTGACATCCCACCTCCTATATTTCTACTACTTTGTGTGCTTTGTGACTGATTTAGTCTTAACAATGTATCATAGAAATGAATGCCACTTCTTTTATAAAGTTAACAATGATTAGCATAATAGATTTTAAGGGATATATGTTGATGAATTAAAACTGTATAAAAAAGAGCAAATGAAAAATGAGCATAAGCAAGGAATGGATGAAGAAACACCTCATAAATGCAAATAAGATCTTAGTTTTCATTTTAACTGTCATTATTGATTGTTTATTAGAGATTTATAAGTAAATCCAAAAGTTAGTAAACAATAAACAAATAAAAGCAGGCCATGTATGGAACTATTGAGAGTATGTAATAAATCAAGGAATCAAGGATGATAATTCATAACACTCTGCACAACAGAGGTTCACTAGAAAAGTAAAGAAAAATGTGCTATGGGAAACATGTTTGTCATAACCAGGAGAAACAGACAAATTACTATAGTTTTCCTCTTAGATAAGAGGAAGTGTTCCTCATATAACAGGTAAGACAAAGTTATGATCTGATAATTTGCAAAACAACATAATTAAAAAACTAATCAACATAATTAAAATTAAACAACATAATTAAAAAATTAATCTTCTTGTATACCATTCTGAGGGCTCTCTCAGTTATGCATATCAGTCCTGGTATTTATGATGATGTAGGTTTTTCTAAAAAAAAGATGTGGACAATTTAAGTTCCTTGTTAGTCTATAATAATTTTGAGGACTGACAAGATTTAATAAACATATAAATGGATAAAGAGAAATTAGTGCTTCTCTGACACAAAAAAAAATTTGAACTGAAATCTTAATCACAACTAGCACTCTCAAACACATTTTAAATGTTTTTCTCTCCAAATTTATAAATGAAATTCATTAAGTTATGGTTGTATACTGAATTTATGATAACTTTTTCGTGGCACTCATTTATTACTAAATGAAATAGGCTTTTTAGTTTATGTTTTATCCCTGAACATCGTACTCAAAAATTGACAGCTAATTAAACTAACTGACAGGAATAAACAAGATATTTCCTACATGCTACCTTTTTTTGGTGGCCCGTTTTACTTTCTGCTCCCCATTTATTTGGGGGAGATCATAGTGGTCTGTGAAATGCATAAACCAGGTAGTCAAAAGAAAAGAAGCAAATGGCACTGATAATCCAAACAGTAAATGGACTATATAAAATTTGCATGATAAAATTTTAAATTGTTCAAGGTTTTTAAAATGCTATTTATCTGATAGAAACTCTAAGCATTCAGAACTGTTGCCATCACCATCTTATAAAGGGAAAATCAAGGCAGCAAATGGAATGCTGCCAATGTCATGCAAGTACTCAATGAAAGAGCTGGGTAGCACTTGGTTCTCTTCACAGTTTATTACATTTCAATATATCTTCAGTTCACTTTTTCCCCATGAGTTTCTTTTCCTTACATAGCTCAAACTAATCATCAGCATTCCTTTGCATACTAGTGAATCACTTTCTGAAAACAAGGTTACTCTCAAGATCAGAAGTTACTTGGTAGTCTTCATACTCATATATACTTTTGTGGGAAGCCTGTTTTCTACAGGATTCTAACAAAGAATAAAGAATGACTATATGCACCTACTTTGAATTTGAACAACAAAATTGAGACAGTGATTGCTGCCTTAATGAGATATAGTGTGTCAGCAGTAGAATAAAATTTATTCCCCAAGTGAATGCCTACAATAGTGAGATTAGTCAGCCTTTTTGCTAATAAACTGTGTAAAGATTCCAACTCTTGGGGTTAGCTCATATAAAGTATTTTTGCATTCTAGTTTTCTGTGCTTGTTACTGTTATTTATTCAAAATCACTTTCTTACTTGCAGAAAAGTTGAACTCTACTGACTACCCCAGCACTAGTATGCATATATAGAGAAATCACTTTCAGTAATTTGAAAACATTTTATTTAAAGCAAATACTATCAAAGAACCTAATTAAATGAAATATTTGAGAAAAGAATCTTATTCTGAATACATTTCAAGAAAATAAGCCGCTGTTCAATAACTAGTGACTAACAGCATCATTTAATAACTCTTTGAGGACTAAATGAAGATTCATTTTGAAATCAAATCAGGTGGTGTAGTCTGTCTCCTCTACACACATCACATTAACTCAGTAATTGCCAAGTTTTACTTTCACAATCGTATACATATTGGCGAGCATAAAAGGAGGTGCTAAAAAGCTATAATAGAAGTAACATTAAAGGTGTTAAATTGTAGAATTTTAAGAGAACAGGAATATGATGTAAGAATTTACAAAGGAAGAAACTTTGAAAATCTAAAAACATAAGTGATAATAAAAAATATTATATCAGCTGTAATAAGTGAAATGTCATCTAGTTACAGGGAACTCTGAAGAATCCCCTCCAAGGGTTGTATGATTCCCTGATCCTCCAGTAGAATGAATTAACCTTCTTACGGGAATCAGTTGGCTAGGCCTGGCGTAGGTATCTCTTTCAGTGATGAGCTGTGTATATGCAATAAGAGGGAACAACATTTCACAGAACCTGTGACAAGATTGCTGTCGAAAGTCCTCTTTTTTGTCTGTTGAAGAACTGGAAGAATTGGCCTTTGATACTCGGACAGTGGGTAGACAAACAGATAGAGGATTAGATAGATAAACAAATCTAATCACATGCCAAGGACAAATGGATTTTTAGGAAATAATTATAACAAAATGTTAAGCAGAATTTTTTTTGTTATCCTAAAATTATCACTAAGGCTTATAGCTAAACATGAAATTCATTAATAAGTCTACATCCTAAAGCAATGTGTGAGACCCTCAAGCTGTGACCAAATGCCTTCTACAGAATCGATTAAGAAGAGCACAACTGGCCCTAAAACCACTGAACACCAATAAACCAACACCTCCTGAGAGTTTCTCTGAAGGTCTTAGGAGTACAGATTTTGCCGTAAAACCACAAACATTTTAAAGATTTCCTTTCCTCTATGAGAATAAGGGGCGTGTTGAACTTTATCCTATTTGAAGCCATATGAAAGAGGCACCAAGATATCAACAATAAAGATTAAGAATGCCTATACGAAGGAAAGACTAGATAGTACTTTATCTCCCAGAATCTCTGCTTAAGCAGAAGACTTACTCCTTAGCCAAAGTATGCAGAACTCATAATAAAAACCATGAAGATCAAAATGGAGGCCTGAGAAGGTGTAGTTGTTTTGTTTTTGCTTTTTTAAGCTGAACTGGTATCCCAGATATACAGCCATGATTAAGAAATAATTATCTTTTTTTCTCCCCAAGAATACCACCAGGATGATAAATACCTGTCAACAATAAATACTAACTTTGGACAATTGTTATTTTACGTGTACGCCACGGTAGTTATGTGACAAATCTGATTGAAAAAAAAAAGACATTAAAGCTATTATTAATTTTCAAAGTGTCCAATAGTTATTCCTAAAAAAAATTCTAACATAAAGTTATCACATTTGACCACAGTGTTGGGGTAGTGTTTTCATACATCCTGGTAATACACACTTTTCATTCTATAATTAAATAAATTATTTTTCTATTTATGGCAATGACATTGTCTAGAATCTGAGTTTGGTCGGCAAATATATTTGTCTACAGAGCTTCCAGCAATCTGTGACCATTCGAGAACATTTATTCTCTTTGAACCATGTAACACAAATATAAATTCTTCTTTTCTTTCAAAGCTTCCTCATTCCAAGAACCCTCAAATGAACCCAATTGTGCATTTGCTTACAACTTTAATTAATCTTTAATTTTCCACTATTAATATGTTGAAGTTGATTTCGATGCAGAATGAACCCAAAGTGCGTATCAAATTTGCCATGGTTTTTGGTGTCAACAACTAACACAATGGACATAAACAGAAGGTGGAGATGATATATTCACTCAATCATCCATTAGACAAAGATTTAAGTCTCTGTTTAAGTACAATGTTCAATCTTTGTTCTGCAGACAATGCAAATATTAATCAGACAGATATCACACTCTCAATGAGTTTATAATGAGTGCTCATTTTATATACGTGTGTGTGTGTTTGTGTGTGTGGATATACATATAGATATACATATATATATCTAAAATTATGATTCAGGACAGAAAATGAGAAAAATGACAAAAGAAATTCAGAGAAACTGTTTTGTACTTTAGCAGAGGAAAAGATCATAAATCTTATAAGTTAATTTTCATCACCATAGACAAGTTAAAATATGATCAATTTCAGATCACATTATCTGTGCTTATTTTTACTTTGACAGGACAGTTAAGTATTTTAAAGCACTGCATTAAATATAGTTCAGTCTATAATATTATCAGGAACATACAAGAAATTTTTTTTACTGTCCCAAACCCCACCCATGACCTTGCTAAATTATATGAGCAACAATAAAAGTATTATTTCCATGACAGACTTGTGCAATATATACAGTCTTTTGGTTCATAATTCAAGGTGAGACAGTTATATCTTAAAAGTATCAAGCCAAAAACCAGAAGAATACTTACTTTACATGCATCTAGGGAAATTTTGTTTCATTTTATTATTTTCTCTAATGCTACATTTATCTTTTAATTATTGTTGATATTCTTGAAGAAAATTTAAAAAATCATTCTAATAATACTTATTACCAGTATCAAAATAATACAGTGCATAGGTATCATGAATGTGGCTTCCTAACATTTGTTAATTCTACATTTTAAACTATCTTTGCAATCTTTAAGGTAAGACCTGTAATAATAAGCAGATATATAGTACTTAAGCCATCCAGTTATTCCCCATCTCTGAAAGAATTGAATAGACATGTACAATATTATTAACTAAAAATATTTCTGGGACTGTTATAACAAAATCATGTAAAATATATTTATATATAATTTTATATAATATAAAATATATATATATATTTTGAGACAAGGCCTCACTCTGTTACCCAGATGGGAGTGCAATGCTGTGATCTTGGCTCACTGCAACCTTCGCCTCCCAGGCTCAAGCAATTCTCCTGCATCAGTCTCCTGAATAGCTGGATTACAGGTGCGCACCACTACTGCCTGGGCTGAGTTTTGTATTTTTAGTAGAGATGAAGTTTCACCGTGTTGTCCATGGCTGGTCTTGAACTCCTGACCTCAAATGATCCACCCACCTCGGCCTCCCAAAGTGCTGGGATTACAGGTGTGAGCCACCGGACCTGGCCTAAATCATCTAAAATAGTTTTTAAGTATCTGTTTGAATAATATTATTTCCCAAAAAGTAACTATCGAATACTTTTAAAATTCCACTTTGGAGTATTTTTCTCTCCCATAGATAATTAAGTATATTATTTAAACATTTGGCTTATTTTTGTCATTACCAATGCATATAACAAATGCAATTTTTGATTTATAATTTTTCAATAAATATAAATTCTAGAAAGTCATTCTAGCAGTCATTCAAGAGATATATATAGATATAGATTGCTGTGTGGTATGGTTTGGCTGTGTCCTCATCCAAAATTTCATCTTGAATTATAACCCGAATTGTAATCGTCAAGTGTTGGAGGAGGGACCTCGTGATTAGGTCATAAGGTTGGTTCCCCCATGCTTTTCTTGTGACAGTAAGTGAGTTATCATGAGATCTGATGGTTTTATAAGGGGCTTTAATTCTCTTTACTCTGCACTTCTCCTTCCTGCTGCCATGTGAAGAAGTACATGTTTGCTTTCCCTTTCACCATGATTGTAAGTTTCCTGAGGCTTCCCCAGCCGTACTGAACTGTGTGAATCAATTAAACCTCTTTGCTTTATAAATTGCCCAGTCTTGGAAAGATCTTTATAGCAGCATGAGATCAGACTAATACATTGTGTAACACATGAAATTGAGTTTTATAGAAATGTTTGTGCAGGGATTGGTATATAAACTTAATCTTCCTGAAACTCATTCTATAATCACCATAGTTTGGCTGCTATCCTACTATTTTAAAATTAAGGCTAACAGCCAAAGCTACATTCCCTCAAAGCATGCAGAACAAAGCCTTTAGAAACACATTTGCATTGTTTGCAAATATTTTCTCCCATTCTTTAGGTTGTCTGTTTATTCTGATGATTATTTCTTTTGCTGTGCAGAAGCTTTTTAGTTTAATTAAGTCCCATTTGTTTTTGTTGCATTTTCTTTTGAGGGTTTAGCCATAAATTATTTGTCTAGACCAATGCCCAGAAAAGTTTTTCCTAGGTTTTCTTCTAGAATTTTTATAGTTTCAGGTCTTACATCTAGTTTTTTAATCCAACTTGAGATGATGTTTGTATATGGTGAGAGAGAGGGGTCCATGTTCATTTTTCTGTATATGGTTATCCAATTTTCCCAGCACCATTTATTGAATAGGGTGTCTTTCTCCAGTGTATATTTTTTCACTTTGTCAAAGATCAGTTGGCTGTAGGTATGAAGCATCTATCAACTGTTGACTGAATTTTAAAATGTGATTATATATATATATATATGTAAAATATATATTGTGTATATGTGTATATATATATTTTACATATACACACACATATATATACACACGTCACATTTTCACATTTATTCAGTAGTATTCTATAGTGTATGTATGTGTGTGTATACATTAGGTAATAGATTAGATATTTGTATGGGTATATACACACATACATACATCATAGAATACTACTCAGCCATAAAAAGAATAAAATTGTCTCTTTTGCAGCAACATGGGTGGAACTGGAAGCAATTATCCTTAGTGAAATGACTCAGAAGCAGAAAGTCAAAAACCACCTGTTCTCACTTATAAGTGGGAGTAAATAATGCATACACATGGACATACAGAGTGTAATAATAGACACTGGCGACTTCAAAAGGTAGGTGGGTGGGTGGTTGGGTGGCATGAGGGGAAAAATACTACTTATTTGGTACAATGTACACTATTTGTGTGAAGTTCAGATTTTACCATTACACAATACATCCATGTAACACAACTCCACTTGTATCCCTAAATCCAGAAAAAAAAAATAAAAGAAAGAAATTTGGCAATATTGTTATGGAAAATTAGAAATCATGCTGCTTTTACTTTATTTATAATTCCCCCACAGGTAATAGTCTAATAAATCAAATCAACCAGGTTTGGCCTCAGACAACTCTATTTTCAAATTATATACCCCCTATTTGCCATCTTCATGGTTTTGAGCAGTTTTATTTACTCCTCGTAGCCTCAATTTTCTATCTGCAAAATGTGATAGACCTACCTTCAAGGAATGTTATTTGTGGTGATTAAACGCTATTGTTATGTCTAATGCTGTTGAATAACTATTCGAGTATTTCTCACAGTGCATGTCTATTGAGGATGGTGATCATTTAATAGAAGGAAAGAAATTATCATTGCTTCACACAGATATTTCCAAGTTGCTTTTCAAAGAAGAACAAATTTTCATTTTCAGTGGCAGTGTACATAAATACCCATTTCATTGTTCTTTCAAAATCACTAGGTTATCTCTTATTTAAAAACATTTCTTAATTTGATGTTCGAAAAATTATTTCACCCTAATTTTATTTTAATTTCTTTGAAAATTAGTGAGATTGAATTTTTTTCAAAGCTATTGGATATTTGCATTTTTGGGTAAATTGCCTCTTCACATACTTAGTACATTTAATAATTAAAATATATTTTTTCATTCTACACATTGAATATATTAATAATTATTTGCTTGTCATATTTTTATAATGGACCAAAAATTTTTGAACCAAATGAATGAATGAGTTAATGCTGTGATAAATTTTCCACAAGCAGGTGGAAGAAGGAAAAATAATATCTTTTGTACCTATCCATATGCTTACAAAATTTTATTTATTTTTACAGACAGAGTTTCATGCTATTGTCCAGGCTGGAGTGCAGTGGTGCAATCATGGTTCACTATAATGTCTAACTCCTAGTCTCCAACAATCCTACCACCTCAGCCTCCCAAGTAGGTGGGTCTACAAGCACACACCACCAAGCCTGGCTAATTTTTAAATATTTTTGTAGAAATGGGGTCAGGCTATGTTGCCCAGACTGGTCTCAAACTCCTGGTCTTAAGCAATTCCCTTGGATCAGCCTCCCAAAGTGCTGTGATTACAGGCATGAGCCACCTTGCCCAGGCCCCTGATTCCCCACCTTTTTTATAGAAAATTTTAACTTTCAGTTGTGGAAAAATGAATGTGGAGAATTTACCAAAGAAATTTTAAAAGAAAGATATCTGATTGGTGTTGGAATTAGAGATTAAGTATGCTGATATACTGTTTAATTAATTATAATATATATATTACTGAGCATACATATATGTTACTATAATATGTATAATATGCTCAGTAATCTATACATTTTACTATAATATATATAATATATTATACATATATGCTCAGTAAAATAAAACAATGGTCCCCAACCTTTCTGGCAACAGGGACTAGTTTTCTGGAAGACCAGTTTTCCATGGACTGGTGTTGGCAGGGGGATGGTTTGGGGATGAAACTGTTCCACCTCAGATCATCAGGCATTAGATTCTCATAAGGAGCAGGCAAATTAGACCCCTCTCATGCACGTGCAGTTTAGAATAGGGTTTGTGCTGATCTGACAGCAGGTGGAGCTAAGGTGGTAATGCTCACTCACACGCTGCTCACCTCCTGCTGTGTGGGGCCCAGTTGCTAATAGGCCATGGACTGGTGCCAGTCTGTGACCCTGCGGGTTGGAGACCCCTGAAAAAGGACTGAAGTTCACATCAGTTATTTTTTCCACAGGTTATTTATGTTCATAAATTTAGAAACCATTAAAAATGTTCATTGAGAATGAGATTTAACTACTGTTAAGATTTTCAATGTTGAGTCTTTTTCATTTTTGAGACAGATTCACTGTCTTGCCCAGGCTGAAGGGCAGTGGCCCAATCTCGGCTCACTGCAACCACCATCTCTCTGGCTCAATCAATTCTCCTGCCTCAGTCTCCTGAGTAACTGAGATTACAGGCATGCACCACCACGCCCAGCTAATTTTTCTATTTTTTAGTAGAGAAGGGGTCTCACCATGTTGGCCAGGCTGGTCTCGAACTCCTAACCTCAAGTGATCTGCCCGCCTCAACCTCCTAAAGTGTTGGGATTACAGGCATGAGCCACCACACCTGGCCAATATTGAGTCTTTTAATATACAAATTCAGTTAATAGACTCGTTAAACATTACCGCTGATTGGTTTGGTGAGAGATCCTGGATAATTTACTGAGTCTGCTTGTATGTCAATTTAATAGAGGGTTTAAAAATTGAACATTACATAAATAGATTATGCTCTAGTTAAAGTAACATAATAATAAAATTTAAAAATAAACATATTAGTGTGTAATTATTAGTGTTATTGGGGTATTTTCCCTTTATAACTACTTTATCAGAACATTTCCTTTAAATTGTGATTATCTATAATCTAAGAAATTTCTGTTACCCAATCAGTAACTTCTGACGTCTACAAATTTGGGAGGCAATAAAATTTGCACTGTCAGAGGCTACTGAAATTTAAAAATAAATCACAAACACTATGTCTGAAATGTTAACATAAGTCAATGGAAAAATACAATGTAATTCACAAAAATTCACTTTGTATGTTACTTTCTAATAAATATTCCTTTAAGTAAGGATTAGGTATAATACTCTATTTTGGGTACTTTTTCTGAAAGTTAAGTAATCATCTAACAGGCTCCACATGGGAGGCAGAAAGCAAACAGCAGAAGGAGCAGAGATGAAACTAGGTCTACTGGACAGGAAACCTGGCATGTTAGTTATAAATCTCTAACTTTTCTATCAATATCCAGATACCAGAATCTTCCTCATGTACCTTTCTTTGCTGTAATATAATCCTTTTCATTTCCATAGACTATTCTGAGGCAGTTACCCTCTCTTATCAACTCTAATTATATGCATTGCAACTTGTTCACTGAGCTAATATTCCTACAACAAAATGCTGAGCAAAGGATAAATATTTTTTTTTCATGAAGCTGTTACTGGAACAAGGCAGGCATAGAAGATCTTGATTTTTGCTGTTAGACTGTGCTATTATGAAGGCATCCTCATTCTAATCTACTGTTAGTATATACATGTGCTCACAGTGTCTTTCCCATCATTATAGGTACAAGAGAAATCATACTTTTGAGTGAACACACGAAAACTTTCCTTCAGGAATTCACCAACAAAGGTTATATTTCTAACACACTCAAGTCAGGAAAAAAATAATGGCATTACTTAAATTGTTATCGAATGCACTGGAACAAGTATTTCCACATTAGCAATGTATATGAAATAAAGGGGCCCAATGCTTAACAAAATAAAAATATTAGGAAAAAATATTTCAATTCTTGCACTGAAAAGGAAAAGCATATAGTACTAATGAGAAGGATTTTGGCATAGCAGTTTTTGGCATATATATATACCCTGTGTATTATTACATATTTTGGTCCGAAAACTTTTTATAAAAGCAGTTTCCTTATTTATTGTTCTGACATCACCATTTATAATTTATGAAACTACAGTTTATAAATCATGTAGCAGGGAAGTAGTCACTCAATATTTTAATACTTAGCTATTCTGGCATTTTTTTTATTCTACAATATTTATTTTCCTTGTATTATATGCCAATATGTTCATATCACTCCAGGATAGCTAATCAGCTAATCTTAGTCCATATTTGAAACCAAAGGTGTGTGTTCATTTTTTAGGCGTATTTCTTCCTAATTATTTCAGCTGGAACTAGTCCATAATATAATATAATGGAACAAAGTTGCATAAAATGTACCTGGCTGTCTTCCCACTTACTGGTCTTTGTTAGACTGAGATATCTTAAATCCCGAGCAAATCTTAGCATATTGGAGATATCAATACTCCAGGATTTGCTATAAAGGTGAGCTTTATCCTTTATTGTAGATTTTGCCTATATATTTGTTAACATTGGAAAATCATTGAAAACTAGTTTATATGTCTATGCAAATATAGTTCTTTCTCCCCCCATTGATACAGAATTAAAATTTAACCAGGTTAATGCCCTTCTACCAATAGTCACAATATACATAAACACTGTTATTCCCTATTCTTCTAGACCAAGAAAGTATTTCATAAATTGTAAATAGGCAATTAATTTATTTTTATGTGCATTGCTAGAATCTGAACAGTGCAGTTGTCCTATAGCTCCCTACCACTATCAGCTTATATACCTACAGCTTCCAGCAATAGAGATGAGCAAAGATTGGCTATTCCAAAGATAATAAGAGAAATAAGAGGCACAACAGAAGCAGAACTTATCTTTTGATGAGTTGTTGTACTTACTAAATCACGACATCCAGGCTCTGTCTCCCTAGAAGGGGCAGTTCGTAGGCACTGCGATTCCATGCTTGAGAATTTATAAACAGATTTTCATTTTCAATCGGATCTAATTTATTCTACTATAATTGTGCATTCTCTCATTTTGTGTCCAGGCATTTATCTTTGTCCAGATAACCACAGGGATATATGTGTCTATATTTAATTTGAAGATGAAAGAAAATGTGAAATTTAGTAGTAGACATTGTTGGAAAATACACCAATACTAAAAGTGTTTAAAGCGATTTAAAAAAAAATCTGCATGTCTACTTCCCCTGAAAAATCATTTGCATATTTTCACAAAACAGTATGATAAAGTATACTTGAAAACATGTATAATCCCCACACATAAATCTGTGTGGCTCATACCCCTTCAATTCGGTCAAAACTATGTTGAACACATTTCCTCATCTGCTCCTGTTGACTGAACTCCTTGGATATTTTAAAAGTCTTTCAAAAGGTAAATTAATCCTGTGACTGAACAATTGACCATTTAGAGGCCTCAGCCCGTAACAGGAATTCTTTCCCTATTTAGGTTATTTTGTATATGATTACAGTTGTAACCAGGGGTCTTCTCTATACATTGGTAATAAGAAAATCAACACTACAAAAGAACAGAAAGAAAACTGGTCATGAAAAATATATACTGATTTAGATAGCTGAGCCAGAAAATCTGAAATGAAATTTCATTAAAATTCAAAATTTAACAACTAGCACCAAGTTTGTGGTATCCAAATACTAATTCTCACTTGAACCAGTGCTTCCCAGAGAAATAGCTGACTTTTGGACTCTTGGGAGGATACATAAAAGATGAACCTGGGGCATGTGCTGACAGGCTTGGAAGTTGCCAGAACCAAGCAGAAGGGGTTCCAATGGGTCCAGAATGCAACAATTTTAGCATTAGAAATAATCATGACTACAATTGATCAAAACACATCAGACATTTTAAAATCCATATATTCACAAGGAGACTAACGAAAGTTAATAGAACCAATTCATTACAACTGTAGTTAGTTAGAAGCAACTTATATTCAAAGTTGGTTAAAAAAAGAAAAAATATCAAACATTCACCCTGCTTTTTCTGAATAATTTGGGAGAGTTCTTCTCTATTAAAGATTATAGCTAAAAATACAAAAAGGGTAATAAAAATTACTATTTTGAAACCCCAGTGAAATAATAATAGATCTAGGTAATGATCATCAGTGAATTTTGTTAGATTACATATTAATGTATATTTTATAATGCAAAAATAAGGGTAACCATCCCTGAAACCACCGATGAATTTTATCCTCACTGAAAGTGGAATAGTCAGATATTATGTGCTTCATGATATGATGTAACATTTAAAAAATCTGAACTTAAATATGATCAAACCTCTGAATATTACTACCAGTTTACGGGTAAGAGATGATAGTAGAATGGGTTACATGACTTCTTAAGAAATGATTCAGTCAAATTCAAAATGCACAACATTCTATGGGACAAGTAAATCAGTTTCTTGACAACTGAAGGGCATTTCTAAAAAAGAGGATGAGATAGAGTCCTTTACAGAATGAAAAAGACATCACAAATAAATATAATGAGCAGATATTCTTTGGCTCCAATATTTCAAATATCTACTAAGATATTTTAGAGCAAATCAAGGAAACCTGAATAAGAACTGGTATTAGATAGTGTTAAGGATTTTGTAAATAATGGTGTTAGATAGATTAATGTTTATTATGAGTTGAACTGTGTCACCCCAAAATGATATATTTGAGTCCTAACTCTCAATACCTCAGAATGTGGGCTTATTTGGATAGAAAGTCATTACAGAGGTAAAGTTAAATGAGGTCAATTAACCTCAAGTTAAAATTAGGTCATTAGAGTGGGCCTTTATCCAGTATGACTGATGTCATAAAGGGAAAGATCTGGATACAAAGATTGACACAAGTAAAAGTAATATGATGTGGAGAGACACCAGAAGACAGCTATCTACAATCCAAGGAACAGCTCTTTCCCCAGAACTTTCAGAAGTGGCATGGCCTTGCTGAAACCTTGATTTCAGATTTGTAAACTCCAGTACTGTGAGGCAATACTTTTCTGCTGTTAAGCCATCTCGTTTATAGTAGTTTTTGATGGCAGCCCTAGCAAACTAACACACCATTCAATTGTCTATATTAGTTGGAAATACATTATATAAGTATTTATACATGAAATAACATGTGCAAGATTTCCAGTAAAATTATCTAGCAAAAAAGTGAAAGAGAAGAAATAAGATGAGAGCCTCATAATTACTGGAGTTATGGATACATAGAATTAATTATGCTATATTAATTTATAAGTTGACTTAAAAGGTCCATTTGAAAGGTTTAAAAAAAGACAAAATAGCTGGGCCTGTAGCCTCTGCTACTCAGGAGGCTAAGGAACTTTTTCTGAAGCATCCAGGAATGTTTGTAATTATATAATATATATTAAAAAGTATCCCTTACTTTTAGGAGGATCCCTTAAGCCAGGAGTTTGAGTTACGATCATGTCAATGCAATCCAGACTGGGTGACAGAGTGAGACCCTCATTTCTAAAAATTACAAATAAACCAACAAATGAAGAAAGAATAAATGCATATACTCAATGATCACACTGATGAAATTAAGGCTCCCTCACAGAACTAAATTCTGTCTCATGTGTAAAACACCAAAACATAAACCAAAGAACCTAGCCAGAGAAATGCCACTCATCAGTTTTATCATGAAGATTTGTATCTCAAGCCATACCTTTTAGGATATTGATAAGCCCACTCTAATAACTAACTTTCTGAGAAGGTTTTTATTAAATACTACACAAAGAACTGAAATAGTTTGTGAATCCAGTATAACATTTTAAATCTCAAAGATAATCCTTTGGGGGTTTTTTTGTTTTATTATTTGTATTTTTTTGGGGGGGACAGAGTCTCACTGTGTCACCCAGTCTGTAGTTGAAGTGCAGTGGCGTGATCATAGATCACTGCAGCTTCCAAACATCTGGACTCAAGCAATCCTTCTGCCTCAGCCTCCCAAGCAGCTGGGAGTGCAGATGCTTGTCACCATGCCCGAGTAATTTATTTTAATTATTATTTTGTAGAGAAGGGGTCTGGCTTTGTTGCCCAGGCTGGTCTCAAACTCCTGACTTTAAGTGATCCTCCTCCTGCCTCCCAAAGTGCTGGAATTATAGGCTTGAGCCACTGTGTCCAGCTAAACGATACTTTTTAATATATATTATGTTATTAAAATCATCCTGCTTCAGAAAAAGTTTAAACACACATACACAAATGCCCCGTTTAACATTTAAAAATTCAAATTCATCCTTCAAAGTAGCACTTGGTTACCTGATGTTTCTCCATTATAGTATGGACTGCAATGAGACAATTTAGACCATTTTACTTTTTTAAAAAATATGTACTTGAAATATAAATCTGTTTTAAAATCTGTTGATGATCAGTACAGTGGATATAGCTGGGTTCCATGTCCAAAATTAGTTATAGGAAAAGCCAAGAGGTCAGAGAGTAAAACATGCTTTAGGTATCATAAAAAAAAAAAGGCATATTTAGGTGGCTTAGTAAAAGCAGTCCTAGATAAGTGATATGATTAGCAAAATTAATTGATTCACCACTCTCTCACTACATTATCCTCTACTACCTTTTTTTTTTTTTTTTTTGGAGATGGAGTCTCGCTCTGTTGCCCAGGCTGGAGTGCAGTGGCGCAATCTCAGCTCCTGGGTTCACGCCATTCTCCTGCCTCAGCCTCCCTAGTAGCTGGGCTACAGGCACCCGCCACCACGCCCAGCTAATTTTTTGTATTTTTAGTAGAGACAGGGTTTCACCGTGTTAGCCAGGATGGTCTCTCTCTCTTGACCTCGTGATCTGCCCGCCTCGGCCTCCCAAAGGGCTGAGATTACAGGCGTGAGCCACTGCGCCCGGCCTCCTCTACTATCTTAACTTTACCCTTGCTTCTTATCCCTTTATTTTGTTGTCAATACCAATACAATTTTCCTGGTTGCCAATACCAATGCATATTCTCTGGAATATGGTTGAGTGGTATTGATGTTCAAGATGACATTTACTTTCTCCTTTTTCACTATGTATCTGTGACATTCTTTTAAAATGTGGTTAACCTGTATCTAGTTTGTGAATGCTTAGTCCTAGCTTCCCTCTCTAAGTAAGGGTTCTCATCTTTTATAGAGCCTAGTACCAAAAATAGATGTACAAAATGTGTAACCCTAATATCTCCTTAATAACCTAGAATACACGGCAACTTTATGATGCTTTTTATACAGCTAGGTGACACAATACTTATTGATTACATTGTAATAAAACGAATATATCTGGGGTTAAACGTGAAGGGAGACCAAGGATCAAATTGCTCTAAAAAAATCTAAATGAACTCTTTCAAAACTTTGGTGTTTTAATTGCTCAGTAATCCATATTGCCATATTTTCATTCTAAAAATGGTTTTTTAAACCATAATTATTCTTTGTATGCCGTTGTTAATTTTCTCCATTATTATTCCTTGGATGCAGATGTTAATTTTGAATACTGAGCTATGGACTAGGAACCTGCTATAGGTGACCAGTTTTGATAACATTTACAACAGTTGGTGGGTAATTTTACATATACATATATTTTTTTTCAATGCTCTTCTTCTCCATCACATTATAGTGAATTATATTGTAATATTACAAGAGGGAGTACAAAAATGATGTCTGACTTCTTCATGCTATATCCGAAGTCTCGAGAATGTCTGTTGCAGAAAGATCTTAATAGACATTTTCTAAAAGAAGACATACAAATGGCTAACAGGTATATTCAAAAATGCCCATTACTGATCCTGAGGGAAATGCAAATCAACACCACAATGAGATACAGCTTCCTTCCATTTAGAAGGGCTATCATAAAAAAAAGAAAAAAAATGCAGGCGAGGATGTGTGAAAAGGGAACACTAACAAACTGTTTATACTGTTCGTGGGATAGTAAACTAGTACAGCCATTATGGAAAACAGTACGGAAGTTCCACACAAAACTAAAAATTCAACTATCATATGATCCAGCAATCTTAGTAGTGGCTACACATACAAAGTAAATGAAATCAACATGCTGAAGAGATAACCACACTCCCATGGTTCATTCAGTATTATTTGTAATAGCCAATACATGGAATCAACCTAGCTGTCCACCAACAAATTAATGGATAAAAAAAATGTGCTGTATACACAATGGACTTACTATTCAGCCATGAAAAAGAATGAAATCCTGTCATTTACAATAACATGGATGAACCTGCAGGACATCAGGTTAAGTAAAATAGTAAAATAAGCCAGACACAGAAAAGCAAATACCACATAATCTCACTCATATGTGGAATCTTTAAAAAAGAAAAAGTGGACATCACAGAAACAGAGAGTAGAACAGTGGTTGTCAGAAAGGGGAGAGGGAAGGGAAAGATGGAGAAAGGTTGGTCAACAGGTGCGAACTTACAAGTAGGAGGAATAAATTCTGGTGTTTTATTGCATAGTGATATGACTAAGATTAGCAGTAAAATGTTGTATATTACAGAATAGCTAGAAAAGGGGCTTTTGAATGTTCTCACCGCAAAAAAATAACTGCGTGAGGTCATGTATGCACTAACTACCCTGACTGACTCATTACACAACATAGATCTGTATAAAAACATCAAATTATACTCATAAATAAGTACAATTAAGATGTGTCAAAATATTTTTTTAAAAAATGCCTGTTGCATCACTATGTACTCAAGTGTTTGTCAAATGAAGAAATGAACCAATTAATGTATAATTGATCAAGTTTTTAATAATCCATTCTAGTAAAAAATACACTATTTTTATGTCATTATTTGCAAAATGTGTCCTAATTCTCCCTTAGTTTTCAGTTAACCCCCAAATTTCAACTTACACTGCCATTTCTTGCAACATTAATACAAAATCAATAAAAAATATAATTTGAATTGAAATCCAGAGTTAATTTATCTATGGAATAATTCATAATCTATGGTAAGACCTTCATGTGTTCGGCATATATCCATTATGAGTCTTGTCTATTGATTTTTTACTTGGTTGGACCTAAATTTAGAAAAATAATAATCAATTTACTCACACATTCACCAAATGAGTACTGAGAAGAAATGATGCTCAAAGCACATTCTTCACAGTGAAGTAGGAGAAAATTATGAATAGGACACAGGTCCTATTCTCTGTGGACAAAAAGTTTGTAGGAGAGATAAGACATGCACATAAATAACTACTAAAATACAGAGTTACTAGTGATGACAGGAGCATAGATAAAGAGCTATGAGAGTTCAGTAAGTTCCTATTGTCTGGAATGATCAGCATCTTCTCTATAAAGAAAGTAATTTTTTGAGCACAAAGTGTTTAGGCAAATGGAGTTTGGATGTCAGAGAAGACATCCAAATGGGCTAACCAGTTTGAGCAAAGGCGCATAACTAAGGCTGACACATAAGATAAAATAAATATGAAAAAATGGAACTGATTAAAAAAACAGCTAATTTTCCTCTAAAAAAATCTATTTTTCCTACAAACACCCATTTAGAAGCTTTATTTCCCAACCTTGTTCACACCCAGATATGGCCACATGAACGACTTCTTGTCATGGTACACAAATGCAAGTGTCGTGTGCAAATTTCTTCTCAGTATTTTAAATTAAATTGCTTGCCCCGGACTTCGTATGTTTCTCTCTCTTTTCCTTTATAGGCTGGAAGTTTCTGACACTTGACTAGGCTTCACTATGCATGTGAGAACAATGTGTTAAGGTCACTGCCTCTGCAACAGTGGCCACCATTCCAGGCCTGTCCTGTGCTGTCCAGTATGGTAGCCACTAGCCAAACAGGTGGCTATTGAAGACAAGTCCTAATTGAGATGTGTTGCAAATATAAAATACACACAGGAATTTCCAACACTTAGTATGAAAAAAGAATGCAGGCCGGGCGGGGCAGCTCACGCCTGTAATCCCAGCACTTTGGGAAGCTGAGGCGGGAGGATCATTTGAGGTCAGAAGGTGTGAAGTCAAACAAAGGATGGAACTGAGGTCCCTGGATGGTTTCCTGCAGCAGAGCCAGCCTAGATCTCTAAAATCCAGAGTTTATTTTATGGCTCTGGATGCCAGCGTGAGTTTAGACTTTTTTTTTTCTGTTTTTATGGTCACTAGGAGGTAGTGGAAGAAGAGACAAAAAGGCTGCTTACTTTTTTTTTTTTTTTGCACATTACCATGTACCATCATTGTGCTCTTCCAAGTTACTTCACTAGAATTTGATAAGAAGCACTTGTTGGCAGTTGAGCATATAATGGATTGAAATGAGGATACATGATAATATCAAATCTACTTAATATCATAAATGAAAATATAAAAGAGAACAGAGAGATAAATTGCAGAGAATGTAGAATCATGGTTATAACAAAGGACTATCCAGCTGCCATAGGAACCTAGGAGATAATGGAGACTGGTTACTTTCAAATTAGGTAATGGAATAAGGAAGAGGATTTAGAAGACAGAATTATGAACATGGTTTGTGAAAAAAAATACATTCAATGGTGATTTAAACATTCAGAAGATGAACTACCAGGAGAGCAGGACTGACACATCAGTTTAGAAATCCATTTGCATAAAAATAAATTGGGAAAATAAGCTCAATGTAATATCAATTGTAAAGAGTGTACAAAACAGACCAGACCTGAAAAGGAGAGAGAACAAGATTTCACATAGCCATGTTTGATCCTAACTAAAAAAGAGCTGATAAACCTCTCACTTTTAGTCCCTTTCAAGTAGCTATAACATGTTGGCTATAAATTATCAGACACTAGAAAAAGAAAGGTTTTGAATAGTGATTTCAACTTGTCCCTAGTGATATAGGTAATGCATTATTCTCTTAGTATTTTTCTTTATACTTAAAGAATTCCTCCCAGATAATACTTCTATGGATCTTATCTTCAGTGTCAGAACTGCCTAAACAATTCATACAAAATTTTGTTTCTGCTGAGATTATGTCAATAACTGAAGAAAATTAAATTTGGGCTTAAGATCTTTCAGTTGATTGCTTGGGTTACTCTTTATACTCTGCTGCAACACAGAATCTGAGAACTGAAGCAGGGACTGAAAAAACGACTGCAACTTTAATGTAGTCCAGCTCATCCTCATACATGAATCCCACTATGCCTCTCTTGACAAGTCTTGCCTCTATCTAAATATCACTGGGTACTTCCTGACATCAGTGAAAAAGAATTCTATTTTTGAATGGCTCTATTTGTTAGGAAGTCTTCCTGATATAGTAGTGTAATCATTTCCATTCTCTATGGAAGACTTCCAACATAAGGATAGCTACTTTTCAACAAGGCTACAATTCAAATATTCGAAGAAAGTTATCTCTCCTATAAATCTTACTTCCAGACTAAATATTTCCAGTTCCTTACACTATTTCTTATATAGCTGTTTGCTCTATTTTTACTATACTGGTCCTTTATTAAGGAGCATGCTTCCTGTAAAAATATCTGAGTAATGTAGAGTTAATTAGTGGCAGCCACATATTTCCTAATTTGCTGATTGACTCTCTCTCTCTCTCTCTCTCTCTCTCTCTGTATATATATATATTTGCTACCAGTAGTTTTTCTGAATTTTTAAAAATATGAATGAGAAACAGAAGGGAAAAAAGAATAACACTTACTCCCATTGTTGTTATAAAAACAAAGTCTCCACGTATAAGTAAGAAAGGTTATTTGTTGCTGTTGCATTGATTGTTTTTGGTGGTTATTTCCATATGGATATGAAATCTAGTGGGTAGCTTAGATATCCTGACTAGAACAATATAGGAGGCAATAAGATAAACACAGACATGAAAATAAGTCTTGTGCATAAAGGAACACAACTTTTTTGTTTGTTTGTTTGTTTTTTTGAGACAGAGTCTCACACTGTCGCCCAGGCTGGAGTGCTGTGGTGCCATCACGGCTCACTGCAAGCTCCGCCTCCCGGGTTCATGCCATTCTACTGCCTCAGCCTCCCGAGTAGCTGGGACTACAGGCACCCACCACTATGCCCGGCTAATTTTTAAATTTTTTTTTGTATTTTTAGTAGAGACGAAGTTTTACCGTGTTAGCAAGGATGGTCTCGATCTCCTGACCTCGTGATCCACCCGCCTCGGCCTCCCAAAGTGCTGGGATTACAGGCGTGAGCTACTGCAACCGGCCAAGGAACACACCTTCTTATGAGAATATAGGCAAAGAGTTAAGATGGTTGCAGATACAGACAGGTTTCTATGAAGAAAGTTGGGTTACTCAACGTTCACACACTTCACACACACAAGAGAACATGAGAAAGTAGCTGCCATTTGTACCAGAATGCCGTGAAAAACAGACATGTCTAGATGACAGAATTTAGTCTACATTGAGTAATTAAGTAAACTATAATACAAAAAAGATAGAATGCTAGAAGCACCTTTGCTGAGATGGGATGGGATAGTATTGTGCGTGAGTATATTTTGTAAAACCCTTGAAATGTTTATTCTGGAACTAAGGACAATGAGTTAAAAAATGAGTTTGGAGATCATAAGTGGTTATCCATGAAAGTGGATCGGATCATTGAAGGAAAGTGGTATGAAAGCACAGAAGGGGGAAGTGTGGGGAGCTCTTTTATTTGAAGTATGTAGGCAAAAGGAGCTGTGCCCAGCAGAGCACTGGGGGCATGGCTGCCTCCACCTACCTTTCAAAGGATATGACGACCTGGCACAGCCACAGGTGTGGGACTGCAGCCCAGAATAGCTGTGGGACCTAGACAGAGAGCCACTGGGGTGGGGGGCCTTCCTACCAAGCCATGTGGATGACATTTTCACCCCAGTGGGCCTGGAAAGCAGAGTATCAAATCAAGAGGATTATTCCTAAGGATTAAGATCTCATGAAATTTGTCTTGCAGTTTGGAGTTAGGATCCATTACGTCTTCTTTTCTCTATCCCCCTTTTGGACAGGAAATGTCTATCTTATGACTGCCTCCAATGTTTGTATTTTGGAAACATAACATGTTTAATTTCACAGATTCACAGCTTGACAGCAATTTGCCTAGGGATGAATCGTACCTTGAGTTACATCCATGTCTGATCAAATGATGTTTAGATTAGACTTTAGTGTTGATGCTGGGAAGAGTTAAAACTTTTAGGGCTGTGGGGATGTTAATTTATTTTGTGTATGTGAAGAACATGAATTTTGGGGGGACAGGTGTGTAATGCTATAGTCTGATATTTGTGTCTCATGAAAATTCGTACGTCGAATTCCTAACTCTCAATTGTGATGGTAACAGGAGGTGGGACTTTGGGAGGTGATTAGGCCATGCAGGCAGAGCCCTCCTGAATGGGATTAGCATCCTCATAAAAGGGGCCCCGGAGAGCTCCCTCACCCTTTCTACCACATAAGGATGAAGCAAGAAGACAGCAGTCTGCAACCTAGAAGAGAGCCCTCACCAGAAACCATATTAAAACCTTGATTTCAAGCCTGCAGCCTCCGGAACTGTGAGAAATAAATTCCTGTTGTTTATAAGCCACCCAGTCTATAGAACTTTATTATAGAAACCCAAACTAAGACAGAAATATACAGTGAGAACTAAAGAGAGTTCTCCTTGTTTAACATTTTCTAAATAAGACATGAAAAGCCCTTTTAAGCAATTCTACAAACCTTAACTTATCTTGGCCTTTAGCCTTTGGATATTAGCTTGAGAGTTCTGCCTAATTTTATTTATTGTGATTGTTTAACTCAATGTCTTAAAAAAAATCTGAGGTAATCAGAACATCCTTGAATAGTCATGTTGCTGTTTTTAGTTATTCCTCCCCTCCCTTTTCTTCCTGAAATGGAAGACTGATATCACCTAGGTGATATAAGGATAAATGGGAAGCCTTCCAGTGATTTTCCATTGTGATTACAATAAAATCCAAACTGCTTGTGGTTGTCAATAAATCCTTACAGGAGCTGGCTCCTGTCTCTCTGATCTCATCACAGTTAACCTCCCATCAATAGTGATTCTTTCTGCCCTGCTCCAACATATGCCTGCCTGAGAGACTTTGCAGTTGTCATTTACTCAGCCCAGAATGGGAGTGCTTTGCTCCCATAGTGTGGATCTCAGCTCAAATGTTTTTTCTTTGGTACAGGCCTCATTAAGTATCTTGGCAAAAACAGCCTTACCTCTACAAGTTGTTGTTCTCTATTCTGTTGCCCTGTCTCAACTTTATTATGGCAGATATTGTAATCCACAGTTTTCTTATTTTTATTGGTTTGTGTTGTGTCTACCAACCGACCTACACATGTTAACTCCATGAAGGCAAAAACTATATTTCATTCATTAGTGTTCCTTCAGATCTTGGGACAGTACCTATCAGGAAGAAGACCTTCAGTAAACAAACCTTACTATAATGAATTAATGAATGAAGGAAGACAACTTACATTTTGGCCCAAAAGAAACCTCATTACTGGTGGAAATGAAATTGAATTTTGAAAGACTGTGTCATAAGTTCAGCATTAAATATGTTTATAGAAAAAAACATAACCACTTCTAATACAGAACATATCTATTAAATAATTAGACATTTAAAAATTTATATGATGTGGAAACAGCTAACACATAAGAGGTTCTTGTATTTACATACTGAATCTATTAAATAAACATTTAAAATTATTTTATATTTAAATAGTATACATGGAAGAGATTGTTTTGTTTATAACACAGAAAGTATCTATTAAATAACTAAACTGTTTTAAAGTTTCTTTTTGTGGAAACAGTTAATGTGCAAGAGGGTTGTTTTGTTTGTTTGTTGCCCTTTTCCTATTGTTTCAATTCTAATGGACTTAAAACAGGACTTATATTTTCCTGAGTATAAAAATTGTTTCGTTCAAGTTATTATTTAAAATTTTTGTATATTGCACACACCTAAGAGAGGAAAGGTAGCAAATGAAGACAGATACACAGACAAAAACACTTTTAAACTAGAAATATCAATGCAACTGGTAAAGCAGCCAGTTCAGGCAGGAAGTCTATCTTCATTGAATTGAGGAGAAAGGAAGAGCAGGAAGACAGTGAAAAAGGAATGGTGAAGGTGAACAACTTATGGCAACACAGAGTCAGGTCTACCGCTCAAAGAAACAGGGGTTTGTGTGTGTGTGTATTTAATGTTAAACACTTGCAGGCCTACATATTCCAAATTGCTCTAGCCATTTTGCATACCTAAGCACAATAACCCACAAACAGTAAACTTTGGTTCAGTAAAGTCTTTGTCAAGGATCACAGAGCTGGCATGTGCTACTGTCTCATGGGGCACCATGAGAATTACTGAAAACTGCCCATTGAACACCATGCATATCAACTGACTTAGTATTTTATTTTCTTTCTAAGTTCAGGTGGCATATGTGGACACATAAACATGTTAGAGTGTAAAACGTTTCCTGTTTATATCTGATTTTGATGTCCAACAATGAATTTAAATTAAATAAGTGTCAGAATTTTTAAAAAGTGACCTTGAAACTACCCATTGTAGCTTTTTCTTCTCATTTTTCTGCATTAGGAAATTTTCAGTAAAATTTTGGGTATACATGATAATTTCCTCATTATAAACATTTAATGTGATCTCAATTCAACTGTAGTTCAAAATCACTCATAAAGACTCAAATAGACCCCAGAGTTGGGGGACTATAAAATCAGAAATCAAATTCTCCATTTTACTTACTGAAATGGTATCACCTTTCAAATGCCAAAGATTTGAATGACTTATTAAGAGATGCTTTGTTCTATCGACATCATAAATCTATCGTAGTCCATGCCAAGGTCCATACTTAATAGTATTTTAACTGTGAAATACTAATTTAAATCCACAGTTCAATGATTTTCTTAGGAGATGACAGCATAATCTTGAAATTATTGATGTCAGTCTCTTATAAAGTAGATTCCCTATAGAGCCACTCAAAATCCATGGCTTTTTCTCACTGTGAGGGTGTCAGCCATCTTTGAGCTAGATGAAAGAATGGGAAGAAAATAGGTCCCATGTTTTATCATCCTCATTTAACACACGATCTTTTCTAGCTCTCAACCAGCATTCAGAGGTGAACTTCAAAACTCTGCTGCGTTTATACACAATGCCACAAAAAATTGACTAAATAGTATTCAAGGAAACTTTTAATAATATCCTTACATTCACAAAGTTAGTTATTGTATTATTTATTTGATGTACACTTCATGTACCTCATCTTCAAGATAAGAACTGTTTCACCATTTGCTATTATATATAGTCATTCCATGTCAATAGCTTATGCTTTTTTTCTAACAAATCTAAAATACTGATGACTTTTACAGAAACAATGTTTCTTATACAGCAGTGTTACTGAAGTAAAGCTCATGATGAAAGAAAGCATCACCTTAATAAAATAGGAACTATTACAAATTATATAGGAGAAGTATTCAGTCTAATTGCTCAAATGTTTATTGAAGACTTTCTTTCATTTTTTTATATGGCTGATACTGTAGTGAACAAAGCAGTAATAGTTTATGTACTAGTGGTGCTTACAATGAAAGAAATATTCTAAACAATCACTTTAATATATACATGGGACAATTTAATATTTTGTGCAAGATCTCCTGATGTGGAAAATGTTGAATCATTTAATTCTTTCCCACGAGTATTTTTAGTGACTTTTCCTACCCACTCATTCATCTGGAAGAATGAATGGGTAAATGAGCATTTCACTAGCAATTTTTAGTGATTTTTTTCTACCCACATAGAAAAATAGATAATTTTATTTACCCATTCTGGAAAAATGAATGGGTAAATAAGCATTTCACCAGTAATAGCAGAATCAATCACAATGTAAACATTTCTTCGGATACATATTGTTCCTAAGGCTAAGAACCATAAATAAATGATAGCTGGAGAGTGAAATTTAAGAAACTAAAAGTACATTAAATTGGCATTCCCTATCATATATTCTGAGTTAAAAATTAATTGACCTCTGTTTCTAATGCTGTAAAAATTAATATTAAATGGTTTCTCCAAATTCAGTAAGTAACTCACATATGAATCAATTCAACAACATTTATTATGTACCTTCCCTCTTTGTGTAAGAACTCAGATACTATTGGAATAGTCTAAGATGAATATGTAACATCTGAAATAATGCAAAAGCTCAACAAATCTTGTTGATTTCTAGGAATAGGCTAGTAGGCTAAAACATTATGTAGAATGTAGTGACACCGGAGTGGGGAGTTGAAACTCAGAAGTTGACAACAAAGCCACCAACAGCAGACTTAACAACAAGGAGTTTTGGTTTTAACAAGGTGACCACCTTGACAGCCTTTTACTGTTTTCAATTCGTTTGTTTTGTTTTTGAGAAAGGTGGAGGGAAGACTTACTACAATTACTAGCTGCAGTTGAAGAGAAAACTCCACTTGGCATATTTTTTTTTCTCCTTTAAACAACCGGCCTCATTTTTTAAGTCTAAAAGAGAGATGGGCAATGCCCCCAAGTTCCTGAGAAATGTGACACTGACGAGCCATCTTTCATTTGTGAGCTCCTAGTTGGACTTAAGAAGCAAGTAAAATTAGATCAGAAAGCCACTCTAGACTAAAATTAACTCCTGGAATTCTGCCCTTTGAGTTTTCTGTAGTAATAATTGGAGAAGGAGGGGTATTTAGATGTCTCTAATCTTTGTTTTACAAACAAGAACACAGGAAACTCTTGAGATGTTTTTCCATAAATCACAAACCTATTGACACCAGCCCTGGGACTAGAATGATACCCAGTAATTCTACCATCAGTATACTTCCATTATATCTCATGCCTTGCAGTCCATTTTATACAGACGGGGTCTTATTTTATACACATATAAAGTAAATTGTCCTTTATACTTGAAAGATCACATAGGAATAATAGTCCCAACTAAGGGTGCTTCCTATCCCTCCCCTTATTTTATCCCTCCTCTCCAATGATTAGCAAAAGACAACTCATTTATTTCTTTGATACTCTTAGATACTGCTTGTCAGCCAAAACATCTGATTACAAGGGGGTCACATCATGACAATGCTAAGTTCTTTCTTCTTTCCCACCTCTCTAGATATTCTTATGCCAGCAGGGGACCAGTGGCCCTGTCCCATCTCCTGTGATAAGAAGCTCTGTGTAATTTAAGCCTAGTTATCTCTAAAATATAGATTAACTATGTTTTGTCTCTTCATATACACAAAGTTCTACCTTTGTTCCTATGCTCACTTTGTATTTTCTTATAAACTTTACTGAATAAACAAATTAGTTGAAGAACAGAGTAGAAAAGTGGCTCTGCCAGTCATAGTTAGAAAGTAATGGTAAAGAGCTTTTGCAGAAAAGGAATTTATTTCAGCATTTAGAGTGACTCCTAGACTTGCACAGCAGACTAGAGAATTACGCCTGGATGAGGGGCTGGCTAGTTGATTATAAAGATGATGCCACAGCAATGAATATTTAAGATGCTTCCCCTGGCAACATCACAGTAATTTTCAGTAATGCTGCTGGACTCTCCATTTGGTTACCACTACTGTGAATAACCTGTGAATACCCTGCACATATCAAGATGTAAAGTTCACATCTGATAGGCCAAGCTTGTGTCGCATGTTGACATCACTGCAGTCAGTGAGCAGAATGTCTGCTATCTTTGTATAGAGATCAATGGGGCATTGCTTCCTGATTCTTCCGGAATCTTCACACACTGAAAATAGAATCAATGACTATCCAGTGGCTGGGTGCCAAATATCAACAAGTACTTAAGACAGAGATGAGAGGTGAATCTAATCTAACACCCTAGTTAAAACTAAGGGGGTTAGTTTTAACTCTCAGAATAATATGCTCAGCAGTACAAAAAGATAAATAAGCCACGGTGGGCAAGTCTAGAAACATAAGTTATCAGGTACCACAATATATTTTTAGGAATAAAAAAAGGCCCAACTTTGAAGGACAGTATATGCAGCAATTAAGAACACAGACTGTACAGGTATAAATACCATTTCTGTCACTTACTGGCTGTGTGGCCCTGGTCAAATTCACTGAGTTTTCTGCACCTCAGTTTTCTCATCTGCAAATAGTACAGAACCAATATCTACATGTTTATTTCAAATTCTGAAACACCAAATACATTTTTGAATCATAATCAGTTATTAAGTTAAAGACTGCCTGCATTCCACTGTCAGGAAATTATATCAAAGAGAATGAGACTCTTTATTTCTAAAGCCAGTGGAAAATAACCATAGTTCAATCATTAGCCCCAGTTCAAAGACTTAGTACATTTTCTTAGGCACAAAGTCCATTTATGCATAGTTTTCTGGAAATAAGACCTGACTTGCAGGTGATGCTTATGTCCCCTGTTTGCATATTCATCAGTCCTTTATAGCACATATCCTGGAACCATATCCTTCCTGTGCATTAAATTTTACCAAGTAAAACCATGAGTTTACAGGAAATTAAAAACAAACCAGTGATCATTTTTCATAAGGAGTGTTGTAAAATGGTCTTTTACAAATGACCTGTAGCAGACATTTATTGTCACCTTCTCAGCATGTAATCCCCATTTCTTTCACCAGTAGCCCCCAGATATTCCTCTGCCAAATTCCTTTGAACTTATTCTTAGCGTGTGGAGCCTTAGATTCAAAGGGACACATGTTTAAACCAGGTACTAAATTACTACTGATTAATAGACTTGAATATATTCTTGAGTACAGAGTTTGATTCAGGGATGAGTATCTCAGATGAAGCCAATAAGCCATAAGAAGATATTTGTTGGGTTTTGCAGTAGAGTAATCTCACCATCTTTTTAAGGGGAAGTACCAGAAGAAATGCTAATCTTCCTCTGAACTTCAGCTGCCATGTGGGAAGCTGACCTGGACATTGTCCCTGTTCATAGGGTCGGGCATAGCTGAAGCACTGCAGATAAGCAAAGCCAAACTTCAAAGATGACATCAGGAACCTTTAGATCAAGATGTACATCAAGTTAGAAAAATCTTATTTTGCAGATACGCAGGCAGAATTATGATCTTTTAATTTTTAAAGCCCATTTTGGTTAAGTTTTCTACCACATGTAACTGAAAGACTTCTAATTCAAGGGTAAGCTAGAAAATGATTAGAAAATATACTGTTATCCATAAGAACAAAAAAAGTGGACACTTTATTGATAATAAAAAAATTGCCCCATGCACTATAGATACATTCATTAGAGAAACAGAAGAAACAATTGGAAGGAATCACAGATTGAGACTCAGCATAGTTGTATTATTAACAAATAGTTTATATATGTCAATAAATGTTTTCACATATGATTATTTATCCTCCTTTTAGACTGAAAATACCAGTCAGATAAAATGAATCTTAGATTGAATTTTTTAAATTAGTGCAAGGAAAATATCATGCCTGCAAAAAATGCTTTCAGCTGACTTTTATAGTTTAACTCTCAATGTGGGAGTCTTTTGATGACTAAAATCAAGAGAAGTCAAGCTTAAAACACCCCAGAGCTCCGAAGGAAAATTATGATGTTAAAATATATCCTTCAGTAAAAGTTAATGCAGAGATATTAGCATGCCATCATGTGAACACTCATAGCAAAAGTACAAAATGGCAGAAGAAAACAAAGGATATTTACAGCAAAATATTTAGAAAGTAAGTTATAACTTCCAAAAATACTATTTTTAATCTTCATTTTAAAAAAGCAATATGCAAATCACAGATGAGATTTGAAAAAAAATCACATATATGTAAATTTATATTAAATGCAAAATATGATGTTAAATGACTCAGTATAAAATTAGTCTATTCCAGAAAGATAGAGGCAATGTACTCTTAGATTCTCCCATGCAATCAACTCAATGAACTTGGGCAGCTCATAGACACCTCTGTCCTTCAGTTACCCACATATTTGTGCATAAGGCTAGAGTGAACTGACATTACTCAAACATCATGAAGAATAGCTTATACTTAAATACATGAAACTGACAAAAAATGTTTAATAACCTAATTTACATGAGTTCATTTGTTCCTATTTATGAAACTGTTTTTTCAACTAGAAAGCTGAAAATTTTAATATAAAGAAAAAGTGTGTCTTAAATGTTGTGTGTCTTAAATTTCCTCACTTTGTAATTCTTCTTTCTTTTAAAAATATCAATAGTGTAAAAAATTAAAGTGATGAGTGCCCATGATGAGGAGAGAAAAATGTATATGCTTTATCGTGTGTGGTCATGGGGGTGGTTATGTAATAGAAATAAAGAGATTTTTATATTGTAGGTGACTGGAGCAGTAAAGAGTGAAGAGGTATGGGTGTGCTAACTGGGCATGTATATGTATATTACTAAGGTAGGCAAAGAAATAATTCTTTCACAGCAACTGACTGATGGTACTCTAGATTTCTAGAAGCAGAATACTGTAACCAGAAAAACTTGCTAAATTTGTGAGGGTGGAGGATGGGCGGGTGGTAGTGAGTTCACCAGGCTTCACAGATACTGCAGGAGAACAAATGTGCTAAATTTCTTTTTAATAAGAAGAGAACAATAATGCAATTTTAAAAATATCTATATAGAGATAAATAATTTCTAAAAAAACACACGTTAATGTTATATATGCATATGTGTGTTGATAAATATATAAAACTTGGTATAAACTGTTATAAGATACTAATTAATTGCTTAGAATAAAACAAAACATTAAGCTTTTTATTATTGATCTACATATCACATCACACACAAAATAGATAAGAATATGCTCATAATTTGCAACAATATGCAAAAAGCATTTGCCAAAAAACATTTTGTTATTTTATGTCTACTTTTATGCTTTTTCTTCTTATCTAATATTCTATAACATTAGATATCTTTATAGGGAAACATTTTAAAAAGAAAGTTGGATGACTAACATGTTTAAGCCTCTTACAGGAATCTGACAATAAAGCTACTTAGGAGCCATAAGCCATCTATAGTATCAGTCTGCTTTATATAAAGTCTGGTGACACTAGAAGCTGTCAAACACACATTCAGGAGACATAGATAATTAGCTAAGTGCTAGGCTATCATAATTTTTACTGTTTTCATTTTCCAACTTTTGCCTCTTTTGGAGGCCATATGCCCTTGGTTGTTAAAAAATCAAGTTATAGGCTGGGCACAGTGGCTCATACCTGTAATCCCAGCATTTTGGGAAGCTGAGGCGGGCAGATCAACTGAGGTCAGGAGTTCGAGATCAAACTGGCAAACATGGTGAAACCCCGTCTCTACTAAAAATACAAAAATTGGCCAGGAGTGGTGGTGGGTGCCTGTAATCCCAGCTACTTGGGAGGCTGAGGCAGGGAGAATCACTTAGACCCGGGAGGCGGAGGTTGCAGTGAGCCGAGATCACACCATTTTACTCCAGCTTGGGCGATAGAGCAAGACTCAGTCTCAAAAACAAAACAAAACAAACAAACAAATAAAAAACACTACCAATTAAAATATTTTTATTTTGTTTTTAGTTCTTAATCTATTTTATATTTCATGCATACCTACATTCTAATTTAAGCAGCTGATTGTTATTTGTTTCTCCACAGTTCTCTTCATAGGATGGAAGGTCCACATGTCTTAAGTCACCTGTTTTGTTTTCCCCTCCATGCAATTATTTTAAATTGCAATTTTGTATACAGCATATGACTCAAAAATACAACTCATGTGGTCAATTACATTGTTACTCTATCTTAGAGAGTTTGAATTTACATGTAATGCTTAATGGAAATAGTTGATGGTTTTCTTTTAAAAATGATGAGTAAACGCAAGTATAAAAACGGCAAAGGTTAAATTCTCCCAAGTTTTTATTTGATTATTTTGTCAGAGGGAAGTGGAAAAATTTTATCCCTCTTTACCCTCCCTAATTACTTTCCAAGTCACATTGTTTTAATCTTCTGGAGTCATCTTTTCATTTGGAAAAAAAATTATGAGTTTACACCATATATGGGCATTCTTACCTTAATAAGCTATAATTTGTGAGATAATGATATCCAAATGAGTAAGGACTATTTTCTCCTCTTTTTTGGAATTAAGAGATAAACCAAGAGTCCAAAGACATTTTCCCCCATCTCAGTATTACTTCAGGTAAATAAAGTGCACTGAGCTAGAAGGTCATTATGTTTCTTGATAATAAACTCTCTCCTCTCCATGAAGCCAGATAATAAATCAGTAGAGCCACTGCTTGAGAACAAGGGGAACTATTTTGGAACAACCTCATATTTTTAAAGTCATTTCTTATTTGGCAAATGCCATGTCTATACACCTGGCTTAACAGATAGACTAATTCCAGATCTCAGATATTATGAAGTGCAGACCTCTGAGCCATATTCCCTAGGAAGCATCACATCATCAAATCACCTACTTCACTTATTCTCAGGAGCCACTATGAGCTCTCTAAGGATTTGCATTCACAATGTACTATTCTCTCTTTAATGATGTTTTCCTCTCTTTTGAAAAGTCACTCTATCCTTCTGACTCAACAAATATACACTTTGAGAAATCAAGCTAAATGCAATGGATACCTGCAACAAAAATGCTGCCTAAAATCATAAAACACTGAAAATGATCATCCAAAAGCACAGTTGCTGCTATTATCCCACTACAAGCAACTCATGAGATTAATTTCCCAGAAGAGGCTGATGTCAATGATAAGTAAAACTGCATATTATGAACCCATGTGAACTTCCTAACGTAAAAATCTATAATATGGACATTAAAGTGTAAGTACTTTTCAAGGCCTGAGAAATTATATTAGTCATTTTTTTCTATGACACATCACAAGTAAGTGTAGTCAGAAAACAGATACAGAACACAGAACAGGAGAAAGCTGACATTTTATTAACAATTCCATTAAAATAAATGAGCTCACGTCCAAGCAAAAATCAAGAATCAATAAGTGTTTTAAATTAAGCACTTGACGTGTTGGAAATGAATGTACACTTTAGAACACTGAAGGAACCAGTGACCACTCCTTGAAATATGATTCCAATCTATTAGATTCATTACATGAAAAACTTGAATAAACTTCACTTGAGTTAAAGATAAATTCAGATTTAAACTAATATTGACCTTCCTCAAAGTACAGGAATGGTGTCATTCAGAATTAAGGAACAATAATTTGTCAAACAATATCAGTACAGGATGAATTTCAACTTACACGAGAATTTTATTTCTTTTCTAATGCTTATTGAAGACATTGATATTTTGTCATTGATTTAAATCCAAGGATAGCAAAACCTGTCATGGATAAAATAATTAGTGAAAATAACTTCCACTTTGAAGGCACACACATACACAGAAATTAAAATTGATTTCCCACATTCCCTGACCCCAGTCTTTTTAAGGGAAGACTTGCTTCCTCCTTCCAGAGCATCTTAGTCATTGGTTCAATGACTGTAATTTTTTATATTCAATTATTGAATAAGAAACTAGAATCTGGATGTGGGGGATCAGTTTTTAGATGATATCACATGTACTTCTTTCAGTCTTTCTCAGGGTACCTTGCAAAGTTCCCTGACTCATCATTCATGCATTAAGAGCAGTTTTAACAAGAACATTTACCAGGTGCAGTGATGCACTGCTAAGTTATTTACATATATCTTATTAAATCCTGACCTTGCCATTGCCCTCTCCAAAAAACAAACAAACAAATAAACAGAAAATTCTACAGAGCAGTAGTAATTAGGCTCATTTTATGAATGAAAAAATTGAGGCTCAAAGAGTTTAATAATTTGTCCAAAGCACCAAAGGTAGTAATGGTAGGAGCTCAATATGAGATGGGATCATACAAATTCCAAAATGCTATGACCACTCTTCAAAATATCTTTATGTTATTAAAAATTGTGATTTTTATCTCCATACGCATGTTTGTTTTTTATTTTTATTTTTGAGATGGAGTCTTACTCTGTCACCCAGGCTGGAGTGCAATGGCACGGTCTCAGCTCACCACAACCTCTTTCTCCTGGGTTCAAGTGATTCTCCTACCTCAGCCTCCCGAGTAGCTGGGATAACAGGTGCCCACCACCACACCTGGCTAATTTTTGTATTTTTAGTAGAGACGAGGTTTCACCATGTTGGCCAGGCTGGTTTCGAACTCCTGACCTCAGGTGATCCGCCCACCTCAGTCTCCCAAAGTGCTGGGATTACAAACGTGAACCACCGCACCCAGCCCATAGGCATGTTTATACTTACTTTTCAGACAAAACAAAACGAAACAAAAAACTGTCCTTCTAGTTCTTAATATATTAAGCCCCTGAATGACTCTAAAAGGAAAACATTTTCCTTTTCTATTTCTCCTTATTTTAAATACTCCACTGAACTAAAATTAAACACATTAACTAATATAAACCAATGGTTAGAAAACTTTGCATTTCACTTTCTTTATACAGGTATGCCAATGATTTTTCTCTTGCAATAGAAATGCAAGTTAACATGTGAAATAGATTAATCAAAACAACATAATGTTGTGTTTTAATTAAATATCTAGAATATATTTATATGTGTGGGTATATATATGTATATATTTGTGTATGTGTGTATATATGTATATATATGTATATATGTGTATATATACACACACACACACAATTAAATATCAGTAGAAATGCTATGTTCAGTTGGAAGTGTTCTCTAAAGAAACTGCCTTCTCTTTCTGCTTTAAATAATTTTATACATGCAGTTCTGAGTAGTTTTGCTACCATCTGACCACAGAGAATGTCTGAAACTGTAAAGTTAGAACAATCCAGAAGAAGTGAATGAGGTAGATAATAACTAGTGAGGGTGATATTTCTAAGTTTCAAATTTTAACAGTTATACAAGGAATAGAATCAGCAATAATAGCAGAGGTATTTCCTTCAAATGTAATAGATAAAATAATTCTAGTGCTAAATTAATTTAAAAGTAACTATTACATTCAGAAGTTTATCCCTACTTTATAGTATTTCGAAAACCCATTATTCTCATACAGTACTTCCATAACTAGGCTGCATTCATTAAGATGCCAGAATTTCAATTTCCCAAAAAGATTGACACTTTCGGGTAATCTCCACAATTTTAGAGGCAATTCAATCTATTTTGATTTAAAATTGATTAGCATCTTTGGAAATAATGTGTCACGAATTGCTGAGCTAATCAAGGTAAATGGGGCCATACATTAAACATTCAAGAACGTTATTCAATCACAAAATAACCCACATTTCCAAGCTCCAGATCAACAAATTAAAGCTGCCCTTTGCAAAGCTTAATTTCTTTGGCTCATCAGTATTGTTGTGTACATTTATATAGTTATCAAACATTAACAACATGCTCTTGAAATAGGAAACAGCCTGTGCTCCCTACCTAGGCATGCCAAATAAGCAAAGGCCAAAAAGGACGAAAGAAAAATAATGAAAATATAATCAAGTCCATATTTCTCGCTTATTCAGGTTTCACATGACAAAACACCCGGTAAGTACACAAAGTTATTATGGTAAAACCTACGTTAATTAGAATCACCAAAATAGTTCTGGATATACATTAGAAGTTCAACACAAAAAGTAGAGGTTAAATACAATTTAATTGATATTGACCCTGAATTATTATCTATTATTTTAATTTTAATTTTTTATAATTTTAAAGTGATTTGGAGAATGCCCTTAGTTCTATGTGTTAGTATGCTTTTAGCAAAATCTATCTGAAGTGGAAAAAGTGATGACAAAGAGACTGGAATTCAGAATACTTAGAGGTTAACATCTGTAATCGATCCATGGAATCTTCAGGTTGTCTCGATATAAATTCAAATGAAACTGTGAGGGATGACAACAGGTAAGGACCATTCAGGGAAACAGATGAAGCAAAGGCACCTGCACTTTGCTCTAATCCCCAGGTGGGCTCAGTCTCCAGGTGACTCCAGGCCTGTCTGCCTGCCTATATGTGAGCCTATAGCTAGACTAGGGGTGAGTTCATTAAGCCTTCAGCACACGATCACAACAGAGATATCTGTTTTTATTTTGCTATCCATCATATTAGAAGCTGCTTTTGCCTTAGTTTGTCACTGAAACGAAATGTCCCTATTTCTTCCTTCAGCAGCTTGCAAGTTGAAAGGTGTATCAAATGGGAACACAGCGTCACAGTTGAAACATTTATTTTCCTCCAAAAACCATCTTCAGGCAGTGGAACTGACAATACTTTCCAGTAATGCTTGAGGGCAAAATCAAGGACAGATAGAACACAACTGAGGTATGTGGTATTTCTTTTATTTCCTCCTCCAGTTTAAAGGTGCTTTTAAATGTAAAGCATCTTTTCTACTAGATGATAGTTTTTAAAATAGACTTTAGTATGAAAAGCATATTTTTGAAGATTTGTATCCTTATTTCAAACTACAACGTAAGCCAACCCTTCAGCCTAGATTATTAAAATAATGGGATCAAGGAGTGTTAAACCTATTAGACTGAGTAGGAGAAAATGTTTGGGGCAGGAAATAAGTGCAGAGGATTTTACTTTAATGGCACAGAAAATACATTTAAAAATTACTATTAATAACATCTTTCTTCTACCATTACATAAAGACTTATTTGATCACTTCACGCCAGAAAACTGGAATCATTACACTGACAACTGAAACAGAAAGTAGAGATCATTGAAGAAATGAAAGATAATTTAAGATAAGAACATTGAGGCTCCAAGTATGGCTTCTAGAGAATTAAGCTACAGTATGCTAAGATCATCTGAGTGTCCTGAAAAGGGTTATATTTATAGCAGTTTTGTTCAATATATGACAAACAGCACGTAATCTCCTCTGTAAAAAGGAATAAAATACCCATTTAGTGGCGATGAATTATCTTTTACACTATTCAGCTCCATTTTAATAATATATGTCCTGTCTTCTCTCGTACTAAGTTACATTATAGTGACCTGAATAAGTTATAAACTCTCCAGAATAGGCTTTCTCATGTGCACAATCAAAATAATGTCAGGGACTGTGTCTTATGCCTCTTGGTAGCTCCAATGCCTGTGAGGGGGCCTTCCATGAGGTGGGTCTTCAGTAACACTTGCTAAGTTAATGACTAAATGAATGATTTCTTAAGCGAGTTGTGGTCATGAAAATACAACCATCAGTCACTAGAATGCACATTACAGAATTATTTAACCTTCAAGTTACAAGGAGTCTTACAGGAGTGCTCATTAAACTCACATTCAATTTAAGAATACCTTCTACATTTGTGAAGCTTTGTCCTCTAAATCCCAGTTTAAAAATCTCAATGATTGGAAGTTCACTGTTCCATTTTCATTCAGCTTCATTTGTTAAACTTGCCTATGTTGAGTCACAAATTGCTTCCTTGCAGCTTGCATCCTAACTCTGTCCTCTGGATAACACAGAACAAGAAAATTGCCTTTTCATCCTGACAACACTCGAAATTTTTTAAGACTACGGTAATTGTCTCACTTACTCGTTTCTGGTTTAACGTTCCCACATCTCTCACTTTTTTATGGTTTTCTGGTTTCCAGGTCCAGTCTCTTGGTCTTTTATGATCTCTGGACACTTGCCACTGGATATTCTCTACTTTTTCAGTCACTTTCTATAAATGTGGAACTCAAAATGAACAAAATTAAAAGAGCCTGGCTGGCCAGGCACAGTGGTTCAGCCTGGAATCCCAGCACTCTGGGAGGCCAAGGCAGGCAGATCACCTGAGGTCAGGAGTTTGAGACTAGCCTGGTCAACATGGTAAAATCCTGCCTCTACTAAAAATACAAAAATTATCCGGGCGTGGTGGCACACAGCTGTGGCCCCAGCTACTCAGGTGGCTAAGACAGGATAATCACTTGAACCCGGAAGGCAGAGGTTGCGGTGAACCGAGACTGCACCACTGCATTTCACCCTGGACGACAGTGAGACACCGTCTCAAAAAATAAAATAAAATAATAAAAAAAAAGCTTAATTGATTTTAAGTTTTTTTTTTTTCTCTCTCTCTTTTTTTGCAGCAGTTTTATTATGGTGTGTCCAGATGTGTTTTTTTTCCATTATATTTACCCTCCTGGAGTGTACAGACTTTGGATTTGTGGCTTAATCTTCAGTTTAAATTTTTTATTGATTCTGTCCCATTCTCTTGCTCTTCACTTTCTAGAACTCTAAATTATATATATGTAGGCACATGTCACCAGTTTTTAAATATTCTTCTTCATTTTCTAGGCATTTCCTTCTTTGAGCTTTAATCTGGATATTTCTAGGCACTGATCTTTCAGTTCACTAACCCTCTCCTTTGACTTGCCAAATCTGTTATGAATCCATATATTGAATTTTTAATTTTCAATCACTGCATTTTTCAGATTCCAGTTCTTTAAGAAAATTCTCCATCTTTTTCTCTATTTCTTGAAAATATTAATCATACTTAGGCGTTCCTGATAACTCCAAAATCTAAATAATCTATTAAATATGTTTTTTTCATTTGTGGTCATCTGAACCTGTTTATCAGCATGCCAGGTAATTTTAAATGAATATTATAAATAGTACACAAGATATTGCACAAAAGCTCTGGTTGGTCTGATTTTTCTCCAAATAGAATTTTATTTTATTCTAGAAGGCAGGTAAGGTACTGATATCTTCAGTTAAGTGTGAGTTTTGGGATTTGTTAGGGATGGTGTTTTCTTCCAGTTTGCTCTTATTCTTGGATCATAGTACTTTTGGGATCAAAACTGTAAGCTAGTGGTATTTAAAAGGACCACTCCACTTTCCTAGGCACTAAACTCTAACTTCTCTCTCCCCAGGACGACTGGACGGTGATATCTTTGCTCAGCTATTTGGTCTCCCGGGAACAGGTTTCTGCTTGATTTCAAGGAGTTTCACCCTACACTTGTGTAGTGTAAGAATTGGCAAATGCCTTCAGAGGAAATCACCTACTGCATATTATTTCTGGTTTAGTTCTCTGAGATTTCTTCTTCACCCTCAAGTCCTGATTTACTTGGCAGCCCTGGCTGTGACAGTCTCTCTCTCCAACCCAGCAAGTCTGTTGTAAGCGTCTGACTTTATACTTCCTCCTCAGGCTCTCTTCTCTTTGCTGAAAATAGACAGATTTTGGTAAGAAAAAAGTAGAACAATTGTTGAGATCACCATGGTGCACTCTCCTCTCCAGAATGTTGTTCCAAGCCCCATCTGCTTTGAGTTTTCACCCACGTCTCCCAAGATTTTGGTATGTCATTTTAATTGTAGAGAGTGCAGTGAGCTTATCACAGTATCAGCATGCTCACTGAGTATTTACTAAGTCCCAAGCACCATACTGAACAACCTACAAAGGTGATTAAGACATGGTTCCTGCCCTTCACTTAATTCACACAGAGGGTAAGGTCAAGTGTGTGAGATGATTACGGGAGAGTCAAACAGGGTATTTATTCTTGAGAATAATCACTATTTCTGTTTGTTTCTAGTTGGAAATAATTTTGTTTTTTACTTCTGACTTTAAAGCTAATTCACATTCATTGTAAAATAAATCAGAAAATAAATAAAACTATAAAAAGAAACTAGACACAATCTCTTGGTTCCCACTAGGAAACAGCCATTGTTTTGTTGTGTATCTGTCAAGAATTTTATAGATGGATTCTTGGAAGGAACAAAAGAAAGGAGGATGGAAGGAGTAGAAAAAGGAAGGGCAGGAGGTAGGAAAGAAAGGAAAAGACAGTTATTATAGAGGTTGTGTTAAAAATACTTGCAGTGGAAAGGATAATCTGTGAAGCATGTGTACATGAGAAAACAAGTGAGCCAAAAACTGAGGGCAGAACCTTGGGGAAAGCTAAAGTATACAGCAGGAGTGATGTGGCGTGAGGTTGGGTAGTTAGAAAAGAGGAAACTCTGAAGTCTGGAGCAAGAGAACAGAGTTTCAAGAAGTGGATATGAGGAGAAGCCTCAAATGCAGCAAGAATTTCTTAGAAATACCCTCTGCATTTGACCCTCATAATATCAGCCTTGGAGGCTTCAATGGAACTATTTTGAGCACAGCAGTGGTGGCAATGCCAGACTGCAGAGAGGTTAAGCGGAAATGAGAAAGGAGAAATTGAAGACATCCACTACCAATTATCCTCCTTAATAATTTGGACATGAGAGAGAGGAAAGAGATAAAAGGAGTGGGTAAAAGCCAAATAAGTTCTTTAGTTTTAATGCTGGAGAAACTTGAGCATGTTTACACACTAAGGGCAAGGAGTAAACAGAAGGCAAAAACAGAAAATGCTGGCAAGAGCATGAAGCTAACAAAATAAGACTCCTTCTTTAGATGTTATAATATGTAATACGATTACCCTTGACCTTTTTTGTATCCACATTTCAGAGCAAGCACACATGAAACTTAAGGCCAAATAAAACCACCACATCCTTTTCACAAGAACTGAGGCCAGGTCAGGCCTGTTCTTCTCAGTGCCTAAGTCCTCTAGAAGCCTTTCTCCTGTACCTAAACACGGCACTGCTAACAGTCACACCTCTGACCCACCATGCTCTCATTCAATCAAATTTAATCAGTGCTTATCGTAGGCAGAGCATGATGTTAGCATGCAGAATAAAGCAGTACAAAACAAACTCTGTTCTGCCCTCTGAGAGCTTATCTTCTAGTTGTTTACAGCTCATGATATATTATCTCATCAAACAGTCATCATACATATTGATAAGAATCCAAAATATGGAAGTTCTTTGGTCAGTGGCTGTTGAAACTTGTGGCAACTTTCCACCTTCCAATAAAAGAAGGAGATCATGGTCTCTTCTGTCATTGCCTGAGAATAGATTTCCAGTAGATTTGCAAATAAGACTAGAAAATAATAATCCACAAAAAGTATAGACATATTATGGCAACAACATTAAGTAAAACAAATGTTTTAAAAGCTACATTTAACCAGTTTTTAAATGATCTATATAACGGAAAGTATTGATTAGATTAATATTTATTTGCTTTGGGGTGCATTAGTTTTTTTAGACCAAATTGATCAAATCAAATAATTCTCTTCTAACTTTACATAGCCTTAAATAAATTCTCTCTTTTTGCATCTGATTTTGAAACTCATGAATAAGATCATCAATATATTTTATCTTGTAAAACAATCTATCTACTACACCAAGAAAATAATCTAAATATCTACTCTCAGGTACAAACTATATATATTCCAAAAAATAATTTCAGAAAACTTTCTAGGAAAGGGACATAGATCATTACCTCCTATAGTGTCAAGGGAGATTTTACAAACTTTAAACTTTTTTTTTTTTTTGAGATGGAGTCTCCCTGTCTCCCAGGCTGGAGTGCAGTGGCACGATCTGGGCTCACTACAAGCTCCGCCCCCCGGGTTCACACCATTCTCCTGTCTCAGCCTCCTGAGTAGCTGGGACTACAGATGCCCGCCACCACACCTGGCTAATTTTTTTTTTACAAACTTTTTTATAAACTACATCTGCAATAAAGCTCATTGGTGCATAACTTTAGCGAGTTTATTTTCAGATAACCATCACAGAAAAACTTCTATAAATCATAGACAGATATCAACTCTATCCTTTCTTAGAAATTCTATCATGAGCAATTATCACTTTTTAAATTTATTTTTAATTTTGTGAGTACATAGCAGGTATATATATTTATGGGAGTACATGAGATACTTTGATATAGGCATGCAATGCATAATAATCACATCAGAGTAAATGAAGTATCCCCCCCCTCAGGTATTTATCTTTTGTGTTACAAACAATCCAATTATATACTTTTAGTTATTTTATTATAATAGAGAAGATTTAATTAAATAATAATAAAGAAAAACATGTATTCTTGTAAAGGTAAAATTAAAAATCTCTCTTTCTAATTTTTTTTAAACATTCTTAGTGATCATTAACAAAGAACTCTACTCCAGCATTCTGAACCCTTGACTTAAATTGCTGAATTATTTTATTTCATGAAACATACTGAGAATGGTCAGCTAGAACTATACCTGGAGAAGCAGTTGTTTTGATGGGTAGGGGTAAGTTACATGTTTGGCTAAATGCCGTTATGCATGTCACAGTTAGAAACTTTCCTGAAGACTTTTTAGAAGTTGTAGGATATGTATGAATATGACATTTATACAGTTCCAAGCATTTTTCACCATTCCTGTTTGCCATAGTGGTTAGACTGTAGGGAGACCCCCTGAAACTACTGCTACGGAATAAAAGATGAAATCCTCCTGATTATTGTAAATACAAAATAGCATGCAGGATTGTGTAAAAACAATGCCAGGTTGGGCTGCCAGAATGAGCCAACAGTGCATGATGTGCTTCCCCCTGCAGAGAGCCTATGAACAGACGTGTAGTCAGGGAGGTTTCACATCACCAAGATTCCTATCCCAGGAAAGCAGATGTTCATAGCTCTGGGAATGGAATGCAACCCTTGTGGAGAGCCTATAAACAGATGCATGAGGGGCGCCTGTTCATATGGATAAGATAGGGCTATAAATGCCCTCATCTTGCCACGGCTCTTCTAGGCCTCTTTAGGGTTAAGGCATACTCCCTTCGGAGAATTTCTGGTCTAACCAGTTGTCTAGCTTCACGTCCTGTTTCTACTGATTGTTTGTAACCAGCTTTTCCTGCCACTGTTACTGCTGATTAATATCTTGCTAATCATAGGTTATGGAAAGTCTGTTTCTGTTTTAAGGCTCTGTTAGAAATTACTGATATACACACTATATTGTAAATTCTTATCTCTGTATACTGTACTTCTGCATACAGATGTTATGCTAAAGAATTACTTCATCCCCATGTGACCTTCTCACCTCATAATCAAACGATCCTAAATCCCTCATTAACTTACCCCCATCCTCACTAAACTTAATAATAAATGCCGGTATACCAAGTGCATTGGCGGCATCGCAGGACCAGAAGGCAGTGACCCCCCTGGACCCCCTATCTTGTGTGTGTCTATTACTTCTCGACCTGCCAATCTGCCTGGGAACAAAGAAAGAGTCATGTTGCATTGCAGGCTGCTGGCTAGATCCCACAATAGTTAGACGAATCACATTTTCACTTGAATTTTTTGCTACTTAGAAACATGAATGAGCAACATCAAAATGATAGGTAAAATAAAACAAATATTTTTTCTAGTGTTCACCTTACCTAAATTATAAGTAAATTAAGTTCATGTAATCTGCACACCTTTAAGTTTTTAGACTAAAGTTAATTTTCCGTATAAGATTTAAAAACACCTAGGAGCTCATGCCTGTAATCCCAGCACTTTGGGAGGCCGAGGTGGGCGGATCACAAGGTCAGGAGATTGAGACCATCCTGGCTAACACGATGAAACCCCGTCTCTACTAAAAATACAAAAAGTTAGCCAGGCGTGGTGGTGGGCGCCTGTAGTCCCAGCTACTCGGGAGGCTGAGGCAGGAGAATGGCGTGAACCCAGGAGGCAGAGCTTGCAGTGAGCCAAGATCATGCCACTGCACTCCAGCCTGGGCGACAGAGCGAGACTCCACCTCAAAACAAACAAACAAACAAAAACCACCTAATTAACATTACATTCCCAGTAGAGGATATAATTCTTTGGATCTGGTATTTCTCCTTTAGAAAGACTTCAAATATGATCACTCTCAAAATGAGGATACAAGACGCACAATCACATAAAATGTGTATGTGTTTTATGGTCCTTCAAAAGACAATACTAGCAGCGACTCATATTAAAAGGGAAAAGAAGTATTTGACCTATTTTAGGCAGCCATTAGAAAATGTATTATTATTATATATGTGACTTAACCTATCTGAACTTCAATCCCTTGCTTGTAAACCTTGGATAATAATAACATCTGCACATAGAATTGTTATGAGAATTAAATGAATTTATCTCTAGGAGCATAGCATGTTCACTGTTGTCATTCTATAGCACTAAACTAAGCAGTATTCTTTCATCTTAGTCGGGGAGACTCTTCCTTAAACCCAAGACATGTTGATAAAGACTTGTCAAATGTTGACTGCAACACTGAATGCATTTACCCTTTGAAATTAAGGAAATAATGGTTTCTTATTTGAAGCACTTATTTCTATGTAGGTAAAAACCATATAAATTTGAAAACATGTATTCTATTTGGTTCAGAGAATTGTGTGCATTTATATTTAGAAGTCTATAAAATCAAGGGAGAAAGATTCTGAAAATAATTTAATGAGGAAAAGACCAACAAACATATTACTACGATCAAAGCAAATGTTGTAGAAAATTGACCACCATAAGGGTTATTCAACAGAAACCACCACATCTAGATTCTCTAGTCCACCTCAGGAGCTCCTTATAAGGGTGCTAAGTCTTTCACATAATTTGAGGCTAACAGTGCAAAGTGAGGGGAGATGAGCTACAGACTCTTATAATTGCATCAAACAGCAGTCTTCGCCTCTACATATTTATGATTAATTACCAAGCCCTTTAAAGGCAGAGAAAAATTTCCAGTTTTCATCTTCCAAGTCAATTACGATTGCAGTCATTAGCATTAAAGAAATGCATTAGATCTATCCATTTTAATTGGCATTATAAATGTTTCTCTTTCTTTGGTTTTTATAACCTTGACAGGTCCTGACTTGGTCTTTCCTTCTTTATTATTGCCTTCATTATCTTCTCACCCACCAATTTTGCCCTAACAATAAATTTTTCTCACTAAGTCCACTGCATTTTACTGTTTATTATTTGTGAGTTCATTTCTAATGAATTTAACTGTCATCTTAATAGTTACCCATAGGGCCATACCTCTAGCCCTGCTCTCTCTTCTATTTCAGTCCAGTAATTCCAGGGACCAATAGAGCAAATCAAGTTTAGTATATTTCCACTACATCATATTCACCTCCTTGCACTATCACATTAGAATTAATCTGTGCTTTTCAGTGATACTACTTTCTTCTAATTTTCTTGCTACTGAGCTCTTTTTCACAAGTCATACCACTGAATATTTTTTTCTTTGTATCAGTTAAAACTTTTTATTGCTGCCAGTAACAGTAGAACTAATCCAAAGTCATTTTTTAAGGGAATAATTAGCTCAAGCAAATTAAAATCCAGATGTAGTACAGATTAGGTTCAATTCTAGGTTTTATCCAGTGCCTCAAACAATGTTATCAGTGATCTGATTTTGCTATGCTTTCCTGTTCTTCCTTCCTTGGAATAGGCTGCATCTTAGGCTCCATCCTATGGCCTCCAAAACATCATGCCTTCCCTTATGGTAGCAACATGGCTGCATCAGCCCTAGTTCTCCAATCCCCATATTACAGCTCCGTTGAAGTCAGCATCTTTTCTGACAGCATCCACTTAATCCTGGGATTATTTATTTCTTGTCCTGATTTAGGTCACATATCCATCATTAAAGTCAATCACTGAGACCAGAGATGGTTCTATTGAGTCAGTGGTGTCCTCAAATCTTCCCACTACACATAGCTTAGAATGGTGGCAGGATGAATCCTTCAAAGGAATATCAGGGTGCTGGAGGAAGGAGAAATAAACACCAGGAAAGAAAGCAACATATGTCTGAGACATGCGCCAATTAGATTACAAACTCTGAGCACAGATCATGTTGCATACATTCCAGTCTTCCTTATTCTTGTCTGCCCTTCCATTCCCACAATATCCAGCACTGTGGAAGACCCACCAGCTGATTCTTAGTATATATGTTGGGATTTATTGATTGATCAACAAGTAAAATTCCAATCTGAAAGACACATATTGGATCAAACATTTTACATAAATTCATCTGGGACTAAGAGGCTTGGAAGATACAGAAATAGGAGATGATGTCTCTTTCCACACGTATTGTCTGCCTCCACACACATATGGAGAAGGCTCAAAACACCACCACATATTAGAATATAATTTGAAATCAGCATATGCTATCATGCCTGTGTCCTAATTTGGAATTTTAAGAATAGTGACCTCATTACACTGACTGTGTCACGGTATCCTCCTATCACTCCTGTGTATTTTTAATGGATATGTGTGTCTTTAGTAGACTGGACACTTATTTAGAAAAAATAAGTAACTTCTGACTTATCATTTTATTAGCTCCAGAGTTTAGCAAAAGATATGGTACACAGTAGGTCCCAAATATCTATTTGTTAAATAGCATTAATTATTATATTGTTATTTGATTAGTAAAGACAGTAAGCAAAAAGTACAAATATGGCATTCCCTTATCATGATAAATGCAGCTTAAAAGGTAAAATTCATCACTATAAAATATTTATAATCTACATGAGGTCCTAGTTTAAGCAGCCTAAACCTTTTCCACTATAGTAATTAAATGGGTCTGGATATGTGTAGGGAGCCTCATGTAACTTAGAAAACTACTGGGAAAAAAAGTATCCAATGGGTGAGACATGGGGCTCAATAGAAGTTCAAAGACAGTGAGCTAATTTTGGTTAGGTAAGAGTGCTTTAAAATAGGGGAAACATCTATTACTCGGGTTGATTTATAGCCCAGTCTTCATGAACTCATAATATTTAAACCCCAGAGTAGAGGTGTGATTGAGGGAGAAGCTGGTAGCTTCAATAAAAGATCAAGTAACAATGAAAAGGGCTGGCTTTAGATTCAATAGCTTTGGTGCCAACAAAAATAGCAGCTGTATTAGTCCATTCTCACACTGCTATAAAGATACTACCCGAGACTGGGTAATTTATAAAGAAAAGAGGTTTAATTGACTCACAGTTCTGGATGGCTGAGGAGGCCTCAGAAAGCTTAAAATCCTGGTGGAAGGGGAAGCAGGCATGTCTTACATAGCAGCAAGTGAGAGAGAGCCAGGAGAAACCGCCACTTACAAAACCATCAGATCTCGTGAGAACTCGCTCATTATCACAAGAATAGCATGGAAGAAACCACCCTCATGCTCCAATCACCTCCCACCAAGTCCCCCCCTCCACATGTGGGGGTTATAGTTTGAGATGAGATTTGGGTGGGGACCCAGAGCCTAACCATATCAGTAGCTTCAAAAGCACAGGTTGTCCTGGCACTCTGAACCAAGTCTGGTATATTGCGGCACCAATAGCAGAAAAGGTAGACAATATCAGATAACACATGACAAATTTTAGAACTACAGTGAAACATATAATGGAAAACCTCCCCAGTAACTCCCAGACTATCTGGAGAGAAACTGAAGCACCTAAATGTCTCACAGATCCGTTTGGACACAGCTGAAGGAACACAATATTGCTGCTCCTGTTGCAGCTGTTTTTGAATGCCACTCAGCTAAATCCTAGGAAAATCCAGATTGTGTCTCAAAATTAGAAACTGAATTGTGAAAAGTTCTATTTTAATATGTCAACATGTTTTTTACTTCTGTTTCTTCAGAACCTATTTGTCAACGTTAGGATTTCCAGGTGTTGGGTATTCAGTCTGTATTTTAATTCCTAACAAAATGAAAAAAAAAAATTAAAAAGCAGCTATGTACATTCCATTTATATCACTTACACAATTTCTTTCATATAACAGGACAATTACTTGCTTTTGATGGTTCTAAGAGCAGAAACACGATGTCCTTTTTAGGGCAAATTCATTGTTCTGGAAGAAGCCATTTTGTTTTCCTCTCTTGGGCATGCAGATGTAAGTTAGGTACTAGTTTATTTAGGTTAACACCTAACTTTGGGAAATTAAGTCAAATGCAAACAGTATAAATGGAATGGAAGTAATGTCATGTCTTATATTAGCAGTCAGGCAAAGGGGCTGCTTTTGTGAAAGACTTTGAGAGGTAACTGGCAGTCATTGTGAGGAGTTTGCCATTTTTCTCCAAGACTACAGGCCAGGGTTTAGTCAGCTCTGTGTTAGAAAGGACGTGGAAGAAGTGGCTCTGAGTCGGGAAGGAGTGCATTTCAATAATAAAGTGACAGGCTAAAAATAGAAGCAGATAATGGAACTCAGAAGTGGTGATGTTTGATATAAGTAAATTCAAACAAAAAGGAGGACACAAATAAACATGAAATAGGTGCAGACTGAAATTTTTCATCTTCTTTAACTTCCAGTACAATAGTTCTAAAGGCAGTGTTCTTCATAATAAAAGCCACTGAATCAATCAAAATTTTAGACACAAATGTGATACATAACAAACCACCCACAAACTCAGTGGTTTAAAACAACAATTGTTTATTCTCACTCCCATGACTGCCAGTCGGCTGGGGATTGGCTGGTCTAGGCTGCTGTCAGCTAGTCTTGCCTTCCAAGAGGGCTTCACATGTCTCTTTTACTTCTTGGAGGAAGAGGTTAACTGAGCCCTCATGGCAATGGCAGAACCCAGGAGGGCAAGCCCAGGCATACCTTGAAAGTCATTAAGTGTGTCCACATCTGTTAACATCTCATTGATCCAACCAAGTAACATGGCTGAACTCAAATCAAGAAATGGAACCCTCCCTCTAGGTGGAGAAACTACAAAGACCCAAAACAATGGGTGTGGATGTAAGGTAGGGTGAAGAATTAGGGTGGAAAATTCAATCTATCACAAAGACACAGTCAAGCAAATACAAATTACCAAATGAAATATGTACAAATGAATCATTAAAAACAAACTTAAAGGTATATTTCTCCTCCAGATGGTGGTTGTATATTTATAGAGCACATCTGTGATCTGGGGGATTGTATGTCCAAAGGTGATGTAAATATTAGCACAAAGAAATGAATAAGTAATAATTGTCCTATGTTCTGTCTATTCTGAAGTATGGAGGTAACTGTGAGTCTCACATTGCTGCAGCAGATGGGAGTTTCCAAGCATTTTGTCACTTAAGAGTTAAGAGTTTACAAGTCCTCTATTGACTTGTTAATCACACCAATCAACCATCATACCAGTTTTAACAATGGAGAAGAATAAGTACCAGAATATATTTATACCGTTGTAAGAAATAATTGGGAGTTTGTAATGAAGTGAAAATTATCCAGCAAGACAATCCAGAACTACTACTAACTTTTTTTTTCCTTTGAGATGGAGTCTCGCTCTATTGCACTACTACTAACTTCTATGAATAGTAAAAGGATTTTACTTAAACCATTTCCCCTTTGCCCTGATAAATGAGTACTGGCAGCAGGCTGCACTGTTTCTAAACAGGAAATGGGTTAAATAACCAATAGTTTTAATAGCTAAGCATATATATTCCATATAGCCTTGCCATCAAGAGATTTCAGAGGTCCAATTTCCCTAAATGTATGACCTTGCCTTAAAGTTAGCCACATAACAAAAGAAGTAGACATCTTTCTGTCTGTTCAAAAGTAAAATATGACACTAAATTCATGCATGTAATTAAAGCTTATAGACCACTTTATGGAAGAATGGCAGACTTAACTGGTTAATCCATGAAGAAAAAAAGACTTTGAACAGATGTCAAGTGACTGTGAAAAAATTTGAGAACTGTAGCATCTAGAAATGGAAGTTCCTTCAAACGTGCAACCGTTACAAATTCTGCCAACTGTCATTCTCAGCAAACTATCGCAAGGACAAAAAAACCAAACACCGCATGTTCTCACTCATAGGTGGGAATTGAACAATGAGAACACATGGACACAGGAAGAGGAACATCACACACCAGGGCCTGTTGTCGGGTGGGGGGAGGGGGGAGGGATAGCATTAGGAGATATACCTAATGTAAATGACGAGTTAACGGGTGCAGCACACCAACATGGCACATGTATACATATGTAACAAACCTGCACGTTGTGCACATGTACCCTAAAACTTAGAGTATAATAATAAAAAAAAATTCTGCCAACTGTTGTACATGAAAGAAAGATGCTACTATGCAGCTCAAGAGTTAATCTAAAGAGGAAACCCAGGGCTGCTATTATCCACTGTTACCTTCTCTCTGTTAAAAAAAAAAAAAAAAAAAAAAAAAAAAAAAAAAAAAAAACTTAAAAATAAGCAAAAGCTTGTTACAGTACTAAATGTGTCACATTACTGTTTAAATTCATCAGAGACAGATGGCTAATTTGACTAAACCAACCTTTGTTTACACTGGAACTGATCCATTGATCCTGTGCAAAAGAATTGTGGTTTAAACTTCCCCCTACTTCAGCTACCACATTAATTCCAGGGTTCACTGCATTTCAAAAGAACAAGATTAGGATTTCCACATATTCCTTATGAATTAAAGCAACTGGATGAGTTCATAGTAATAAATATTTAGGAACCAGACTTCCCAAGGACAACATAATGAACAATAACCATGTACAGCACAGGTGGGCAGTTTTATACCTTAATGTATTATTTATATGATAAGGAAAAATACTGCTAAATGCAAAGTAATTCTACCAGCACTGATGTTTAAGACAATACAGATTCAGATAAATAGAACCTCTATGTTTTTCCATTTGCAATTTAAACTATAATTGCTAGACTCTTTTAAGTCCTAATTATTTAAAAGAAGCAGTAGTTAAACAAATGTATGATGTTTCGAATCTGTGCTAGCACGTTGTAACCATATGCAAATATGTGCCCTGGATATATATGGCTTAGTGATAAAATAAAATTGAGAGCTTTTCCTGCCCCAATATTTTATTAAAGTATGACTAAATAATTGACATGAGCTTTCAAATTTGTGAATTATTTTTTTTTCTACAATTAGGAGAATCTGGTCAGTGCATAATTTCATGAGTGTTAAGTAAGCATCTAAAAAGTCGACTTCATTATTCAACTACCAGGTGATTCCCAGTAAATTATAGTTCTGGAACAATAATGGGTAAGTCAAAGTGTTTCAGTCTATAACAAGACTAAGCATCTTTAGAAATTATCTTTTGTGTTGAGATTTCGTGTTATATACAAAGATAACAACACAACAACTCTTGATTGGGTGGTCCTTAAAGGCAGCGTTTTCTCACACTCAAAACATCTCTAACTCTCCCTATCAGATGTACTTGACCTTCCTATTACATTTACTCTGTCACTTCCATCATAAGTCTTACCACATGATGTGATTGTGTGTGTATATGTTTCTTTCTTTTTCTCTCTCTCTCCCACTGAACTCTAAGATATTTGAAAGGTAAAAATCCCCTTGTCTACTCTACCCTATGTGATTAGCATAGCAATTATACAGCACGTATCTGGGTGCCAGCACTTAATTAGTGATACACACGTATGCATACACATATTCTCTCTCTCCCATATATATTATATAAATCAGGGCTCATTATATATCTCAGGGGTAACGGAGTACCTAAGAAGGAACAACTTGGGTAAGTGGGAGACCTCCCCAAGTCTAGGATTCAGATCACTGGAGAAGGTATGGCTGCAGCCCGGTAGATAGTGGAGAAGTCTGCTGAATTGTCCAGACCAGAATTGATCCACATTTGTCTAGCCTAGTGGAAACTTCCCTCAGGGTACAGGCTGGTGAGGGCTGGTTGGTGCACACACAAATGGAGTCAGAGCATTGGAGCTTGCTCACCAGCAGAGCAGCAGGAGACCAACTGTACATAGGAGACCATCTATAAACCAGGGACAGCCACAGCAAGAACCTGGTGCCCCGGACTGCATGCACTGGGTGTGTGGCTAAAGCAGAGTGCCACCGGATGTTCCCATGCAGGCATTCTTGCAATAGTAGCAAAAAGCAAAACCAAATCACACCAGAACCAGGAAAAGAAACCCTTTTCCTTCTGCAATGTTGCTTTAGTGCCCTCTACTGACAAAGCTTAATTTTAAGATGTACAAAGGAGAAACACTTGGAGGGTCTAACTCCATTACAGCGGAGCAGATAATGAAGGGTGGCTATGGAGCTGACAGGCAGTGAATAGATACCCAGAACATCACTCAACAATCAAAAGAGGAATTTGTACTCAACAAGCACCCATTTTAAGACCTGATCATTTCTATTCTGTTATCTTTGGGACCTACCTGCATCCTTTCTTCCAAACAATCGATCACAGTGAACTATACAGATTGTTTAAAGAGCACAGTTTACCCTTACTTGTATCTGAGAGAAGTGGGGGATAGTTATATAAGGTAAATCATATCCAGCTTCATGGTGTAGCTTAGAGTAGATTTGGCATAAACTCACTTTCTTTACAGCCTAATATTTACAGTTATATATGGTTCATACCACAGTCAGTGAAAGCTGAAGTAGTAGCAGTCACCTGTAAGGCGTTCCAAATCTGGACCCTTGTTACTTCTCCCACTGGTTCATTCCATGCTCACCACACTGGCCTCGTCAAGGTTCCTAGAACACACTAGCAAATCCATTCAGGGCATCTGCCCTTGGTTTTGCCCTCTGCTCAGAACTCTTTTCCTTAAAAGAGCCACAGGGATCATCCACTCATTTTCTTTTTCTTTTTTTTTTGAGACGGAGTCTCGCTGCCGCCCAGGCTGGAGTGCGGTGGCACGATCTCGGCTCACTGCAGGCTCCGCCCCCCGGGGTTCACGCCATTCATCTGCCTCAGCCTCCCGAGTAGCTGGGACTACAGGCGCCCGCCACCTCGCCCGGCTAATTTTTTGTATTTTTGGTAGAGACGGGGTTTCACCGTGTTAGCCAGGATCGTCTCGATCTCCTGACCTCGTGATCCGCCCGCCTCGGCCTCCCAAAGTGCTGGGATTACAGGCGTGGGCCACCGTGCCCGGCCCATCCACTTATTTTAAAGTGACTCAAGTGGTACTTCCACAGTAAGACTTTTCCTAACTATCCTATTTAAAATAGCAAGCCACTGATACTTCCTGTCCCCTTTCCTGCTTTTTCTCTTAAGCATTTATCACCAACACACACACTCCGTCCCTCCCCTATTTTTTCTTTCTGTGTGTATACGTGTGTGTGTTTGTATATGTATATGTATATGTGTGTGTGTGTGTGTGTGTATATATATATATGTATATATATACACACACACATAGAGAGAGAGACAGGATCTTGCTCTTTCACTCAGGCTGGAGTTCAGTGTGTGCTCATAGCTCACTGTAACCTCAAACTCCTGAGGTCAAGCAATCCTCCTGCCTCAGCCTTCCAAGCTAGGACCACAGGTATGCACCCCCATGCCTGGCTAATTAAAAACATGTATTTTTTTAGATACAGGGTCTCACTATGTAGTGCAGGTTGGTCTTGAACTCCTGATCTCAAGTAATCCTCCCAGCTTGACCTCCCAAAGTGCAAGGATTACAGGTATGAACTACTACACCCAACCACACTATATATTTTATTTGATTGGTAATTATCTGCCATGCACATTAAAACACAATCACCATGAAGGAATTTTTTTCTGGTTTCTTCACTATATTATATTTTATGTCCTAGATTACTGCCTGATCAGTAAATACATGTCAAATGACTCATCCTACAATCTAAGATTAGATTATTGCTTGCTCCTTACTTCAGATTTCAAAAAATTCAAATCCACCTAGATACCAAGGCAGACAAATGACTGAAGCAGGCTGGGGTGAGTCCCTGAGTGAAGTGATGAATGTGTGTCTGAAAAGAGTAATTATTTATGATCTCTACTGAAAATTGTGACCATATAGGAATAAGAATCATGTATTGTCATTTTCAGACTTTTCAAAAGTGGAATAAAATGAGCACTTTGGGGTATAATCTAGTCTGTAAATGTAGGCACTAATTCAATTTGAGAACAAGAAGAATCCAAAAATAAAACCAAAACACTTTGCAAGACAAACGAAATATGTCCAGAGGCAGAAAGCAGTCACAGCAGTTAGGAGGCCACATAATTTTCCCATGCTTGGGGTATATTAATTTAATTCCTCGTTTGGTTTCTAAATTTACCCTTTCTGTACTGATGCTCAAACTCTTAATGTTGCAGTTCTCTCTCTTACCCATAAGCTCTTGTCCCCATAAAGACATCACTGTCTCTTCCCTTTTTCCTCTTTACATTCTCTATTCTTTCAGCCTTTTCTGCCAGTAGCCCACACATAGTAAATTTTCAGAAGGAACATCTGCTTTGGAATCAGAAAAAAAGTGGGGAGGGGACAGTTGAATTATAGTTTTACCTCTTAATCGCTCTGAGAGCTTGAAGAAATGTCTTCATCTACAATCTCTAATTTTCTTACAGTGTTTGAGTTCCCCTGGAAACCACTCCATTTTATCCTCTTCTTAAGCCTTGCAATCACTTCCCAATACTGTTCTTAGGTTGTCCTCCAGGGCTCTGGCTGCTCCTCCCCTGAGCAGCCTGAATCTGTCTTCTGCTTTATAGGGAGAATCACACAAGGCTCCTTTGTCTTCTTCGGAAAGTAAAATACTGGTGCTGTCACTCATTTTACCACATACTGTTCTGGATTACTGAACTGCTCTCTCAACGCATTATCATCTACTTTCCTTACTTCGTCTAACACAAAAGGGAAAGAAGAAGAAACTGACTAATATAGAGACACAGAGAGAGAAAGAGTTAGGAAAAGAGAAAGACACAAAGATAGGAAAACCATGAAGGAGGAGGATAAGGAATAAGAAACAATTATTATTTTGTTACGAATTATCCCTCATTCAAGGCAAAAGAATGGATGATGTAGCCTTAAAGCATAATCTTAAAGCACCACTTGTGTTCCATGATTCTGCGACTACATGGTCATAATAAATAATTAAGATTGTATTTTATAGGGAGCCAAAATATTTATTTTTTGAAAAGCACATGTTTCTCCTTAGGATATTCTACTCACAATATCTTCTGTTATTATGCCTTTAACAGACATTTAAAAACTCATCTTTATTTCTGAAAAGATTTGTATTTAGACAATTTCCTGTGAGTTTTGTAAAAACCTCTGAGAAGCAATTCGATGAATCGGTTGGTACACAATATAAGTCAGAGGTTGATTATGATTAGTGTAGTTGATGCTTTTTCAGTTTTTATTTAATTTTAGTGATATTTATACTCTTACTGGTAAATTCAGAGTCAAGACTGTTACTATATCCTTTACACTCTAGTATAGTTTAAAGAGAGACAGTATTTTAAGTCATTAGTAGGTTGAAGACATAATAATATCATTTAAAAATTGCTATGTACCTACAAGTCAACTGGAGTAAAAATAAACCAGTTAAATCAGATTTTAAAAAAATTTTGACAAAACAATTCTAAGGTGCTATTATAAAAATGCTACTTTATATACATTTTAGTATTGTTTTATTTTAATTAACAAGCAATAATTGCTTCTTATATTTGGCATTAACTAATTTGTGGATATTGACAACTGGATAATACAAAGATGTGTCAGACACTGTGTTGAATTAGAAAATAGATGTATAGGCTGGGTGCACTGGCTCACACCTGTAGTTCCAACACTTCAGGAGGCCAAGCTAGGCAAATTGCTTGAGCCCAAGACTTTGAGACCTTCCTGAGAAACATGGCAAAAACCTGTCTTTACAAAAAAATAGAAAAATTAGCCAGGCATGGTGGTGCACATCTGTAGTCCCAGCTACTTGGGAGCTGAGGTGGGGCAATCACTTGAGCCTGGGAGGTCGAAGCTGCTGTAAGCCATGATTGCACCACTGCACTCCAGCCTAGGTAACACAGTAAGACCCTGTCCCAGCGACAACAGCAGAGAAAATAGATCTATAAAAGTATTTTATCTTTTAGGTTATAGAGTAATGCACGCACTCTAAAAAAACAAAAAGAATGGGAAGTAGAAAAATATTTAAAAAATGCAGAAAATAATAATTGCAATTATGAAAGTGTGACAAACAACATCAGGAACGGAGTTCACTGTCTCATGGATTATTATAATTTGCCTTATTGTCTTAAGATGTACAAGCAGAAAGTAAACACTAACCTTGAAATAAGGAGATGGCTGGTTAAATCGTTGACACTTCAGTATAAAAGAGTTTAGGACATAAGCATGATCCAAAGCAATGAACTGAATATAACTTCTGAGCAGATGACACCATCAATTTTCTAGTTTTTCCACATGGTTAATAAGTTAATGACCCTTGTTCTTGCCACTTCAAATGAATATACTCAGATAATTCAAAAATATCTTGTGTTCACTCATGCACCCTGCTAGAGGTATAGTCATAAATCATCTAATCTAGTCACCAGACTTCATAAAAATCTATAAATCATCAAGGGAGATGTTTTGAAAGATGCTATCTAAGAGATTAAGCACTAAAATATCATTTGGCAAAGTGAAAACTACAGAGCATTAGTCCAGTGAGCTTTCTAAGTATAAAGAAGAGCAGGGGTCGGTTTCTTAACCTTCTCTGCCAGAGTCCAGAGTCCCAAAATATGTAACATAGAAAGGCTTTGAGAACATGTATTGCAAAAAACCTGATTAACTTTGTTTAATCCAGTGTCTTTCCATTATATTTACTAGGAAACATTTAGCCAAACTTCTTTGGTCCTCCTCAGGCATATCTTGAAGCTTTGAGAACGGGTCTTATAAAGTTCTAATACTAAATATAGTCAAAAGAATTAAAGATAATGTCCACACATTTGAAATATAAAGACTATAGAAAGTATGTCAGAGACTAAATTTTAAGATTAATATCACCAGTGAGAAAATAACTGTTATTAAAAGTCAAATTGTGTTCATGCCTAACCAGTCATGAGACTACGTGTGTAAGCTCCCTGATTTTTAAAAAAACCATTAGCAGGTTAAAGTGCATTTTACTAACTTGCTTTCCTAAGGTAAAATATACAATTTTCCTATTTAAAACTTGTAGTTATGGGCTAACAACTATAATAAAATATATGCTTCCTAAATTGCATATTTTTTTAATTGCCAGGAAAGCTCAATGTGAGGTAATTGTTGCCTCTTCAAATCCAATTCTGAATGAATGGGTGGATGGGATATGTCAATCATGTGTCTGCCAAGCCTAATACTCCCCTCTCCAGCAAAGATGCTTCCTCGTAAGATAGTGCTATGCTGTTTGTTTTTTTGTGTGTGTTTGCTTTGTTGTTAATGCTATTGGTTGGTTTATTTTTTGTACAGAGGGTAGTCACTGATGGGTCCAGAGGAGTACACTGAATACCAGGTCAACTGGTTAATGACCTGTGAAGTGCTGGGCTGTGAGGACTCTGTCTTCCCACAAGAGGTGAGGTTAATTAGCAAAGCCAATCACATTGTTTCTCCCATCCAGTCTGTACTAGATAATACAAAGAAGACTGTCTAATGGGATCAAACCTGTAGATACCATGACAGTAATATTACAGGGCCAATATGAAATAGCTTATTCCCAGAACCCTTTAGATCACCAAGGATGGCTGCAGTTTCAGACTGGATTTATTTTTAAAAGTAAAACAATCTTTTCTAAATTTAATCTAATTTACTAACAGAATGATACCAAGGTAAGTGAGTATAAAATTATTATCTAAATTCTGTGCCAACCAAAATTGATTTTAATTTTTTAAGAAAGAAGAATCATTTTCATTATTCAACTATGCAACACCAAGTTCAATATTTAAATGAAAAATGCTGGCCTTCTATTAGTATTGTGAAAATCTGTCAGGTTCTGTGACAAATGAGTTTCATATCCATGAATTAATCTGAAGTCACTGTTGGCTGTGTTTAATACTTGTGCAAAAAAAGAGAACAAAATAGGAAGGCTGATGCCACTAAAAGCTGATGTCTAAATCCTAAATGCATTTAAGTGTCCATATTTAATGGTTGAGAAGCAGTTTAAATTGCACAACATAAAATCCATCAACACACACTTTCACTAAAGAGGAAATCTCCATTTTGTGGTCAGATAGACTCAATATTTGGTTTGAAAACATCTCATGTTTCTATAGATCACAAAAGATTAGAAAGAGGGGCAGGGATCATGTGAGAGAGGTAGAATACACTTTATTTCTCAAAAAAGAACATGTTCATGATTTGATATACATTATAAAGAAGAATGAAAGCTATAGATTAAAGGTCTGCACATACCAAAAGCAAAGGAAAACTATGCAGGGTTCTACTTATAATGTTTTATTTACACAGGTGACTTTCTTCCAACAAAGCTTTATTCCCTAAAACACATTTCAACTCTGTGGTTTCAATCAATGACATTTAAGAAATCGTCATGGTCAAAGGAAAAAAGAAGCTGCTTGGATTCTAACATCAAGTATTTAATAATGATAATAAGAAAAAAAAACAGCAGCAGTCTCATGTACAGTGGTGGGCTACAAAAAGAAATCAAGGAGATAGTGTGGGGGCGTGAAAGCAATGCCCTTCAAGTGCATCTGATCAATTTAAAAATAGTGTTTATTGAGATGCCTGGCTGGAATTAATGTAGCCCACTTTATGAACAGGTTGTATTTTAAGTGTTCATCTCAGTATGCAGTGCTGTGCTAAGCACTTTTGGGAAACATTTAGATGCTTTAAGCAGAATTTCTGCCTTTTAAATGACTGGTTTAATGGTGGAATGGAGAAAAAAGTACTGTATTTAGGAGAAAAACAAAACTATTATGCCAAGTAGTATATTGGTATGCTAAAATAAATCCAAACATAATTTTATGATAATTCAGAAGAAGAGAAGTTACAGATGGGGAGAAAAATACTTTATATAGAAGCTTCATTTTAACATGAACTTGGAAAACATGATTTAAGCAGAATGATATAGCTTAACAGGCATGAGAATCTAGTAAGGATAGGAAATAGAGACTAATAAGATACAGTGTGAGAGCAGCATGTAACTAGGTATGCTGCGAAGAAAGGAGTCCTGCTGGAAAACACTCAAGGGGGTCAGGTGGTTGCTCTGGGGAAAGATTAGAAGACACAGTTATTAATCAACTAATAATGTGGACTAATTTTGTGTAATATCCACACACATACAGGTATATGTTTACCTACAGAATCTACTCATCATAGTATTATTGAAGCAGGCTACAATATTTACTGAATATTGAATATGAAGAGAACCATCATATTTCTATGGGAAAACAAATTCAAGGACTGTATTTGGACCATCAGGAAGTAATTCCATACAAATGTAGAAGTTTTGCTTTGCCACTAACTCTATCCAAAGAACATGAGAAATGGAAAGGCTCCAAAATGAGACACACAGGAAAATCCCTTTGGTTTTGACCAGGGATCTGGCCATCAAAGAAGGGTTGTGGGAGCTCCAGAAACAGGGGCTGAGTGTCTGGGATTTCAAATTAATTTAAAACCTTGAGAATGTTTCTTGGTCTCTCTAGCTCCTGGGTTATTCCCTTTTTTACCTTCAGTGGATCTCCAGAAAGTCAGGGAGTTAAATCTTGTTCACTTTAGAGCCTGATGCCTAGAACAGTACCTGATTCATTTTAGGCACACAGTAAATGGAATGAATTAATGTTAAAGCTGTCAGTAACTTATTTTAACCAAGGTTATTTGTCCTCCATGATTCACAAAGGAACAAAACAAGTTGTTTTTTAAAAAAAATTATCCCCAGTGTATATTTTCCTGAAGCATGTTATTTAGGCCCATTCAGTTTTTAATGAGGGTGTCTCACATGAATTACCAAAAGGAAATCTAGACTAAAACAGCTCTACTTTAGTCCTAACCTAATTTTTTCATTATTGATAAGACAGTGACAGCACAACAAGATTGAATTAAGACTCTTCTATACATGAAAGAAAGACTGCATCCAGTATATACAGAAGAGGGCCAGGGCAACAATAAAAGGTAATGGGCAGAATTGCAGTCATCAGTTGCCACATGCATTCATTACAGGCTTTGAAACCTTTGAACACTAGCCCCTTGGTTTTTCATCCTTGCACCTCTATTTTGTATCACTGTTGGTGCTCAACAGAATCAAAAACTGAAGGGGAGATCCTAAGAACATGATTTCTCCAACTTCCTCATCTTCCTGTTTTCCTTTCCTAGGTTTTATGTGTTTCCATCCAGGGTTTGGTCTGAACGGAATACAAAGTTGGGAGGACAGGAGTTGGGAATCAGTCATGCCAAGTAAGGGTGACAGTCAGAGAAACTGGCTGCAGCTAAGAGAGAAATAGCATTTTTCACAGCTACTTGACATTCCCAGGTTTGCCCAGGTAAAAGCATAAAAGTTGCTTACTGCTTTATAAACTTCTTTCAAAGCCTAAAATATGTTAAACACAGAGATTCTCAAATAAGAAGTCTTGGATTTAAAATCTGGCTCTGTGCTTACTCTTGGTATGACCACGAACAAGTTAGTTAAATTCTATAACTGTAAATTCTGTAAAGCATCAATTGAGCATTTGTAAATGCATAAAAATTATATCCCTAGGTTTAGATGTGGTTGTTATTATTAAATACGATTAATCTAAAATCTTAACCATCTAGTTAAAATTAATAACAACTTAATTTCCATGCAAAAACTTTGATCCAATATAACTATGTTCGCCCCTCCCCTGCTTTCTGCTATTATTGTCACACAAATTACATCCTTATATATGATAAATCCACCAACCCAATTTCTAAAACTATACTGTTGCCTTTTAAATCAGATAAAAAAGTTACAAACTAAAATATATTTGTACTCTCTTTTACATGCATGTGTAGAGTAACTTTTACCTGCGTTCTTTATTACTTCATGTGGTCTCAGGTTACTGTCTAGAGCTCTCTCATTTAGTTTATTACATAGTTTCCTTTAGTTTGGTGAACATATGTAAAATAACTAACTTGAAGTCTTTCTCAATTGAACCCATCATCTGAACTTCCTCAAGAATAGTTTGTTTTGACTTTTTTTTTAAACCTCTGTATGAGCATTGCTTTCCTGTTTCTTGCGACTTTTTTTCTTTTTTTTTGGTTGAAAACGGGACAATTTAAGAAACAGATTCCTCCATCCCCATAGTTTGTTGTTGCTGCTGTTTGCTTAATGACTAATTTTTTTGCTTAAGGACTAATCCAGAAAGTCTATATACTTTGTTACATGCATCCATAGAAGTCTCTGCTTAGTTAGCATATGAGCAGCAAATGATGAGACAGAGATTTCTTAAATGCATTGAACCAGTAAGTTTCTTAGCTTTTGAATAGGAGCTCTCTGTGTGTATTGGAGGTGTGTTTTCAAAATTCTAACATTTAAAAACTGTCTTAGACTTCACTTCTTGTTTGTGCAAAGCCTCGAGATCAGTCAAGGGTGAGAAATTAAGGTCTTCTGAATTCCTTTCTGGGCATGCACACAACCCTGAATGTGGCCAGCGTGCACATGCCTGCGGCCTTCTAGATCTCCAGAAGTATGGCGGACATTATCATATCTCCTATGGTCTTCTCTTTCCTTAAATTGTCCTTTAAAGTTGTAGTCAGTCTATTGTTTGGCCCAAATGGTATCACTACTTCAGACAGCAACAATGTTCACAACTGCAGCTGAGGTTATTTATTTTTTTTCAACAAACTCCTGAGTGATAGGCCTTTCCTCACTGAATGAGCTCTACGTGAGGTAAAAAAACATAGAACTTGTGAATGGGGCTTTTTCAGGGATCTGCCAGACAGGTCAAATAGTGACAAATCAGTGAGGATGGAGTTTTTTGAGGGGTTCCAAATCTGTTGTCTCTCACCAATGGATGATACCCTGCTGGTTTCCATAGCTACTGCTTTCAGGAAGCTGCTGGTTGGTAAGGGAGAGTGGGATGAACATAGAGAAAGCAAAAAAATGCCACAAAGTTCTTTGCTCTTTTTGAAATTCAATGATTTTTCTCAAATAAATACTCTGGATTGTTGCAGCTTTTTGAGTTACTTCTAGAATTCTAAAAAAGTTCATGTTGATAGGTTTCACCAGTATTATCTCTCTCTCTCTCTCTCTCTCTCTCTCTGAAGAACAGTTTTTTTTGGAGGTCCTTTTTCCACCATTCCAGTGTGGTTCTCTCATGATGGCACTTTACTACCCAGAGTCAATGGTTTCTCTTAGTCTTCATCATTCTTTACTATCAGACTTTTCCTTTGGCTCTTATACTCTTATATTTTCAATATGCAAAGCATCAGCAATTCTACCTATTCCTTGGCTTTGCTGACTATTATGAACAAAATTAAGTTCCTTCCAAAATTCATAGGTTGGACCCCTAATATTCAATGTGACTGTATTTGGAGATATGGCCTATAAGAATGTAATTGAGGTTAAATGAGGTAATAAGGGTGAAGAGCCCTGATCTGATAGGACTGGTTGTCCTTATAAGCAGAGACACCAAAGAGCACTCTTTTGCTCTCATACTGCCAACCCTCCACATATGCATGCATTAAGGAAAGGCCCCATGAGCACACAGCAAGAAGGTGGCTGTCTATAAGCCAAGAAGAGAGCCCTCACCAGAAAGCGACTATGCTGCACCCTGATCTGCGACTTCTGGCCTCCAGAACTGTGAGACAATAATTTTGCTGTTGTTTAAGCCATTTAATCTGTGGTATTTTGTTATGGCAGCCCAAGCTGACAAACACAGCTACTATCCCCAAATCTCCTTCTCAACTCCTAAGCTCACTTGTGAATTGTTAGCATACTTTAAAAAAACTTCCTGCTGGGTATTGCTTCATTGATGTTCTTTTGTCCTCATGATTTCAACAAGTTCCAAAAAGAACTCATAACTAAATCAGTACCCCTGCCCCCACGTCTTTCCTAATTTGAGCTAATGATTCACACTCCCAGGTACTCAGGTTCATATACTCTAGTAAAGTTAATTTTATAAAATGTCTTTCAAAGATATTTAGTGACAATTTCTAAACTAGATATTTAAGGCTAAATAGCATTTTATTTTCTTTACTAGTGACTTCTTTGTGAATAAAATGATTATAATCCCACTGTGGCTGTGGCTATAGGATACAGTACAATATGTTTGGCAAACCACTTCAATATGTTAATATTCCTTCACTTATTTCGGAATCAACAGTATCAAGCATATAAAAGCCATACTCTATAAATATAAAACCACTATCACAGACACTGATATTGCAGAGAATGTGTATGTGACACTAAATGAGTCTACAGTACTGTTGAACAACCTATCAGTAGAGTAGATGATTTGGTGAAGAAAATCACAGAAATTCTTAGATGTTATGTAAGTTAATACATGATTCATTCACTGTTTTTTTTTTCACTTTTAAATTCACTATCCTGAAAAAAAGAAAAGACCAAATTCTTGTCTCACTATATGAGACTGCATCTTTGTAAACACTGCCCCTGCATTTAATAATAAAGCAGAATTCCTGAAATTATATGAATATTGCCAGATGGGACAATGGTTTTGCTTCTGTTACCAGTTATAATCAGTTCTGTTTAGGGGAATCTTATTTTTGATAACCGGGTAACACACAGGAAAACACTCCCTTGTTTAATTTAAAGAGCAGAGGTTGGCCCAGCATTCACACTGAGAGTGGCAGAGTCCAAGTCAAGTTGCGGCCACCAGGCTGAATTGATCTCTATGGAACATGTAGGAGGCAAACCAACCTAGCCTTTTTAAAGCACAAATAGAGTCTTATTAATTTACACTTTTGAAGGGCATTCATAAAGGTGAAAGTACTTATTAAAATGAGAAAGATATGTGTAATATTAATGTATTAGTATATATGTAAATATTAAGTTAAAATACAAATCAACTTTAATAATTGTTTAATATAATTAAGAGGATAATATTGTTTTTGATTAAAAAAATATTTTGAAATGCATAGCTCTAAATTCTGCCTCCAGACTGCTTAGGTAGGTGGTTTTCCTTTAGCCTTTTATCACAGACCAGCCTTTAACTTATTAGGGTGATTTCTGATGACCAGCTCAGAAATAACTGAAGCCTGTTCTTTGCCTGGGGATAAACACTTTTGCTTTCTATGCTTTTCTGTTCTATCAAAACATATCTACTGCATGCAGCTGCACTTCAGGCTAAATATCATGATGTTCTCACTTCTTCACACCATACCTAAATACAAACATATTGTTCTTCTGGGTTTCCATGAAACACCCTGACATTTTATTTAAATAAAGGATGTCCATGCCATCCTACATTAATAATTTCAACCTTTCCCCCAATTTGATCTCTTATTAATCACTGATAGACATCTCTGCATTATCAGACATTTTATATATCAATCCTGCATCTCCCAAGAATTCACACAAAATAAAAAGCAATAGAAATATTAATAGATGCAAAGCCAGGTCTCCCAAGACCTTAGTATTACATGTGGATATCTATTCCTTGACATATTGGAACACAAAACAAACAAGTTCAAAAGAATTTGTAGCCATATTTAAGAATTTTTTTTTTCATGTAATACTTACGAGGTACAAATCAATTCCCATTTGTCCTTTCCCGGTAGATCTTATCTTTATTATTTTTGGAGCGGTAAGAGGAAATTAATATATGTGAAAGAGGAAAGTGAAAAACAGTAGGAGAAATAACATCAACAATAGTATTTACAAAAGGACTCCAGTTATTTTTCTGTTTTCCAGCAAGAAAGGATACGTTATTTCTGAAAGATTTATGATCATTTGGGGCTTATTTTAAACCAGACTAAAAATAATATTTCAAGATATCAACTTTTCTAGTTTTCTTTCCTCCTCCCTTGCCATTTCATATTACCCTGCTTTTATCTCAATTCAGTGACCCTATATATTGTAGTTCTCCCAGGATTAGCCCTTGACCTTCATTTCTACTGTATAAGCACTCACTCTGCCAGAGATCTTACCTAGGTCCACAGACTTAAATACCACCTTTGACTGTCGTATGTATCCCTCCAGCCTCAAGCTTTCTTCTGAATTCCAGACCTGACTATCCAACTGTCTACTCAATGACTCCACCTGGATATTAAATGGGCATTTCCAAACTAGTATGTCCAAAACTGGCTTTGAGCTAAAGCTCTTCCACAGTTTAACCCTCCTTAGGAAATTGCAACTATGTCCTTTCCATTGTTCAGGCCAAAAATATTGAGGAAGTTCCTGAATACTTTCTCTTATACTACAGTATCCAATCTTTCAGCAAATCCTATTTATTATAATGTCAAAATACAGTTAGAATCTGATCACACCTCATAACTTCCACCACTTTTATAATGGTCCAAACCATCACCATCTTTTCACCCCTGAACTACAACAGCCTCCTAACTGGTCTTTTTCTTTCTCTCTGTTAAAAAAAAAATGTAAGAGAAAAAGTCAGATCATGTCACTCCTTTGGTAAAAACCCACCAATGGCTTTTTAAAAAATTTTAAATTCAAAGTAATAGTCAAATTTTTTCTTTCTTACTAAAAGCACAATAACATCTCTTACTACCCCTAATCTTGCCTTTTTTCAGTCTCCATGTGACTCCTTTGTATACCTCAAACACACTAAGCAAGCTCTTGCTACATCATCTTTGTACTTACGTTCCTTCCCCATGGATTGCTTTTCCCTCAGCTATCTGCTGGCTGGTTCCCTGACTTCGTTCAGATATTTACTCAAATATTACCCTCTCAGGAAGACTTTCACTCATCAACCTATTTTAAAAGGCAGCCCTAACCTAAGGCAGGCCTAACCTGAGGCAGGTCTAACCTGAGGCGGCCCTAACCTGAGGCGGCCCTAACCTGAGGCGGCCCTAACCTCTGCTTTGGCACTCTGTGCCACCTCGTTGATTTATTTTATCTATACATTTATTATCATCTGATGTACTGCATATTTATTGGCTTCTATTATCATTATCTAACTCTCCCCGCTAGAATGTGAACTTTCTGAGGGCAAAGAATTTTGTGTACTTTTTCACTGCTTCTGGCAACAAGAAAAGTGTTCGGCACAGAATAGATGTCTAAAAAACATTATAACTATGGCTATGACATGTGATGTCTAGAAATCAACTAGTATATTATGGTCAGTTCCTTGGAACTCCTTCTAGGCATTCAACAATTTCTATTATTATGTAACATGAATAGATAATTAACTTGTTAAGTAATATCTGAAATGAATTATATCTTTATTATTTATTTAATGTTTAAATAGCTAATTTTTTCAAATAATAGTGTGGACATTTGAAAGCTTTTGGAAAACACTAAAAGGTAAAAGAAAATGTCACCTCTATTTTAATGTTACTGACATTTTGAAATATTTATTCCTGATATTTTCCTACATATACATTGCATACATACAAGTATGTGTATACATATGTGTGTGACTGTAATGTATTTATATATGTGTGTATGTGTATATATACTTATAAAAACAATACTATAGGATATAGTTCATAATAGAAAAAATATGGCATAAAAGTATATATGTTGTCTTATATTTTATTGCATCTCTGAAACTTGCCAATATTTTGCACACGTTAGGTGTTCAATAAATATTTATCAGTAATGAAGATAATATCTAACTACCTATACTTTCCTAATAGCTAAGTCACAGGTGAAATGAAATGAAGCATTCTGTTTATTTTTCAGGTGGGAAAACAGCAGTTCTATGTATTTTCGTCTGGGTTTTGTTGTTTTAATCCTTCCTCCTTTCCCCGTCCACCCCCCGTTATCATTTAAGAAATCCATTTTCTTTCAATGAATGTTCAGTTGCTGAAATCACTCTCCATTATGGAAGAGCATTTGATTCTCTGGATGCCTATGTCCTGGATTTTGGCGTGGGAGTTCCATTAGAGGTGATATTGATTTGGGCTGTGTTCCTTTCTCTGAGCTGCAGTCTGCATTTGCCATCTGACTGTCTCTGATGATGAGTATATCACATACCTAGTAGTTTGTCTCTGTTTTATTTTCCAGAAAAGCAAATATATGGATATGAATTTTGCTGCTAGGAAAAATAACTTTGAAGATATTTTTTGAAATGCATGTTTGTTCGTTTTCTCTTATGTTTTTGTGTGATGCACTCAAATAATGGCAAAACCTTGAAAAATTATCTTGTCTTCAGAGACTACCCTGACAACATAAGAACTAACTCATTCTGGATGAATGAATATCTGGTGGATAGGAATACTAAACAGCTTAGAAGTTGGTAATAATTCTTGGGAAAATTTCCAAAGAACAGGGTAATTTTATTACTAGTACATTTTTTAATAAATCTGTTTCCCTAATTGTATTCATGATAAATAATTTTTAATGTTACGTGTTTTGTTTGAATAATGAGTTGATCCAATTTCCTAATTTTAATGACAAAAAATAGTTTTCCATTTCACCTAAGAGTCTCTGGTTGAGACTGGACTCTTTCTATTCTAATCCACTACCTCTAAACTTTGGTTACATTCAAATACAGAGTCTTAGAAGACTTAGAATACAGAGTCTTTACACTTTGGCTTTAGCAATCACTTCCTTCAAATGCTTTCTTTTATCAGTGTGGAAACTGAGAACAAAAGTTATTCACCACTAGCTGTTATGGACCTATCTGACCTCTCTTTTCCTTATTCCCATATTTCTCTTTTCTAATTTTTCCCAGTGGAGTTACAGAATAAGGCAAAGTCCAGACAAGCAAATAAGTTCAACTAAGCCAAAATGACATTCTGAATCCTGAGTTGTGGCCTATAAACGTTATGGGAAAGGAGATTATTAGAACAGAATGGCTACCTTTGTCAAAGTACAAGCTGGCAACAAGAGATACAATTCCTATTGTGTGTGTTCTCACTGACCAAAAAAAAAGCATTACCAATGCTTTCTCTGGCTTTCTTAGTCAAGTTGAAGGCAAATATCTCTCCAATATTTTTAACCAAGGTCGTACAACTATCTAGCAGTAGTACTAGAATTAGAACTCAGAAACTTTGATTTTCATTGCTTTATATTCAACAATGCTGCAACTTTCTCAGTCACTGGAGTCTCATTCTTATAAGAACTGAGAGTGTGTGGCTGTGGAGAGTTTGTAAGTTGTGTATAAGAGAGACTGATGAAACTGGACATAGAATGGAACTAAGACTATACACTCCTGAGTCTGGGAAAGACACAGCATTTTATTCTGACCAATATGTGTGCTGGGGATATTTGATGATGCCATACTCAGTGTTGTCATTAAGTTGCCATGTATGTTCAACTTAAAGTCATAATCATCCCATATCCTCAGAAGGAAGACTCAAGAGGCAGGAATGTAAGTAACAATCCACCACAATCATATTTTTAAGAGTTAAAAATATTTACACTGCAAGAGACATTTTCCCAGAAAAATGAAGATAAGAAAATAGAGCAATAGTGAATCAGCAAAAATTAGTCACTAGATCTTCTCCACCTCCCACAATTAAATAATTAAGTTGACAAAAACTCCACTAGATTTCATTTAAACTGCTCCTTCTATCTTCAGTCTCTTCTATCCATCTCGACCCTTTGGTAATTATTTTTTCCACAAACACAACTCTATCATTTACCTTCCTTTCCATGTAAGCCCTGCTTGTAAACCCTAAGAAAGCTCCTCCATCCCCCTAGCCATCAGTGAGAGCAAACTGGTTCTTCAAACAGGCTGCAAACAAACAAAATTGTTGCTTGGGCTTTAAAGTTTCCTTTGCTTAAAAGTTTTGACATTTCTGAATTTAGGGCCTATCTTGAGCTAGGTTCTTAACATTCACTCTTACTGAGTGACTCCCTTCCAGACACCTGACCCCCAGTTCTTTTGCTCAAGCTTTTCTGGCTATATTCGGGTGGGTAGCTTCACTCAAATTTCCCAGCATCAGACCTTAGGTTGTGCCTGGCTTCTAAGTTGGTTCTGTCATTGCAAGTGACACATAGCACAGCTTATAGGACTCTGTTGCCCACTTAATCAAACACAAACTCCAGACAGTGACATTTAAGACTCCACAATCTGATCTATCCCAACTATCAGAACCTGTAATTAATTGCCTCTTCAATTCTCTCCAGACATCTGCAAAAGTCATTCCAAATCCTGCCCAATACATTCCCACTCCTGATCCTTTCTTCACACAATCCCCTGGGTCAGGAATGATCTTCTCAGAAATTCATCTGCACTTGTTAGAATTCTATGTATTTTCCAAGGTTGCATTTTAAAGACAATTTTTCTGGATTACAGCCAGAAGTAAACTCAGCTTCCAAAATTTCATCACCTTGAGCAGAACAACAGAGAAACTAGATTATGTAAGTTTGGATCCCTAATACACCAGCTGGAACAGCCTGGTCAAGTTAAGTTTCTTTAACCTTTGCATCCCAGTCTGCAGAATGGAGAAAATAATAGTTGCAACTTCATACAGTTATTGTAAAATTATCTGAGTTTAAAATGAAAAGTGCCTGGCATATAATACAAGCTCAGTAAATAGTTGCTATTATAGCTCTATGGCACTTTTACTAAAATAAAACTAAAACGTTTAATTGGTACAGTTCCTCGCTCCTTCTGTAAGCTTTTCTGGGATGTTTAGTATCTTTATGTGGTGTTTGATTATTTGCTAAAATTTCTGCATTAAAAAATTTAATGCACACAATAGCTCTGTAATCGAGGATTTCTCCCCAGTTTGCTAATAAAGAAAAGACTGAGAGACAAAGTGATTGATCCAAAGACACATGTATCCAGTGAATGCCACACTCTCTGACACTAGCCTCAGCAAGCTCCACAATGGCATAGCTTCTTTGGGAGGGAACAACCATGCATTTGGAATCTTTCCATTCCCCAGGGCGCATAGTTCATTTTATTTTTGTAGAAAGTAGGTACATAATACACATTTCACAAATTATTATTCAGGAGTAAAATTGAACTATCCCCAGAATGACTGTGTTTCCTGGACTAATTTAACCAAGGAAGAAAAATGGCACTATAAGGGAGGCAAGATTTACAAATCTAATGGAAGTAAAATTTACAGAACTTTGAGGATGGACACGTTTTAGTATTCAAATGATTCTAAAGATCATGATAAAATCAGGAACATGTCAGAAATTGGTGTGTCATTTTATCTCTGGGAAAATTTAAGGGTGTAATTTGCAATTATAAAATAAATAGGTTTGGTTCTACAGTTCCTTAGGTCTACAGAACATCCCAGTAGTCTAGGCTGACAAATCAATTGTGAGAAAAGACCCTTTCATGACAGGTCTTTAAGAACCAGAGAAAGTGAGAGATTTCCAACATCTGGTAGGAAAGGGAGGGGAGGCAGATACAATGTTAAAAAGCTTGAGTCAACATTCAACAGTTCAAAATGGAGAAAAATTTTCACAAATGTTATATTGCATCAAACTAAATCCATTTCTCAATCAAAAACCTTTTACTAAGTACCTGCTATATGGCATCATGTTCTACGTCAGGCACTATAGATATAATGTGAATAAAAGATTTGTTAGGAATAGTATCCTTAGCCCTATGTCTATAACTTGTATTATAAATGTATATGATTGACTTATGAGTCATCTTTAACAAACATTTGATTTGGCCTCCCTTTATTAATTTGTACATTCAAAACTCACCTCTCCACATTGTTATATAAAAGAGCTTCAAACAGATCCATAAGATGGGTAAATAGATTTTTGGATTATCCACATTTGTCATTATAAATACTTCACTTATCTTACATAGTTGAGATATCAGTGTGAATAGTCTACTTTCTAATAAATATGAGTCATCATGACTTTAAAAAGTAGAATCCTGTGGAATAGTCGACAGTGAAAATGAAGGCAAGTGGGGAGTGTGGCAGGAAGAAGGTATGACTGACACCATAATGCCAGAGCACCTAGAAAAAAAGACTATGGTTGGGTGAAGACTCTATTCCCATCTATGCCTATGGATACAAATGTAATGTTTTCTAAAAATAACATTACTCTTCAAACAGTATCCAATCCTGGTTTAAAATAACCTGTGATAGGGTTGGGCAGGGGTAAGAAAAGAATTAGTCCACTTTGATATCCTGGAGAAATTTTAGGTCTAGGCTAATATAATGCTAGTTTTGATTTTAACCCAGCATCTGGAGGAAGTTATATTTTCAATATAAAAGTAATGCTTACTGAAAATGACTGACTCACTCTGCAGTTTTCTGGGGGAGTACATTATTTGTACCTCAACAAATGAAGAACAACAGTCAAGTTTCCAAAAATAATAAGTAAACATCTCTGGATTTCAGAAATAAATAAGTGATGTAAATTGACAAAATAAAACAGGCTTTTAAGTAGTGGATTTCATAATTAGCCTCTGCTTTCAGGGAGAGCACACGTGCACATCCTCTTTGTCCATCTTGACAAGTTTTCTGCCTTTTATGAAATAACTGTTTCCTGCCAGTCAATGAAAACATGCTTATCCTTTTTATAAGTGCATATAAATTTAACCCTTTCACCAAGGGCAGAGAAGAAATAGATATTAAATAATGACAATTATAATAAAATCTTGGGGGTGTATTTATGATGAGAAATGATTATTTTTAACAATAGAGCTTCTCACAGAATGCTGATTAGATAATTTTCTATCATTCCTGTTTGATTTTTTTAAAGAAGTAAAATAGGCAGCTATAATCTGTAAATTTTATATTTTCTTTAAAATTTGAATATATACATACGATACACATATGATTCTGCAAAAGAGCTTTATATTAAATTGTTTGAGATTTTATACAGGAGTCTCAAATAATAAAGTACTTTAAAACATTAATCAATAAGACCTTAGATGAAAAGTTGAGATGAATTTTTAATCTTTTTTTAAACTTTTAGGTTCAAGGGTACACGTGCAGATTTATTACATAGGTAAATTGCGTGTTGCAAGGGTTTGGTGTATAGATTATTTTTTCACCCAGGTAATAAGCATAGTACACGGCAGACAGTTTTTCAATCTTCACCCTCCTCCCTCCCTCTACCATCAAGTAGGTCCCAGTAGTCTGTTGTTCCCTTCTTTGTGTCCATATATACTTGATGTTTAGCTGTGGTTTATAAGAGCAAGTGGTATTTGGTTTTCTGTTGCTGTGTTAGTTCACTTAGGATAATGGCTTCCAGCTCCATCCATGTTCCTCCTGCAAAGCGCAAAGGACATGATCTTGTTCTTTTTTATGGCTATTCTATGGTGTATATGCATCACATTTTCTTTATCCATTCTACTATTCATGGGCATTTGGGTTAATCTCGTGTCTTTGCTACTGTGAATGGTGCTGTGATGAACATATGAGTACAAGTTTTTTTTTCTTTTCTTTTTTTTTTTTTTTAGACAAAGTCTCACTCTGTCGCCCAGGCTGGAGTGCAATGGCACGATCTTGGCTCACTGCAACCCCCGCCTCCCGGGTTCAAGCAATTCTCCTACCTCAGCCTCCCGAGTAGCTAGGATTACAGGTGCCCACCACCACGCCCAGCTAATTTTTGTATTTTTAGCAGAGACGAAGTTTCACCATGTTGGTCAGGCTGGTCTCAAACTCCTGACCTCAGGTGATCCACCCGCCTAGGCCTCCCAAAGTGCTGGGATTACAGGCATGAGCCACCATGCCCAGCCAAGTATTTTTATGGTGGAATGATTTATATTCCTTTGGGAATATATGCAGTAATGGGATTGCTGGGTCAAATGGCACGTCTAAGTTCTTTGAAAAATCGCAACATTGTTTTCCACAATGGCTGAACTAATTTACACTTCTGCCAACAGTGAATAAGTGTTCCCTTTTCTCTGCAACCTCACTGGCATCTGTTATCTTAGGATTTTTTTTTTTTTTAGACGGAGTCTCGTTCTGTCGCCCAGCCTGGAGTGCAGTGGTGCTATCTCGGGTCACTGCAAGCTCCACCTCCCGGGTTCACGCCATTCTCCTGCGTCAGCCTTCCGAGTAGCTGGGACTACAGGCGCCCGCCACCACGCCCGACTAATTTTTTTTTTGCATTTTTAGTAGAAACGGGGTTTCACCGTGTTAGCCAGGATGGTCTCGACCTCCTGACCTCGTGATCTGCCCGCCTCGGCCTCCCAAAGTGCTGGGATTACAGGCGTTAGCCACCGCGCCCAGCCTATTTTAGGATTTTTTAATAATAGGCTTTCTGACTGTTGTGAGGTGGTATCTCATTGTGGTTTTGATTTGCATTTCTCTTATAATTAGTGATATTGAGCATTTTTCATGTTTCTTGGTCATGTTTATGTCTTCTTTTGAAAAGTGTCTGTTCATGTCCTTGGCCCGCTTTTTAATGTGGTTGTTTGTTTTTTGCTTGTAAATTTGCTTTGTAAAGTTGCTTATAGATTCTGGATATTAGACCTTTGTCAGGTGCACAGTTTGCAAATATTTTTCTCTTATTCTGTAGGCTGTTTACTCTGTTGATAGTTTCTTTTGCTGTGCAGAAGCTCTTTAGTTTAATTAGATCCTAGTTGTCAATTTTTGTTTTTGTTGAAATTGCTTTTGGCATCTTCATCATGAAATCTTTGCCAGGTCCTATATCCTAGGTAATCCTCCAAGGTTTTCACAGTTTTAGGTTTTACATTTAAGTTGTTAGTACATCTTGAATTGATTTTTTATATATGGGGTAAGGAAGGGGTTCAGTTTCAATCTTCTGCATTTGGCTAGCCAATTATCCCAGCATCATTTATTGAATACAGAATTTTTCTCCATTGCTTGTTTTTGTCAATTTTGTTGAAGATTTGATGGTTATAGGTGTGCAGCATTATTTCTGGGCCCTCTATTCTGTTCCATTGTTCTGCATGTCTGATTCTGTATTGTGCCACGCTATTTTGGTTACTTTGGCCCTATAGTATAGTTTGAAATAGGCTAGCATGATACCTCTATCTTTGTTTTTTTTTTTGTTTTGTTTTGTTTTTTTGTTTGTTTGTTTTTTTTTGCTTAGGATTGCCTTAACTAATCTGGCTCTTTTTTGTTTCCATATCAATTTTAAAATAGTTTGTTCTAGTTTTGTGAAGAATGTCATTGGTAGTTTTACAGAAATAGCATTGAATCTGTAAATTACTTTGGGCAGCATAGCCATTTTAACGATATTGAATCTTCCCATCCATGAGCATGGAATGTTTTCCTAATTGTTCATATCGCTGATTCCTTTCAGCAGTGTTTTGTAATTGTCATTATAGAGATCCCTCACCTCCCCGGTTAACTGTATTCTTAGTTATTTTATTCTTTTTCTAAGTTTTGTGAGTGGGATTACATTCTTGATTTGGCTCCCAGCTTGCACGTTGTTGGTGTATGGGAATGCTACTGATTTATGTACATTGATTTTGTCCTGAAACTTTGCTGAAGTTGTTTATCCAGTCAAGGAGCTTTTGGGCAGAGACCATGGGGTTTTCTAGGTGTTGAATCATATAGTCTGCAAACAGGAATAGTTTGACTTCCTCTCTTCCTATTTTGATGCCTTTTGTTTCTTTACCTTGCTTGATTGCACTGTCCAGGACTTGCAGTACTATGTTGAACAGGAGTGGTGAGGGAGGACATCCTTGTCTTGTTCCAGTTTTGAAGGGGAATATTTCTAGCTTTTGCCCATTTAGCATGATGTTAGCTGTAAATCTGTCATAGATGGCTCTTATTATTTTAAAGTATATTCCTTCAATGCCTAGTTTGTTGAGGGTTTTTAACATGAGGAGATGTTGAAATTTACCAAAAACCTTTTCCACATCTATTAAGATGATCATGTGATTTTTGTTTTTAGTTCTGTCTACAGGATAAATCCCATTTACTGATTTGCAAATATTGAACCAACTTTGCATCCCACGGATAAAGTCTACTTCATCATGGTAGATTAACTTCTTCATGTGTTGCTGGATTCAGTTTGGTAGTATTTTGTTGAGGGTTTTGGCATCTAAGTTCTTCAAGGATAGCAGCCTGAAGTTGTATTTTTTTGTTGTTGTGTCTGCCAGGTTTTGGTATCAGCATGGTGCTGGCCTCATAGAGTGAGTTAGGGAGGATTCCCTCCTTCTCAATGTTTTGGAATAGTTTCAGTAGGAATGGTACTAGATCTTCTTGATACAGCTGGCAGAATTTGGTTGTAAATCCATCTTGTCCTGGGAGTTTGTTTGTTTGTTTGGTTGGTTGGCAGGCTTTTTATTACTGATTCAATATCAGAACTCATTATTGGTATCCAGGGATTCTATTTCTTCCTGGTTCAGTCTTGGAAGGTTGTGTGTGTCCAGGAATTCATCAGTTTCTTCTAGGTTTTCTAGCTTGTGTGCACTGAGGTGTTCATCACAGCCTCTGAGGATTTTTGTATTTCTGGGGGATTGGTGGTAATGTCTCATGTTTTATTTCCGATTACGTTTAGTTGAATCTTTTTTCCTTTATTGGTCTAGCTAGTGTTCTGTTTATCTTAATTTTCTCAAAAAGCAAAGTCCTGAATTTGTTGCTTTGGTGTGGGTTTTTGCATTTCAATTTCCTTCAGTTCAACTTTGATTTTGGTTGTTTCTTGTCTTCTGCTAGCTTTGGGGTTGGTTTGCTCTTGTTTCTCCAATTCCTCCACTTGTGATGTTAGGTTGTTAATTTGAGACTCTGCTATCTTTTTTTGGTGGGAGTTTAGTGCTATAAATGTCCGTCTTAACACTGCCTTAGCTGTGTCCCAGTAATGCTGGTATATTGTATCTTATCGTTGTTCTCATTAATTTTAAAGAATTTCTTGATCTCTGCCTTAATCTCATTATTTACTCAAAAGTCATTCAGGAGCAGGCTGTTGAATTTCCATATAATGTTATGGTTTTGAGTCATTTTTTTAGTATCAATTTCTATTTCCATTGCATTGTGGTCTGAAAGCATGGTTGGTATGATTTCATTTTTTTAAAAAAAAATTTCTGAGGATTGCTTGATGTCTGATTATGTGATTAATTTTACAATATGTGTTATGTGCAGATAAGAGGAATGTATATTCTGTTGTTTTTGGGTGGAGTGTTCTTTAGATGTCTATTAGGTCAATTTTGTCAAATGTCAAATTCAGGCCCTGAATATTTTTGTTAGTTTTCTGCCTCAATGATCTGTAATACTGTCAATGGGCATGCTGCAGTCTCCCACTATTATTTTGTAGTGACCTAAGTATCTTCATAGGTTTCTAAGAACTTGCTTTATGAATCTGGGTGCTCCTGTGTTAGGTGCATATATATTTAGGATGGTTAGTTAGGTCTTCCTGTTGAATTTATTCCTTTACTATTAAGCAATGCCCTTCTTCACCTTTAAAAAAATTTTTGTTGGTTTAAAGTCTGTTTTGTCTGAAATTAGAATAGCAACCCCTGCTTTTTTCTGTTTTTTTTTTTTTTTTTTTTTTTTTTTTTTTGCTTGGTAGATTTTTTTTTTCCATCTCTTTACTTTGAGCCTATGATGTCACCACACGTGAGATGGGTCTCACATACCACTGAATCTTGCTTTTTTATCCAACTTGCCATTCTGTGCCTTTTAATTGGGCCATTTAGCCCCTTTAAATTAAAAGTTAATATCGATATATACAGATTTGTTCCTGTCATCATGTTGTTAGCTGGTTATCATGCAGACTTGTTTGTGTGGTTGCTTTATGGTATCACTGGTTTATGTACTGTATGTGTTTTTGTAGCAGTGAGTAATGTTCTTTCCCTTCCATGTTTAGCACTCCCCTCAGGATCTCTTGCAAGACAATTCTAGTGGTATTGAAATCCTTTAGCACTTGCTTGTCTGAAAAGAATCTTATTTCTCTCCACTTATGAAGCTTAGTTTGGCTGTTTGTGAAATTATTGGTTGGAAACTATTTTCTTCAAGAATGATGAATATAGGCCCTCATCTCTTTTGGCTTGTAGGTTTTCTGCTAAAAGGTCCACTGTTAGCCTGATGGGGTTCCCTTTGTAGGTGGCTGCCCCTTCTCTCTAGCTGTCTTTAACATTTTTTCTTTCACTTTGACCTTGGAGAATCTGATGACTATATGTCTTGGGGATGGTCTTTTGTAGTATTTCACATGGGTTCTCTGCATTTTCTGAATTTGACTGTTGATGTATTAGTCTGTTTCCATGCTGCTGACAAAGGCATACCTGAGGCTGGGCAATTTGCTAAAGAAAGAGGCTTAATCTACTTATGGTTCCACGAGGCTGGGGAAGCCTCACAATCATGGTGGAAGGCAAGGAAGAGCAGGTCACGTCTTTCACAGATGGCAGCAGGCAAAGAGAGCCAAGCAAAAGGGGTTTCTCCTTATAAAACCCTCAAATCTCAGGAGAATTATTCACTACCATGAAAGCAGTATGGCAGAAATTGCTCCCATGATTTAATTATCTCCCACCAGGTCCCTCCCACATGTGAGAATTATGGAAGTTCAATTCAAGATCAGATTTGGGTGGGGACACAGAGCCAAACCATATCAGCTGGCGTCTGTAGTGAGGAAATTTTCATGAACAATATACTGAAATATGTTGTCCACATTGCTTGTTTTCTCTCCCTCTCTGTCGGGGATGTCAATGAGTCACAGATTTGGTCTCTTTACATCATCCAATATTTCTCAGAGGTTTTGTTCATTCTTCTTTATTCTTTATTTTTTGTCTCACTGAGTTATTGAGGAGAGCTGGTCTTCAAGCTCTGAGATTCTTTCCTCAGCTTGGTGGATTTTGCTGTTAATACCTGTGATTGTATTTTGAAATTCTTGTTGAGTTTTTCAACTCCATCAGCTCAGTTTGGCTCTTTCTTAAAATGGCCACTTTTTTTTTTCTCATCTCCTGTATAGTTTTATTGTATTCTGTAGAATCCTTGGATTGGGTTTCAACTCTTTCCTGGATGTTGATTATCTTTGCTCCTATCTGTATTCTGAATTCTGTTTTGGTTATTTCAGCCATTTCAGCCTAGTTAAGAACCACTGCTCTGGGGAAGTAGTGCAGTCATTTGGAGGTGAGAAGACTCTCTTGCTTTTTGAGTTGCCAGAGTTCTTGTGCTGGTTCTTTCTCATTGTGTGGGCTGATGTTCCTTCAATCTTTCAAGTTGCTGCCTTTTGGATTGTTGTTGTTATTTTGTTTTGTTTTGTTTGCTTTTCTATCTTCTTTGATGTCCTTGGCAGTTTGATTGTGGCATAAGGTAGGTCCAGTTGACTGGCTTTGTTTCTTGTAGGTTTTTGAGGGCCAAGGTTCAGCTCAGTATTATTGGGCTGTGTACTTTAACTTTGGGGGGCTGTTATCAGGCCCCCAGCTTTGTTCTCTGGCTGGAGGTTGGAAACCTGCTGAGCTGGAGGGGCCGAGTGAGTCCGCATTCCCAAACCGTTGGTCACAATTCTCTGAGGGTGGTGCCAGACAAAGTTCTTTGTTGAGTAGTAGCAGCAGGATCTGACTTCCTTGCTTCTTGTGCCACCAGTTGTGGCCATACGACAGAGTGCATGCTCATTGGATGGGGTGAGATTCTGGTGGGTCCTGGGCACCAGTCTCCATAAGGTTGTTGGCAGTGGTGGCATAGGCAGCCCTGGGGGCTGAATCCACTGGGGTCCATGTGCACACATTCATACCCATGGCCGTGCTGGCATGGGGACAGGGCACTGGCAGGTGTAGGGCTGGCAATTTCTGTCCAGGTGTTCGTGCCAGCAGCTGTGACAATGTGGGGCAGGGAATGGGGGTGCGGATGTCCTTGTGTTCATTCACTCTGGCAGCAATGGTAGTTTGGAGTGGGGGTGGTGTTGCTGGTGTCTGTGCATGTGTTTGCGCCAGCAATGGCAGCATCGTGATGCAGGGCAGGTGGTGCACTCACAACAGCAGCAATGGCATGGTGGGTGCACATACATCCACATGCCAGCAGGGAAGGAGAGGCAAGGTTTGCCTGCACATATGCACACAAGCAAAGTGATGGGTGATGACTGTGGATGAGTGTGTGCCAGTGAAGTAACACGGGCAGCTGTGGTGGAAGAAGGACATGTGTAGGCTGGTGTGTGTCAGCAAGGGCTGCTCTACTAGAGCTCTCTGATGGTAAGGTATGGTCTGCTAGTACAGGAGCTATGATGTATGCCCTTGAAAGGCACCTCAATTGGGCATCCAAGGCTGTACAGCAAGCAGGCACATCCAGGCTGGGATCCCAGGAGAGGTCAGCAGACAGAAGCATGCTCAGGTCAGACTGGCCCTGTCTCACAGGCAAGATCACCCTGGTCTCTTCAGGTCTGACAGTTCACTTAAAGCTAGAGTATCCCAGGGGAGCAAGGCAATCCTAGGAGATGAATGTCCCTGGATGTGCTCCCTGGCACATGTTCCCACATTAAACCCTCTGGGCTGCACACATGCTGGAGTCTTGCACTTGTCACTTCTCTAAGTAGCTCTTCCTGCCAGTTTCCCTCAAGTTTCCATGGGGGTTGGGGAGACTTCTCCTGCCAGGGTTCCAGAGGTCTGTGCATGAGCAGGTTGCACCATGCCTGCTTAACACACTCATTCCCCAGGAGTCACTGGGGGCCAGGAACTAGTCCTAGTATGTGGTAGCCCCTTGCAGAGTTCCCAGCTTCCTCCCTCTTCAGCCCAGCATCTGTGTCCTCCCTCTGTCCACTCTCAATGCCTTCCGTGTGCAGATCTGCTTGGAGTATGCTAGTCTTCCTGGTGTCCCAGTTCCTTGGTGGTAGACTCTCCTCCTTGTTGCATCTAGTCATCCATCTTCCTTTTTTTTTTTCTTTTTTTTGAGAGAAGGTTTTGCTCTGTTGCCAAGATTGAAATGCAGTGGCGTGATCACAGCACATTGCAGCCTCAAACTCCTGGAAGTGATCTTCCTGCCTCAGCATCCTGAGTAAATCAGACTACAGGCATGTGCCACTACGCCCAGCTATCTTTTTTTAATTTTTGTAGAGATGGGGTCTCACTATATTGCCCAGGTTGGAACTCATGGGCTCAAGTGATCCTCCCACCTCAGCCTCCCAAAGTGCTGGGACTATAGGCCTGAGTCATCATGCCCAGCCCAATAAAGTATTATTTTAAAATATTTTAGAAGATATCCATCCAAACATCTATCATATGTAATTATTTGCAATTCATGTTTATTATAGAACCTGTGACAAAAAGTATCTGTAATGGAATAAGATGGTAAGCTTTACTTATGGCAAGCTAAAATGAGGAACATAACAACTGAAGGAAAAACACTTATCATACATTATCCTAGAAATGCTACATGTTGAATGACACACTCTAGCAACCATTCAACATTTGCTTGCCCAAACAAGCAGCAATACTGTTTGTCTAGAAACTAAATTTCATCTTTCTGAGCTCATTCCAACTATGACAGAGAATGCCTTCATATGCAAAACACTTGTAGGTAAGGTAAAATTAAGTCTTCCATTATGAGATCCAGTGTCTACAGCATTTGTGGGAGGGCTGAACACATGCTCTTCTGGGGTAGCTGCTATCATCTGCATTTGCTTGACCCAGAAAATGCCTAGACTTCCAATTCCACTTCCCTAACACCCCTGTTTCTTATTGGGCCAGGGAACCTGATCTAAGAGTGTTCCACTAAACTAAGGCCTTAACTCTATGTATAGTTTTTGTTTATTTTGATTTTAACATTCACCTCATCAACAAAAAGTACAAAATTTTATTTGTTGTACTTCCAGGCATGGCTGAAATTCACTATGAATTGTCAGATTGTCTAAAACCTCGTATTCCTCTGCTTGCTGGCATGTTCCAAACACCTGGATATGTTTTTGGACGTTCTGGGCTACTCCCATGCTAGCTCCCAATAAGAATCTAGCCTTACAGGTTTCCTGGGCTCACTCCCATGTGTCCACTAAATCCCATTTTCCTTCTTTTCTTCATTAGTCAGTACTGCTGGGGCCCTAATAATATGGATTATGTTCCAGCTTGCCTGAATTATGACACAGCGAGGTTATTAAAGTTAGAAGTTTTAAAATCACATGTGGATTTTATGGAACTCATGCTGTCTATATAGACTAAAGTCATCAACCAACTGCTGTTCTGGGGGATTTTACTCCAGTACCGCAAGTAAGAATGTTAAAGCTCTTCAGCATCCCTTATTCCTGTCCACTTAAAGCATTCATCAGCAGTCATTCTTTTAATATAACATATAAAACTTAATGAATCATACAAATATAACAAAATGCAGTTATTTTGGAATTCATTTTTTGACAAGTACAACTAAATACTGAATATGACTGCATGGACTACGGATTAATAACCAATTTTTAGCAAAAATACATCACCAAGATAAAAGAGCATTTTCTTCACAGTAAAGAGAAATTTCAAATATGTCTTTAGAGAAGGTGGCATGGATGATTTACACCACTTAAAGTCTGTTTAACTGATCATTTATTCCAATTTAAATTTCATAGATATTGCCCCAAACACTATTAAGCTTATATTTTCTAAGGAGAATAAAGTTAAAGAGTATTTAAATAATTTCTGTTAAGAAATATTTGTAGATTGGTAAAATTATCTTTCTGCCAATCGTTATAGTCTATAAAAAATAATCCTGTTATATTGTAAATTGTTGCTGGGGTCAGAATATTTTTTAATGCAGAATTTTTTTCATGATCAACTTTTGATGACATTTACTTTGCTGGCTATAAAACATGTACTTCCAATTTTTTTTTAAGTTTGCACTGATGTTTATGAAGTAAGCTTCTATTTGGAGAGTTTTTAACTTTCTTTTGGTAGGGTAATTTCTTCCCTCACATCTTACTAAAACATAAAATTAATGTCTTTTTTTTTTTTAACAGAGTCTCAGTATGTTGCCCAGGCTGGTTTTGAACTTACTATCACATTTATTGTCATTTTTGATATAAAATCGGCTGATTACTGAAATAAATAATATATCTAACCTTGTGGAGTTTTTTGTTTTTAATACCTTTATTTGCTTTTCAAAATAACACTCTCTGTCAGCACCATAAGACAGGGTGAGAAAAAAACAAAACAAAATTCAACTCTTTGATAATCAGAGATCTTATATAAAAACTAAGGTTGAAACTCACATTAATACTGGATTATGAAATAATATGTGTTTTTAGTGTCCAGGGCCAAAATCTAATAATCATTCTCCTCATTTTAATCCACAATTTTGTTCATGCATCTTCCCCACAACTGCCTCCAGGGGATGGATCTTGAGTACTGCTGGCTTGCACCAGTGCATGGCATTAACATGGCAACTGCAGTTAATCTGGTCCAGTCAGGTTAAAAAAATTATTTACATTTCGTGATTGGGGAACAGATTTTCTGTCTCTCATTGACTATGAAGAAAAACCCAACACAGTCCCAGGTCAAGTTCTCAGCCATCTTGCAAGCACAATGGAAACCAGCCAAAGGAAGAAACTATACACCAAAAATGGTAGGGCAGTAAGTAGAGAGGTCCTGATGCTATGGTTCAGTCAACAATCAATTATCGAGCACTGAGAAATTCTGGAGATAAGAAATTCTCTTCTTATTTAGGCCAGTTCTGTCAGAATTTCCATTACTACAGCTCACAGTGTCCTAATTCATTCAGTTTACTAAAAGAATAATCCAATGGATAAATCAAACTTAAGTATATTTCAGGTACAGATTATTCATTTGTTGTTTTGTATTCCACTTATGTACAATTAATAACTTCTAATGTTTTAATTTCAAAAAGGTCACTTTTAAAGAAAGGTTCATCTTAAGCATGAGGAACTGTAAATCTGCTTTTAAAGATCTATGGTTACATTCATAGAGCAAAAACTTTAATGAAGTATTGAATAAAATGTTTAGGCAAAATAAATCTTCATTGTTGAAGATAGGAAAATATTTAAACTGGAATTAAGTGTAACCTCACACATTGATCAAATCTAATGAATAAAGGAAAAGGTTTTTTTTAAATCAATATATAATATTAGAATGTGTCCAGATAAGATGCCATAAAATATTAACCTTAAAAATGTTATCTTCTTTCTCAAATATGCCACAGAATTAATTACAAAAACTAAAATTAAAAGAAAGAATGCTTTTCTACTTAAAGAAATAATAGACATAGGACCCACTTAGTATCCTCAATATATTATATTCTTGGTGCAAATGTAATTGCGGTTTTTGCCATTACTTTCAATGGCAAAACCAACCTAACGTGAACATTCTCTAAACCAAAGCTGCTACTATCATATTCAAATAAGCACAGATTTTGGAGTTAGAGATATATGTTCAACTTAGACAAGTTCTTTAACCTCTTTAAGTCAGTATACTCATGTGCAAAATGAGGATAATAATTTTCCTTTCATGGAGTTGTTAGAAGATTAAATGATATATTACTTTGTAAGTGATACTTTTTTCTGTATTTCCATTTCATATTATCAACCAAAGGTATATATTCTCTTAAAAATATACAGCCCCAGAAACAACACTACACATCTACAACCATCTGATATTTGACAAACCTTACAGAAACAAGCAATGGGGAAAGGATTCCCTATTTAATAAATGGTGTTGGGAAAACTGTCTAGCCATATGCAGAAAGCTGAAACTGGATCCCTTCCTTACACCTTATACAAAAATTAATTCAAGATGGATTAAAGACTGAAACATAAGACCTAAAACCATAAAAACCCTAGAAGAAAACCTAGGCAATACCATTCAGGACATAGGCATAGGCAAAGACTTCATGACTAAAATACAAAAGCAATGGGAACAAAAGTCAAAATTGACAAATGGGACCTGATTAAACTACAGAGCTTCCGCACAGCAAAAGAAACTATCATCAGAGTGAACAGGCAACCTACAGAATGGGAGAAAATTTTTGCAATCCATCCATCTGAAAAAGGGCTAGTATCCAGAATCTACAAAGAACTTAAACCAATTTACAAGAAAAAAACAAACAACCCCATCAAAAAGTAGGTGAAGGATATAAACAGGCACTTCTCAAAAGAAGACATTTATGCAGCCAACAAACATGAAAAAAACTTCATCATCACTGGTCGTTACAGAAATGCAAATCAAAACCACAATGAGATACCATCTCATGCTGGTTAGAATTGTGATCATTAAAAAGCCAGGAAACAATAGATGCTGGAGAAGATGTGGAGAAATAGGAATGCTTTTACACTGTTGGTGGGAGTGTAAATTAGTTCAACCATTGTGGAAGACAGTGTGGCAATTCCTCAAGGATCTAGAAGTAGAAATACCATTTGACACAGCAATCCCATTACTGGGTATATACCCAAAGGATTATAAATCATTCTACTATAAAGTCACATGCACACGTATATTTATTGTGACACTATTCACAATAGCAAAGACTTGGGACCAACCCAAATGTCCATTAATGATAGACTGGATTAAGAAAATGTGGCACATATACACCATGGAATACTATGCAGCCATAAAAAAGGATGAGTTCATGTCCTTTGCAGGGACATGGATGAAGCTGGAAACCATCATTCTCAGCAAACTAACACAAGAACAGAAAACCAAACACTGCATGTTCTCATTCATAAGTGGGAATTGATCAATGAGAACACATGGACATAAGGCGGGGAACATCACACAGTGGGGCCTGTCGGGGGGCGGTCGGGGGATAGGGGAGGCATAGCATTAGGAGAAATACCTAATGTAGATGACGGGTTGATGGGTGCAGCAAACCACCAGGGCACGTGTATACCTATGTAACAAACCTGCAAGTTCCACACACGTATCCCAGAACTTAAAGTATAATTAAAAAAATACTGCATACATTCACACAAACACACCTGAACAGTACATTCTTATGCACACACATACATACTTTGCTCATTTGTTAAATAAAAGTATATGCAGTCAGAATACAGAATCTGGTTTTTGGTCTCCACCATTTATTCTTATTACTCCTTCCACATAGCATGTCTTCCATGTCTGTTTTACTGCAGAAAGAAGTTCCAAATAGAATCTGAGGCTATTCAATCCCATCCCTTGCTGTTCCAAATTGTTGCACTGCTTGTGGCATTTATGATTTATTACATTGCTGATTTTTCTTCTCTACAAAATACAAGGTATGTGCGTGTACAGTGACTATGAACAACAATTTTGACTTCCATGTGCTCTCTTATTACTTTATAAAAGCCGCTTGTATATTTTTAATGTCCCCACACAAACTTTATCTAAATCATGGGCCATATTTTATGTATTAGATTAACTGCTAGCTGTACATCTTGCTTAAATCAGAAATATTTGGGATCATGTTATTAATTATAACAATTGCTTGAATATGATTAAGGCTATTAAACTTTGATTGCATAATTTTAAACAAATTCTGACCCGATTCAAACATAAGAATCGATCATCAAAAATGTTTAAGGGATGAATTGGTGGTATCCCCTAGGTCAATACTCAGGTTTTTGCAGAGTTGGCTTACAAAGGACCAAATATTTCAGGTAGAAATTCCACCAAATCCTAAAATAGGCAGCATGTCTTCTCTAGGTCCTCTGGGAGGAACTCTCTACCTCCAATGGTACTACTCAAGAGAGGCAGCCAAGTTTCTGGGAAGGCAACTAGCTGGACTTAGGAATACAGACCTCAGAAACAGTAATATATTTTTTCACAATGGAAAATTAACTGGCCCATATATAAATGGAACCAGAAATTCTGGCCTCAGCAGCACAATCCAATAGTGTAAACCAATCAGAACAGCAGACTAATTTAAACTTCATATATGAAACAAATTTACCCGACTTTGATTAGAATTTTAATATAAATGCTCTTTATTTTTTGGTTATTTTAATATTTTCTTTCTAGTTCAGTGTAAAGCAATAATTAAAGGCAGAAATTATGCTAAGAAACAGACAATCTAATTCATTTACCACAGTCTTCTGTTTTTTTTAGCAGATCCCTATGAAACAATACCAACGACCAACCCCTCTGCAACTGATTATTTCTCTAATTTAATGCGTAATCCCATAACCAAATATATCCATTAAGGAATTTGCTTCTCCGACTCATTTTACACCCCTGGAAACATTAACAGATATAAGTTCCATCAAAATATCAATGAAAAGATGAGAGTTGATTAAGATAACAACACTGAAGAAATGAGCATTATTCTTTTGGGGAGTGTTTTCCAAGCAGTTGAGTATGAACTGTTGGTTAGAGAATCCAGCATAATATACATAGACTATTACTAGCTCTGAAAAAGTAGCTTGCTATCAGCCACATTATAATCTTTTGGATAATACTGGCAGCAATGTTATTACATTTCTCATTTCCAGGGCCCTGAGGACTTGCCATATCACTAGACAGCACGTTTTTTCACAAACCCAGTGTTCATCTTACACACTGGTCTTTAACCATTAGAGTCTAATAGAAAACAAATCTTTCTCACGCTCAGTTTCCTTATCTGTGAAATGGGGGAAAAGTAATAATTACCTAATGTGCTCGGGTATTCTGTGGTTTAACTAATTAGAGGTTGTAAAGCCTGATAAAGCACCAAGTGGTATTAAATGTCTATATAACATGCATTTACTGGCCAACTTGTGCTCCAGCTGCTTAAACACAGCTGCTCTTAATAAGCAGGAGAAAATCAGCTAAAAGCATATGAAGAGCTGATTGGAAGAAATGACATGGAAGGAGTGTTTTACAACTCATGCATTTGTTAACCTTATTTTAAAAATTAAGAAGTGATTTCATTGTAGAATGCTGCTGTTTTCAGAAATTCCAGAAAGGTGAAACAGTAGAGAGTAAAACTTCAAAGTTAATAGAAAAAAAAAATACTTTCAATTCTATGGACTGCATCAAAAGTGCTTTGAATCAAAATGAACATTTTTTGTCTTTATTCGCTATTCTCTTTTCTCTTTGTTATGCTGATAATAAACTTCACATGGTGTATATAAGTACAAGCAAAAACATTAGGTTATATATGGCAAGTTCTTATGGAGAAGAAAATGGGTTCTGTGGATCGTGGCTTTTTTTACATGCTAGAGTCAGACCAAGGAAGAGAGCAGATTAAACCCAAGTAGGTATTAGGCGATTCAAACACTATTGTCCTTGCTGAAGATCAGCAACTGTGGCCCTATCCATATCACAAGCCTAAGTAAAGGTACTTTACTACTCCTTTGCGGTCTTACTTCCTGGGCTGCTTGCCAAGGTCCCCATGCCAGAATCCTATACACTGGCCAGCTTTGCAAGTGCATCTTTCCTCTCCTGGGTTCCTGGGCTTGGCCCAGCAACGGAACTTTCATATGCTTTGTCCCTGGCTTCCCTTATATTCAGCCACCCTTATATTCCAACTCTGTATTTCTTAGTCCAGTTTGATGGACTAAATACAATTTTCAAATATTCTTTTTGCTTTCATATTCTTAACTATGAATTGTACCCTAATTCTAGTTAATCCAGTCATGACAGGTCAATTGTAATATCTGATTTCTGCCTTTAAAATGAAGAATGTTCTTTGCCTTCATGTCTAGTACCACTGCTATTATTACTAATAATAAAAATAATAGATAAAATTTATTCAGTGCTTATTATGAATGAGAAAAACTTCTTAATACTTTACATATACTAATTATTTAACCTGAACACCAACACTGTAAGGTAGTTGCTACTGTTAGCTCTGTTTACAGATGGCAAAACTGAGGCACTAAAGAGCAAATAATCTGCCCAAAGTTATGAAGCCAGTCACTAGAGCTGGAATTTGAAGCCAGCAAGTCTGGCCCCAGAGTCTGTGCTCCTCACTGCTCTATTCCAGCTGCTATGTGGCCCTGGGCTACCCACACCCTCTATCTTCTATCATTAAGGGGCATAAGTGCATGAGTATACGTGGGTCTGTGTGTATAAAGTGTACATAGGTCTGTGTGTATAAAGTTTATATAGGTAGGTGTCTTCTATTTTTGGAACACCCATGGCTTATTTTAGTATGAGTGACTTCTGAGTTTACTCTTCCAGATTACTTTTCTGAGTAGATAATTTCTAATCATTGTGTCCATTTTACAAAACGCAATCAATATATTAACTTTGCAAATGGACAACTGTAGTAAACGAAATAATGGAGAGGACATTTTATTAGATAATTGAAAAACAGAAAAAAATCAAATCCCAGTACTACAGTGAAGAGTAATTTCCTTTTAAATACTGATGATATGATTTTCATCATTTTAATGAACAGCTTTCATATAAAATAGCAAGCAAAAAAATCTGGTCCCATTATCTAAATATTTGAAGAAATGAGTCACACATTAATTCTATCAAAAGCATAAACATATTTTCTGGCAAATAACCAAAACCATCTAGTCTATCTTTAAAACTGTGTAGACTCTGAGAGAAATTCCACCATGTCACTTGGAACTGCTGATTGACTGGCCGAACATGCTGACTATTAATACAAGTTTTAAAGTATTTCCAGGCAAAAATTACTTTTGCCATGCCAACCTCATAGGTAATCATTAGAAAATAAAACTTTGGATGTTTTGCCATCTACTATCCATGAAGGACAAGAAGTAATGTTTAGGGAACATGTGTGTGAGCCACCCTTTCCCTTGGTACTTTAAATTTTATCAGAGATCAAGATCAGCTACTGTAAGGATTTGAATTTCAATTACATAAATTTTGTCCCTCACAGAATCAACTTTACTAAAAGACAATTTAATATTGTGCTTCTAATTTTGAAGGTCACATAAAATATACATAAAATTTAATACTGATATTATGTAAAAATATAATTTAGGACATTTCCTATCAATTTATATTTAGCACACAAAAACCCACATGATGCATTTTGGAATTCAGTGCTAAAGAAATCTGGGCTTCCTCTGAAGAACTATTATATATATTCCTTTATCAGTGTTATAAATTACATAATTACATCATGTTTGCTTCCTCCTTAACCCCAACTCCAGTTTCCTAGAAGCTGAAGTACAAATCTGAATGTCAATCACAGAGACTGTTTATATGTATGCTTATAACTTGGCTTCTATATATTTGAAACAGATTTTCTAACTTAATTTCTATTTTCCCATTTCATTACAGATACTATTTTTAAACCAGTATCAAAGTTTTTATGAAATATTTAAGCTGTAAGCAAAAACAAAAAACATAAAAATCAGCTTACTCTAGAAAGAATTAAATATGTATTTCTACAGTATAGACCAGTATTGTTAAAACTGCTTCCATAATGGAGTTTTAATGTGAATTACTGGTATGATTTTAAAAACAACTAAAAATAGAGAGATTCCTTCCACATGAATTTGGCTCTTCATTTCCCTGCTTTTGTCATATCTCAGAATTAAGGTATGCATGATGGTGCAAATGTCAAATCAATCATTATAAAAACAAACAGCCATATTTCCCCAGTGTTCAATCTCCAAAGTCAATCTGTACTGTATTGGAAGAGTACAAATTTAAAGGAGCCAATGAGGTGCATACATGAGAAGGGAGCCTTGCAAAAATATACTAGTTTATTACTGTGGGTGAAGACAAATGTTAGTATTGATAATAACAAAAATAGTATAAATGGCTTACTATGGGCCAAATACTCATTTAACTGATAACTTCTTTAGCTCATCTCAAAAATCTAAGATATATTTTCTATCTCTAGTCTGTGCATCAGTGTATCAGTGCCTTAGGAGGCAGATTCTCATTCTGTCACCCAGGCTGCGATTTCAGCTCACTGCAGCCTCGACCTCCCAGGCCTAAGCAATCCTCCTGCCTCAGCCTCCTAAGTATCTGGGACCACGGGCATGTGCCACTATACCCCCCTAATTTTGTTTATTTTTTTATAGAGATGTGGTCTCACTATATTGCCCAGGCTGGTCTCAAATGCCTATGTTTAAGCAACCCTCTTGCCTCTGCCTCCCAAAGTGCTAAGATTACAAGCACGAGCCACCATGCCCAGCCTAGACTATTCTTAAAGAAAGATGGTAAAGTTAATCATGTTACTGTGCATATTTCTGTAAAGGAGGAAGATATATGAGACAGGAGACAAAAGTAGAGTAAAGAGTAGAAATAAGCTGCTTGACAATGGGGAAAGGATTCCCTATTTAATAAATGGTGCTGGGAAAACTGGCTAGCTATATGCAGAAAATTGAAGCTGAATCCCTTCCTTACACCTCATACATTTTATATAAAAATTAACTCCAGATGGGTTAAAGACGTAAATGTAAAACCCCAAACCATAAAAACCCTAGAAGAAAACCTAGGCAATAGCATTCAGGACATAGGCACGGGCAAAGACTTCATGATGCAAACGCCAAAAGCAATTGCAATACAAGCCAAAACTGACAAATAGGATCTAATTAAACTAAAAAGCTTCTGCACAGCAAAAGAAACTATCATCAGAGGGAACAGACAACCTACAGAATGGGAGAAAATTTGTGCAATCTACCCATGTGACAAAGGTCTAGTATCCAGAATCTACAAGTAACTTAAACAAATTTACAAGAAAAAACAACCCCATCAAAAAGTGGGCAAAGGATATGAACAGATACTTCTCAAAAGAAGACATTTATGCAGCCAACAAACATATGGAAAAAAGCTCAACATCACTGATCATTAGAGAAATGCAAATCAAAACTGCACGCCAGTCAGAATGGCGATTATTAAAAATTCAATAAACAATAGATGCTGGCAAGGCTGTTTAGAAATAGAAATGCTTTAATTCTGTTGGTAGGAATGTAAATTAGTTCAACCACTGCAGAAGACAGTGTGGTGATTCCTCAAAGATCTAGAACCAGAAATACCATTTGACTGAGCAATCCCATTACTGGGTATATACCCAAAGGAATATAAACCATCCTACGGCAAAGACACATGCACACTTGTTTACTGGAGAGCTATTTACAATAGCAAAGACATAGAACCCACCCAAATGTCCATCAATGATAGACTGGATAAAGAAAAAGCAGTATATATACACCATGGAATACTATGCAGCCATAAAAAGGAATGAGATCATGTCCTTTTCATGGACATGGATGAAGCTGGGAGTCATTATCCTCCACAAACTAACACAGAAACAGAAAACCAAACACTACATGTTCTCACTCGTAAGTGAGACAGATGGACACAGAGAGGGGAACAACACACATCAGAGCCAGTCAGGGGGTGGGGGTGAGGGGAAGGAGAGCATTAGGACAAATAGCTAATGCATGTGGGGCCTAAAACCTAGATGACAGGTTGATAGGCCCAGCACACCATTGCACACATATACCTATGTAACAAACCTACACATTCTGCACTTGTATCTTGGAACTTAAAGTAAAATAAAAAATTTAAAAAAAGAAATAAACTGCTTGAGCAAAATGATGTCCCAATACACAATGTCCCAAAAGTATGGTGAATTTCCATCTTACTCTATGGAAATTATCAAAATCTAAATTCAGTTCCCCAGCCAAGCAATGACGATAGTGAGACATCACCAAAATAGGGCAAAATTAAGTTTGCTAGTTTTACTAATTGTCTTTCTTCTCAAATAATGGAAAAACAGCAGAGTTAATATTTTTCTTTTTAATTCATCCACTACCATAATTCCTACAAAAAGTACTGACTTATTAAGTTCTTTTGGATTCTTTAAATGTTGTTTTTAGTCAACATCAGAAGTGTTTTTCTAAGTTTGCATGATCTTCATAACTATCATTGTTAGAGGCTACATGATGTGCTATGCTGTTGATACATCACAATTTATCAAAGCATTCCCTATGTTATCCAGTTAGCTTGTTTACATTTTGTACTGCAATGAATTTATTCTTGCTTTAGTTGAAAGATTTTCTTAAGGCAAACTTCTGGGAGTACCATGTTAGGTCAAAGTATATGAATATCTTACCCTTAGCATTCCAGGAAAAATAATCATCACCATTTGCTATTTGGGTTCAATTTTTTAATACAAATATCTTAAATATATTTTTAAGTTTTATGAATAATTTACAGAACAGGAAAGACAATTGAAAAGTTACAATTTGTAAAAATATTGAAACATACTAACCTCTTTTCCAAATGAATTCTTGGATAAAAATATTACAAAAGATAACCTTTTATCAAAATAGAATGGATCAAGTTTTTGTAGTAAAGTATGACATGATAATGTCCTTCCAGTTGAATGACTAATGAAGTGAGAATGCCATATTTATTTTTGTCCTTAAAAAGATATTATTCATCCACTTATTCTTGATTTTGAGAAAATTCATCTAGGATATGGTAATCTGAAGATTCATGGTTTGAGATTTTGCTTAGAAATTTCAGCAACATAATCAAAGTCTATAGTGCTGCTGTTTCTTTTCACTCATTTAATAATTGCAGATTATCTTCCCTTTTAATTGTATTTTTTAGTAATTTTATGATAGTTGAACATTAATGATGAATAAAGAAATAATCCCTAGGAATGATGAAACAGCAATGTGTTTCAAGATACAGGAAAAATGATACCGCTAAAATCCCATAATATATCTTAAATTTATAATAAGGGCCAATGGACTGATATGATAATTTAAAAAGATAGGGTAAGTTTTATTCTCACTTTTAAAATGAAATATGTGTTCTCTTTGTGCTTTGGAAGACATCTAAAAATAATAAAAATCATGATACATCAATCTTTACAGAAAGTTAGGATTGCTCTCAAAAGACACTAAAATCTACAATTGAATCCAGTAGACTCAACGCTATACAGAGGGAAGGTAGTCCTTGCTACACATCCATTTTCCAGGTGAAAACATTTTTTAAAAAGTGATAGCAATCACTAAAACTATTGGATACCCATTATTAGTATTATTACATGTTACTATGCTATGTGAATATATGTATTTACATCTAATTTACATAGTAGGTTCAAAGAGGGAGGAATTATTATTCTTATATTACAGATGTGAAAGCAGATCCAAAGAGATTGTTTTTCTTTGTCAAATTCACACCCCAATTAAATGGTAGAGCAAAAACTTGAACCCAGCTCTATTGAATACTCTCCAAAGCTCAAGTTTTTACATGTAAATTAATGTCTTAGTTTGTTCCTACTACTATAATAAAATATCTTAGACTGGGTAATTTATACACAACAGAAATTTATTGCTTACGTTTCTGAGGCAGGGAAGTCCAAGATCAAGACACAAGATTCAGTGTCTTGTGAGGGCCCACTCCTCATAGATTTTTGCCTTCTATGTCCTCATGTGGTGAAGGAGCAAAGAAGCTCCCTCACACCTCTTTTATAAAGCTGCTAATCCCATTCATGAGGGCATTGCCCTTATGATCTAATCTCCTCCTAATGGCTCCATCTCTTAATCATTTTGCATTTGGTAGTAGGTTTCAACATATCAATTTTGAGGGTATACAAATATCTAGACCACAGCAATGAGTCTTTACAAAATGTCACCATATCAACAAGATTCCATTCGAGCCACTATTTTAAGCTCTATCAACAGAAGATCTGAGATTGTAGAAACAGAAATTTAAAGGGGAAATATTCCACCTGCCAGTAATCTCTGAAAAGAGGAGACTACATGGAGTCTCTATATATTTGAAAGCACAAAGAAAAAAAAAGCCAGTATGTCTCTTGGAAGTCATTTTTTTTTCTTTGAAACAATATGTATTTACAATTTCCTGAGGCTTTACATCAGAACAAGGCACTGGTTTTCTTACTCTATGGTTTGCAATTATGGGAAATAATGCTTCCACTACATAACATGCTGCCTGTTTCCTCTTAGCCAACTTGGTGACAATGGCCGTCTCCACAGGTTACACATCAAAGGAGCATATATCAACAGTAGTTGGCTGGCTTACCAGATTTCTCTAACTTGTGTCATTTTAGAAAAGAAAAATGATTGCTAATAAGTTTGAATAGCTCAACCACACTGAGCAAAGCAAAATTTTAATCACGTGAAATCAGGAAAGCACTTACAACTTATCAAAATGCCTTAAATTTCTTCAATAATTTGCTTTAAAAGCTTTTATCCCTTCATCCAGCTTTCAAGCTCATGAAAGCCCTAAGCATGTATTTTCATGAACATACAGGAAAGAGAATTCTCTCTCCAACCTCTCCTTTATTACTTTCTGCATTTGAGCTCACTTACTGACTTGAGAAAAGTAGCATTTTTAGAAAGTAGTTCTCAACAGGATTTGAGAATAAGAGTCAGATAAAAAAGCATCATTTCCACATTACCTCTGCCTGCTAACTTCACTCAATCCTCATTTTCAATAATCCAAGCTCTGGTAAAGGATGACTGTTTTGATTATTTGAGGATATAAGAATTGGGAATTGTGAACAATCAAGTTTTTATGGAAATATGTTCAAATATAGTCTTTTAAAAAGAATCAAATAATCTGGGGGATACACTTTAGAATGAACTTAGCTGAGTAACATGGAAAGAACATAGAAAGTTCTACCGTATGAAATACGTACAGTGCATATTCCCACTCTAAATCCTTATATTTTGTTGTCCCATTGATTTTGGACTTGGTCACATGACTTGTGTTGATAACCAGAACCTGAGCAGAGGTGACCATTTGCCAATTCAGAGTAAAGCCTTCTTTAGTAGGTATAAAACTCTTCTTCTCTTTTGCTTCTTCGTGGAAAGAACATGCCCCAGTGGCCAATGGTCCCAAAATGAAAACACAGGCGCAACAACCTGAATTTATGCAGGAAAGTAAATGTTTACCATTATAAGTCTCTGAAATTTTGTTGTTAGTTAGCGCTTTCTAGCATATAACCTGGCTAATACACACTGGGTTTCAAAAATTATTTTACATAGCTGTTTCCCTCATTCTGCCCAGTGCTGCATTCATTATTGTAGGTAAAGAAACAGCAGTTAAGCATGCAAGTTCTGAAATAAAATGGACCTTCAGTAAATTAACTTCTGCAAGCTTATTCAATTGTAAAACTGACATAATAATATTATCTATCTCATATTGTTATTGTTAGTGCCAAGTAAGATAACAGACTTAAAATTCTTAGTACAGTGTTTGATATACAGTAAAGATTCACTAAACATTAGCTATGGTGTTGTTGTTTTTTCATTACTTATGTCTTAATTCCTGACACAGTATTATGGCACACACTGCTCTTAAAGGTCTAAGTAGGATATGAGACATAAAAGAGGGAGGAAGAAAGGAATGCTCTTCCAACGGCCAGTCCTCCATAATAGTGTCATGAAAATGGACCTCTATATTTCATTCAAGATTTTTCATAAAACATGCAACAGCAAAGATGGAATCACAATCAATTCATGTTTTAAAAATGTGATGAGAATGGCTTTTACATGTGGCTGAATCTGATATTTACACTGAAATTATTTTCAGTCCTTTTGATGGAAATGTCTCAATTTATATGCTAAACCTTGCTTGTTCAGTGTACGGACTTTTTGGAAACCTAATCATCTTCGATGACTCCATGTCTTAGTTTCTTATTAATTTTTAGTGATTATAATATTTTGTATTTTCAATATAGAGTGTCAGCACTGATTCTAGAGCAAACATTATGGCTTCTACTTCTAAATCAAATCACATACAATCTTTTCCATTGTTTAGCTTAAATATCAAAGCAGGATGTATCGATGCTAGGCTTGTGCTACAGTGCTACATAACCATTATTCTACCCAGATAAATCAATCAAAGGAAGCAGCAGTTTTCCTTGGGGTTTGTTTATATTCTCAATAAAATTGTACTTTATTCATCAGTACTCTTTGATGATATAGAATTATTCAAAACATCTTCTCTTAATCCAGAATTAGTAACAACTTCAACCTCTTTGTCAGGTTCAACTCAGTCTCTCACTGCATAAGCTTCTAATTACCGCAAGTGAGCAAATGTACATCTTATCGTGAATGCCACAGCACTCTCTTTGATGGGTAAATAACACCAAATTGTAAAAGCTTAAGATATTTCTTCTAAAGACAATCCAAATTATGATTTTGATTCATAACTCATTAATTCAATCAAATTTTACTGGGAACACATAATGTATGGTTTTTGACACTGGAGAGAGATAAGTAAGCCAGACAGAAAAGGTCTCTATTCTCACAGAGCTTGAGGTGAAACAGACAATGTGCAAGTAAATAAATGAGCAAGTGTAGTGTAATGCAGAGACTTAAGATAGAATGACGTGAGGGAGAATGGCTAGATTAGACTGTATGGTCAGGAAGGACCTGTCTATCAGGAGATGAGATTAAAGCTGAGCTCTGAATGACAAGAAGCAGCTAGCCAGTGAGAACAGAGAACTTTGCAACTCCTGATTTAAATGGCAATATGAGCCTTTGATTCACCTTGACAATTCTCATTAAAAGCATTTAATTGATTTCTCATTTATTTTCAGAGACTTTCAGCTGTCAGACTTTGGGATGTTGAATAATCAAGATTTTCTTGAAATATATTTCAAATACGTATGTTGAGTTCTCTCAACCTTGAAAAATTGATAAATATCTTAACACCCAGCAATAAAGCTAATTATCTGCCTTTAACTTTCTGGAGGATGGAGAAAATGATAAATTTTACATTATGTCTGTTTATTAATAACTACCTGTTCTTTATTTAAATCTCTGTATTTGGATCTTGGATTAAAATCATCTAAAACTCCTTCTGTCTTCAGGCTGGAATCTGGTCCCCAGATGATATGTGATTACTTTTAAAGACAACTTCTTTATTAGCTGTCTTTAGAATTTGAAATGATTACCTTATGTGTAAACAGCATTTTCTCCGAAGAGCTTAGTCGTCCCTTTAGTCTTTTATTTTTAATTACTTTAAATCCACATAATCCTCAACACATTTTAGTTATGTAAAGGGAAGACAATCTTATCCCTACTGTGCTAATGCGTAAACTGAGGCACTAGGCAATTAAGTTACTTATTCTGATTACTCTATCTCCTGCATTTTCACGGTCACAAAGTGTCTGGTAAAAAGTAAGCACCTAGCCAGTTATCCCTCTGATGACAATATATTTGAGAAACTTGTAAATGTTTATTTAAATAATAAAATCATCCATATTTTATAAAACGCTTTAATTTTTAATTCAGTGATTCCATGAAATTTGTTAATATTTCACTCACCCATTGAACAAGCATTTACTATGTACCTTCTATTATCTGCACATTGTGCTAGGTACTGAGGATACAAATGTGAATCAAATGTGTTCTCTTCTGGCAATCAAGTCACTGATTTTTTTAATGTAATATGTTATACAATGTAAAACATGATCACACTTGTGAATAACTATCTGTTTGCTACAGATTAACCTTAAATCTGAGAACATGATGGTTGTTCAATCAATACTTGATGACTGATTATATTTTGTTATGTAGATATAATTTAAGTAGCAGAACCATAAATAAGACAGAGCTTTATGTAGAGAAAAGCACTGTTCTGTCGTTGTAGTACAGATAACCAAATTTCATATTTCTTAAATATCTTAAAAACTCTCATACGCATCCTTTCCATTCCTTCTGCTATGGCACTGATTCAGAAATTTAGAGCCTCCTGCCTGGATTATCACAAAATCTCCTAAATCTCCCCTATTGCATAAATCAAAATCATCCTCCATTTTTAAAGGTTTATCTTCTTATGCCATCTTTGTGAATATCCAATCTTCAGTGATTTCTTTTTCCCTACTAATAAAATTCAAACTTCTTATAATCCCATAGAAGTTCCTCCATGAATTAATCATTGCCTACATCCCATTAATACCCCACAACTCAGCCAAGCTGTTACAGTTTCCATAACACTCATTTTGTTTCATGGCTTCATACCCTTCCCACTTGCTCCCTGTCCTTAGAATGCCTTCCTCTTCAACCTGAATGGTACACATTTATTCATATCAGGATGACACTCAATAAAGCTTTTTCTGAATCCCACTTCCCCATTCAAGCAAAACTTTATTTCCTACTTAATGTTCCTTATAACAGTTAATATCAACTTAAGTTGTAATGCCCAGACTCTAACATACTTTTAGAAACATATATGCATACAGGAGTGTCTATTCCTGGTTGAATATAATTTGCTAAGGTTTACAGTCTTAACTGTTTATTCCAAATAGGTAATTTGGCACTAAATGAAAATATATTGAGTGACTATTTGAAAGACAGTATAGAGGTCCTGTAGGAAACAAAAATATATGTAAAATAGGATGGCTGCCTTTTCCCCAACTCTCCAGATGTTGGTTCACCCAATAGCTTCTCTGCAGCATTAGCACCACTCAGCTTCCAGAATAATGATGGGTTACCACAGAACTTGTACTTTATGTTTAAGATCCTGCTTCTACTGATAACAACAAAAAAACTTGAGCAAATTACTGATCTCTAACCCCAGTTTTCTTATCTATAAAATTGAGTAATAACAATACACATTTCGGAAAGTGCTATAAGGATTAAATGAGAATACAAACACAGGGCTTATAAGAAAGTATGGCGTACGGTAATGCGCAGGAAAGAGAGATATTGACAGTTAAGAGTCTCTCAGGTGCAACTGATTACTCAATGTAAGCCAACAGAAGCCAAAAGGAGAGTGATTCACCGGCTCCCATAACTAGGAAGTATAAGGCATCTAATAGGCTGCCATAATTTCTTAATTCTCTTTCACTTTCAGACTCGATCTACCCATCTCCCTCTCTCTACCTATTCCCCTTTCATCCTTCCCTTATACATAAATATATTTTCCTAATATTCCTATGTACATTTTTTCCAATTGTCTTCCACTGTGTATCACCTTCCTCAGTCCGGGAGCTCTCAGCTTACACATCATTCAATCTTAGCAAAACAAGAGGCAAGAAACATTTTCTTCCTTCATCTCAGTATATACAGTCTCTGGGAAGGCCTCTGACTGGTCAGCTCTGAAGCAATTATTGCAGATGGGAGGAGAAGTAACTACAACTTGTTCAACCTAGGTCACATGTTTACTCCTGAGTTCTGGAGGCTGATGTCTGTTACCAGAACGGGAAAGGAGGTATATTGGACAGATGTAAATAGTATTTATTATTTTATTCTTCTCAATAATATCTCCATTTCCCACTTGGTCTTAGTTAAATTAAGCTTGTTTCAATGATTCATTTTAATTGACTACTCCCTAAAGAATTGGTGTATAGCATTAACCGTCAACACGAGACTGCACTTAATACTACTACTACCATAACCCTGACCAACAACACAATGTCTTCACACTCTACCTGACCACCTATGTTAGTCAATGAGATTTAGTTTGTCATTCTGATTGTTCTGTAATGTCTTCACTCATGGTTCCTGTTTCAGTGGTATCTAAAACTTTTTTTATTCAGATGCAGACCCAAAATACTGGGATTTGAGTATAGCTGAGTCTTTGCTAGGATGATCTTAGAAAGCTTAGAATAAAATAAAGCAAGACAATGAATGCAAGTCAGCCAACATGATAGGCATCAAAGAACAGGTTATATCTGCAGACATCAGGACTCAAGTCCACTGGGCACATCTGGGAAATGGTCTACCACTCTTCCCAGAGTTGTTGTTTCCAAAGAATAGAAAATCAGGGAATATTTATCCTCCAGCATTCATTTGGCAGTGGTTGAGGGCAGCTCTAGGGTATGTCTGTCCCCAAGCATTTCCTCACACCCACCCTCCATGAGGGTTGAAAGAAAGCCCTTCAAAAGCCAAAGTCACAGAAGCTTGCAGGAGGACAGCAACATAAGGAAATTGAGTACCTAGCAGACATGGGCTGAACCACACAAAATCATCTATAAGTGGTCTCCACATGCTTTGCTCTGTCCAAGCACTCTTTCATCATGAACATCTGTCCGTTTCCAGTGATGTTCAAACTTCCTTAGTAGTCATTGTCCATTGCATTGTCTTTCTTTCAGAGGTCAGTACCTTAGACTTAACTACAAATAGCTATTAATTCTTGGATTTTTTTAGTTTTGGTCACGCAGCTGAATTTATGCTATGTGCTCCTACAATAATGAAGGCATCAGGACCAGAAAATCAAACACTGCCTGTTCTCACTTACAAATGGAAGCTAAATAATGAGAACACAGGGACACATAGAAGGTAACAAAATACGCTGGGGCCTATCAGAGGTTGGAGGGGATGAGGAAAAATAACAAATGGGTACTAGGCTTAATACCTGGGTGAGGAAATAATCTGTACAAAAACGACCCATTTCACAAGTTTACCTACGAAACAACCTGCACGTGTACCCCAGAACTTAAAATAAAACTTAAAATAAAAACCTGAGATATTTTTGGAATATATATTTATTACTTTTTTTAAAAAAAGTAATAAACATATTCATGTTAAAATTGAAAAAATATATATAATGAGGGCATCTAGCTATTCCTGTTGGCTTCACTGTGCCATTTATACACCCTTGAACTGTCTATTTTATCTGACACTGTGTCTCCCAAAAATGCACTTCTTGTTGTTAGGGAGGTCACTGGCTACAAGAGAATATGAGTAAACAAATTATTTTATGTTCCTACTTAGATATCTCTTCTATAAAGAAGTCTTTCATAACAACCCGAGTCATGTTGAGGTAGCACTCCTAAGTTATGGAAATACTTGCATGTTTCTGTTCAAAGTATTCATTGCCCTGAATTTTATTTTTTAACATATTTTTAATAACAGCTCTACTCAGATACAATCTGCAAGCCATAAACTTCACAATTTTGTGTACAATTCAGGAGTCTTTGTTTAGTATATTCGCAGAATTCTGCATCCATTGCCACAATCTAATTCCAGAATGTTTTCATCATCCCAAAAGAAACTCCATACTCAATAACAATCTCTTTCCATTTCTCTTGCCACCCATTAGACACTCCTTGCACCTCTTATCTACTGTCTTTTCCTATGAATTTGCCTATTCCAAACATTTCATATAAATGAATTCATATAAGAAATGCCATTTATGTCTGGTTTCTTTCACTTAACTTGTTTTCAAGGTTCATCCATATTGTGGCATATATTATTACTGCATTTCTTTCTATTACTGAATAATATTCAATTATATAAATGGCCCATATTTTATTTATCTACTTATAGGTGGATGAACATTTTGTTGTTTCTACATTTGAAGTATTATGAATAATGCTGTCATGAACAGTCATATACAAATTTTGTGTAAAACTATATTTTCAAATCTCTTGGAGATAGATAGATATATATATATATATATATATATACACACACACACACACACACACACACAAATTGGTGGCTCATAAGTAATTTAATGATTAACATTTTGAAAAACCACTGTTTTCCAAAATGGCCAAAACATTTTATATTTCTACCAACAATGTATGAGGGTATCAATTTCTAACATCCTTGTCAACATTGCTATTGTTCATCATTTTCATTACAGTCATCCTAGTGCATGAATTGCATGTCCTTAATGAACAATAATGTTGGATATCTTTCCATATGCCTATTAACAATCTGTGTATCTTCCTTGAAGAAGATAGTCAAATTCTTTGGCCATTTTTTAATTGAGTAATTTATCTTTTTCTTGTTGAGTTTTAAAGTTCTTTATATTTTCTACATGTGAGTCCCTCATCAGATAATGATTTTCAAATATTTGCTCCCATTTTTGAAGTTGTCCTTTCACTCGCTTGATGTTGTCCTTTGAAGCACAAATGGTTCAATTCTAATGAAGTCCAATTTATCTATATATATTAGGTTTCTATTGTTGCTGTAATAAATTACCACAAACCTAATGGCTGAAACTAATACAGAATTATCATATTACAGTTCTAGGCAAAATGGATCTCACTCAAATTTGGCAGGACTGCATGACTTCTGGAGGCTCTAGGAAAGTATCTGTTTCCTTGTCCATTCAGCTCTAGAGGCTGCATGTATTGGCTTTTGGCCCTGCATCATTCCACCCTCTGGTTCCATCTTTACATTTCCTCCTCTGATTACAACTCTCCTGCCTTGTTTTTTCTCTTGTAATCTTGAGGTTACATTGGGCTCACCTAGATAATCAAGGATTATCTCCCCATGTTGAGATCCCTAACTTAATCACATCCACAAAGTCCCTTTTATCATGTAAGATAATTGCAGGCTTTGAAGATTCAAATGTCGACATCTTTGTGGGGCAGTTATTTTAACAATCACACTCTATTTTTTCTTTTGTCACTTATGCTTTTGATGTTGTTTCTAAGAAATCATTGCCTAACCTAAACTCATGAAGATTTAGGCCTACATTTTCTTCTAAAAGTTGTATAGTTTTAGTTCTTACATTTAGGTCTATAATTCATTTGGCATTAATTTCTGCATATGGTGTAAAGGACAAGTCCAATGTCATTCTTTTGCATGTGCACATCCATTTGTCCCAGTACCATTATTAGTTCAGAAGACTGCTTTTCTCATAGAATTGTCTTAGCACCCTTATGAAAAATCAACTTACCAAAAATATGAGTTTATTGCCAGACTCTAATCCATTGATCTATGCTACATATCATATCACATTTTCTTGATTACTGCAGTTTTGTAGTAAGTTTTTATATCAGGTCACATGAATCCTCCAAATTTGTTAGTCTTTTGCAACACTGTTTTAGGTATTCTGGGTCCTTCAAATTTTCATTTGAGTTTTTGAATTAGCTTGTTAATTTCTGCAAAAAAGGCAGAGGGGGTTTTGATGTAGATTGTATGGAAGCTATAGATTAATTTGAGAATTACTGTCATCTTAATAAGAGTAAGTCTTCCAATCCACGAACACGAGATATTTTTCTATGTATTTAGGTATTCTTTAACTTCTTTCAATAATATTTTGTAGTTTTCAGTGTACAAATCTTGCACTTTTGTGAGATTTACTCTTAAGTACTTTATTCTTTTTTCATGGTGTTATAAATGCAATTGCTTTCTTAATACCATTTTTGGATTGTTCATTTGCCAGTGTATAAAAACATGAGTGATTTTTGTGTATTGATCTTGTACCCTACAAACTTAATGAACTAGTTTATTAGTTCTAATTTTGTGTGTGTGTATTTGTGTGTGTGTGCGTGTGTGTATTCCTTACGGTTTTCTATAAACAAAAGCATGTTGTCTATTTACAGAGATAGCTTTACTTCTTCCTTTCCAATCTAGATACCATTTCTTTCTTTCTTTTATTTGCTTAACTGCTCTAGCCACACCCTACAGTATAATGTTAACCAGAAGTAGTAGGAGCAGATACCACTTTTTATTTTAATTGTAAAAAGCAAAACATAAAAAATGCCAAAAGAAAGATGCAATTAGACATTTCAGGAGATGTAGTTATCACTTATTAGTAGAAATAAAAGACCATGGCCTAGATCCCTAAGGATGAGTTGGAATTTGACAAAGTAAGACACATTCAAGGTAGAGGGAAAGGTGTAAAAAAATACATTTAGAAAGAAAATACAGGGCATGATTATGAATACTAGGTACAATTTTTACAGATCAGAAAAATTGGAGGTCTGTCTTCATTTTATTAAATTTAATTATTAAAATACCAAGAATATAATATAGATTGTTTAAGTCAAGATATCTGATAGCACTACAGGGTAACTACAGTCAACAATAATTTATTGTACATTTTAAAATAACTAAAAGATTATAATTGGATTGTTTGTAACAAAAACAAAGGATAAATGCTTGACATGATGGCTGATGTGATTATTGTACATTGTATGCCTGTATTGAAATATCTCATGTACCCCATAAATATACAAGCCTACTATGTAACCACAAAAATTTTTCTGAATAGAATAAAATAAAGAAAATTTCATAAGCAGTATTTCAGGAGAATTATATTAGCACTGCATTAAACAATATTTTCCAGTATGTTCACTGATCAACCACAGTCAGAAGGATAATTTTCCATTGACTTCACAAAGTAACATTTTCTAAATTTGATGACTAATCAACAAATAATGATGAATTGTTAGAAAAAAAAAGTCAATTTAACCCAATTACAGCCTAACTCTGGAACAGGACAGGACATTTCACCTTTAAACTGGCAATGAATAGAACTTTGATAAGTCAAAAGAAATGATTCTAGTCTATGGAATCTTATAACATTTTAGTACCAGCTTTACAAAGGAGAATTTCTCTCTCTGCTCATCCTTACGGCAAAAGAAAACCGCTAATGTCTGATGTGAAAATTCAGGTTTAAATTCTGGGATTGTACATCTCCCATTCATGCTCTCACACTTATTTGTTAAAGTTTGGCAGAAATTCAAACAAGCTGAAAAGCTCACTGCCATGCAAAGGCAGCAGTTTAGTTAAGACAGCATGACATTTATAGCTGAATTCTACCAGAGGTACAAAGAGGAGCTGGTACCATTTCTTCTGAAACCATTCCAAACAATTTAAATGGAGTGACTTCTTCCTAACTCATTTTATGAAGCCAGCAACATACTGATACCCAAACCTGGCAGAGATACAACAAAAAAAGAAAACTTCAAGCCAATATCCCTGATAAACATCGATGTGAAAATCCCCAATAAAGTACTGGCAAACCGAATCCAGCAGCACATCAAAAAGCTTCTACCATGATCAAGTTGGCTTCATCTCCAGGATGCAAGTCTGGTTCAAAATACGCAAATCAATAAACATAATTCATCACATAAACAAAACTAAAGACAATATCTCAATAGACTCAGAAAGAGCCTTCAATAAAATTCAACATCCCTTCATGTTAAAAATTCTCAATAAACTAGGCATTGATGTAACATATGTCAAAATAATAAGAGCCATATATGACAAACCCTCAGCCAATATCATATTGAATGGGCAAAAGCTAAAAGCATTCCTTTTGAAAACCGGCACAAGACAAAGATGCCCTCTCTCACTCCTATTCAACATAGTATTGGAAATTCTGGCCAGGGCAATCAGGCAATAGAAAGAAATAAAGTGTATTCAAATAGAAAGAGAAAGTTGAAGTGTGCCCATAATCCTAGTCCAAAAGCTTCTTAAGCTGATAAGCAACTTCAACAAAATCTAAGGAAAAAAAATCGATGTGCAAAAATCACAAGTATTCCTATAAACCAACAACAGACAAGCAGAGAGCCAAATCATGAATGAACTCCCATTCATTACTGCCGCAAAGAGAATAAAATACCTAGGAATACAACAAACAATGGAAGTGAAGAACCTCTTCTAGGAGAACTACAAACCACTGCTCAAGGAAATCAAAGAGCACACAAACAAATGGAAAAACATTCCATGCTCATGGATAGGAAGAATCAATATCATGAAAATGGCCATATTTCCCAAAGCAATTTATACATTCGATGCTATTCCCATTAAACTACCATTGCCATTCTTTACAGAATAAAAAAAAAACTTTAAAATTCATACAGAACCAAAACAGAGCCTGTATAGCCAAGACAATCCTAAGCAAAAAGAACAAAGCTGGAGGCATCCTGTTACCTGACTTCAAACTATACCACAAGGCTACAGTAACCAAAAGAGCATGGTATTGGTATGAAAACAGACACACCAATGGGATGGAATAGAGATCTCAGAAGTAAGACTATACATCTACAACAATCTGATCTTCGACAAACCTGACAAAAACAAGCAATGGGGAAAGGATTCCCTATTTAATAAATGGTGCTGGGAAAACTGGCTAGCCATATGCAGAAAATTGAAACTGAACCATTTCCTTACACCTTACACAAAAATTAACTCAAGATGGATTAAAAACTTAAATGTAAAACCGAAAGCTATAAAAACCCTGGAAAAATAATCTAGGCAATACCATCTGGGACATAGGCATGGGCAAAGATTTCATGACGAAAATGTCAAAAGTAATTGCAACAAAAGTAAAAACTGGCAAATGATATCTAATTAAACTAAAGAACTTCTGCACAGCAAAAGTAACTCTCACTGGAGTGAACAAACAATCTATACAGTGGGAGAAAATTTTTGCAATCTATCCATCTGACAAAGGGCTCATATCCTGAATCTACAAGGAACTCAAACAAATTTACAAGAAAAAAAAATCCATTAATAGTGGGCAAAGGATATGAACAGACACTTCTCAAAAGAAGACATTTACAAAGCCAACAAACACATGAATAAAAGTTCAACGTCGCTAATTATTTGAGAAATGCAAATCAGAACCTCAGTGAGATACCATTTCACGCCCGTCTGAATGGCAATTACTAAAAAGTCAAGAAACAACAGATGCTGGCAAGGCTGTGGAGAAACAGGAATGCTTTTACACTGTTGGTGGGAATGTAAATTAGTTCAAACATTGTAGAAGACAATGTGGCAATTCCTCAAAGACCTAGAACCAGAAATACCATTTGACCCATCAATCCCATTACTGGGTGTATACCCAAAGGAATGTATCATTCTATTATAAAGATACATGCATGCGTTTGTTCACGCCACGCTATTCACATTAACAAGGACATGGAATGAAACTAAATGTCCATCAATGATAGACTGGATAAAGAAAATGTGGTACATAGACACCATGGAATACTATGCAGCCAGAAAAGGAACGAGACCATGTCCTTTGCAGGGACATGGATGGAGTTGGAAGCCATTATTCTCAGCCAACTACCACAGGAACAGAAAATCAAACACCACATGTTCTCACTCATAAGTGTGAACTGAACAATGAGAACACATGACCCAGGGAGGGGAACAACACACACTAGGGCCTGTTGGGGGATGGGGGAGGGTGAGCATCAGGATAAATAGCTAATGGATGCAGGCCTTAATACCTAGGTGAAGGGCTGATCTGTGCAGCAAACCACCATGGCACACGTTTACCTATCTAACAAACCTGCACGTCCTGCACATGTATCCCGTAATTTAAAATAAAATAAAATAACATAAAATACTTGTTAAAAACAAAACTTTGCCGATTTGTGAGGTTAGTTACTGCAAATATTTCTTGCAGAGAGATTTGTGTCAGTGACTTTCACATTTTAAATATTTAAAATATAACTGAATGACTAGCAAAACTGTAGAAGTGCTAGGACTTTTCAGGATAAAACTTACAATTTTTTCAAAATAAATCAATCAGCGCACTTTTCTCCCTCAGAAAAGAATTTAGATTCAGCATAGAGTGAAGCAATAGTCCTCGTACAAAGTATAATTAATTCCTAAATTAAGGCTTGCTCCCTTTAAAGAATTTCTGATTTTGTGTAGGACAAACATTAGAGTAGGTGGTCATACTGTTAAAGACCCAGTTTGTTAGAACATGGTGAGGAGATGGAGATGAATATTTTCCTCTATTTTAACATATTTTCTCCCATACATTTATAATAGCTACTGCTGGTGATAACTAATCCTACTGTGATTTTCATCATTAAGTGTTAGCATAATGTCTTGAGAGCATGTGCATAAATTCAACAGTCCCAAGAAAGCAAAGCTTCATGTACAGATTTCTCTGAAGGACCCACAGAGTTGTTTTCATTGGAAAGGTATAATAAATTAATAGACACATTAAGTTTCAATTTGAGCAAAAGAGGACTCTTTCATTTTATGAAATACTCTAGGTCCAGTGCTCCTCAAAAGTTAGAGGAGGAAATACTGCCCCCTAAGTGTTGCTGGTATTCTCAGAAGTCAGAAACAATTGTGCTAGTTACTTAAAGACTCTTTAACCATGATTCTTCACCAGGTAGGTACTGTAGATTCAGAGCCATTCCCACTAGGCCTAGTTCCCACTGCGAGGTGCCATGCACCCTTTCATTTTTAAACCAATATGTATTGAGTGCCAACTGTGTAACCAGAACTGTGCTAGATGCTGGTGATCAAATGGAGCCAAAAAGCATCTTTGTTCTTAAGTTGCTTGTAGCACAATGGGTAAGAAAGACTGTATGGTGTAGATCACAAATTATCTATCAACTCCCTGATTTCCTCCATCTCCCTCAAACCTTTTGGCCTTTATTAGTACTTATTCTCCTCACCAGTGAATGCTTCCCCACTCCTCGTAATTAAAACCTTCCCCACTTTCAAGGTACAGCTAAACATTTTTTTCACAAATCCCAGACTGATATACACGTGCTTATCTAGAACAAAGCCTGTAACAAGTTACTCTCTTATCCCCGAAAGAGACTAACAAAAAGTTTGCATACTATAAAGGCCTGTTGTATTTGGACATGGCAAGTGACTAATGTAATAATTGGGGAGAGATTTTCAAGCCATTTTTCTTGCAGATCTATAGCATTAGAGAAAAAAAAAAAGAAAAACTGATATACTTTAAGAAATTAGTAATCCCAGCCCTTTGGGAGGCCAAGGCGGGCAGATTACCTGAGGTCAGGAGTTTGAGATCAGCGTGGCCAATTTGGCGAAACCCCTTTTCTACTAAAAATACAAAAATAGCTGGGCACGGTGGTGGGCGCCTGTAATCCCAGCTACTCGGGAGGCTGAGGCACGAGAATCGCTTGAACCTGGGAGGTGGAGGTTTCAGTGAGCCAAGATCACACCATCACGCTCCAGCCTAGGTGACGAGTGAAACTCCTTCTAAAAAAACCAAAAAACAAAAAAAAACAAAAAAAAAAAAAACCCAGCAACCCATAAAAACTCATCCTACTATGTTTTTAGCTGAATCGAAGTGAAGGATTCACTGAAGGACATGACAGCATAATGAAGTGAGAGGCATGAATTATATTCTTTGAAGGAGCCACCCTCAGCCATGAATCTTAAATGTTTATTACCTGGAATGAGTCACTGGGAAAGTGCCCACTCTAGGCAAGGGCATAAGGCATATAGTGACATATAGTGATCTCTGCCCCATAACTCAATGTTCTTATATGATTAGGTAGTTTTCAAAGCCCCAAGTAAAGAAACAGACATCTGCATAAGGTGTAATGTTTTTTCTATGGGAACAAATCTGACTTTAATAAGATCCCCATAGGGAATGAAACAAGCCAAATATGAAAGGTTATATTCTATTTAATTACATTTTTATAAAATCATAGAACACAGAAAACTAATCTATAATTCTGGAAAGTAGGTAAGTTGCTTCCTGAGGCCAGGTTGGGGAACCTGGCTGCAAAGGAAAGCTAGATAATTTGGGGACATAATGGAAGTATTCTATATTTTCACCGTGAGGGTAGTTACACAGATGTACACATTTGTCAAAACTCATGGGCCTACAAACTTAAAATAAGTGCATTTTATTGCATGCTAATTATATCTAAATGAAATTTAAAGTTAAATAAAAAGGAAGCCAAAACACATACAGTTTTGTTCTAGTAATTCTAGAGTCAAGAAGTAGGACTTTCATGAGAATTAACTAACTTTAAGCATTTGACTCACCCTAAGAACTGAAACCTGAAAACAGATAAAGATTTAGCTCTTCATCATCTTCAGAAAGCATTTCTGACTCATTCTGGAAAGTCCATTTTAGAGGCTTATTTCCATATTTATGTTTTTCTTTGATGTTTCATATATTCAGGGACCACAGTAAAAGTATCATGCACGTGACGTTTGTTTTTGACCATTATCCAGCTTCACTTTCAGCCTCACCTTCCCCACTCTGTCTCCTCCCAGGAAGCCCGTTTTATCCTTGGCTGTCCTGAAGGGCTCCTTGTGACATAAATAAACAGCAAGTGCCTAGAAATTGTACTTTTCTGTTTTCCTTCTATCCTCATACCCCTACCAAAAATTACTACCAATATGATTAACAGCTAATACTACCTAAACATGTAACATCTCCCAGGCATTCTGCTAAGTGGAGTGGTTTATTTAATTTTTAAAATATCCTTGTGAGGTTAGTATTTTGTTATTCCCCTTTGTGCAGATGAAGAAACTAGTCCTGTAGAGGTTAGGAAGCTTTCCTAACTCCTAAAAATTAGTAAGTCATGGAGTCTTGATTCAAGTCCAAATCAAGAGCCTGTATCCATAACTAATATATCCTGGTAGATAAGCCCATTCTGTAAGAGCCCTGCTCTGCCTTAATCAGTAGCTAAATAAAATCAAGGATTCATGCTAAGGTGTTAGCGACTCACTGTGTTACTACACTGAGACCATACATTCAAAATCCCATCAAAACCTTCTTACTATATAGATGACTGAGAGTTTCTGTGATAGAGGGGTATGTTCAAGCAGTTATGAGACACTTTCATTACTAAACTCTGGTCATGAAAATTTCCCCTTAAAGGTTAAATCTTCTGGGTAATCGGTTTAAAAAATCTAAGAGAATCATTAAAATAAATTCAAGATTATGTATCACAGATTTATCAAGATTGGGTAATCAATAAATGATATATATGAAGTAATCTATCCAACTTTTAAACAAAATGAATATTTTAATTAAAGAAATTACTTTTTTTCTTCAGTAAAACTGAAGTCAATTGGGAAAAATATTATAGGTGACAATTTCCTGTATTTTTTTTCTTTCCAGCAAATTCACCAAAATTCTTTTTCAATAATGAACGTAAGTTAATAATGTTGGTAAAATTTTCCAACTATAATATGACTAGCCCCGGGGGTGTCATGGAATACATTAAGTCTTTTAACTTTGTATTTTTATATCTCAGAAATTGGAAAATGTAAAAAATAACTTTATAATATCTCCCTTTCTTTTATATTCATTGCTTATGAATATAAATATGACAAGTTTATAGTCATTTGAATCACAATAGACCTTTGCCAAACACCTTTCTCCTAATTATTATAACAACTTTAAAATACTTTCACACATCTTTGGTTGGGTTTAGTAGTTGCTACTATGGCTTCCTTTAAAAAATATAGTCAATTATAGTTTATTTTAGAGAGAGTTAAATATATGGAAGATTCCTTAAACACACACAGAGACGCACACCACACACACATACACACACACACACACACACACACACACACACACACACAAAACACAGAGTCTGGACTTGCCACTTCTAGATATAATTACCCAAGAAAAAAACATTGATTGATTAAGACATTGAGCGTGCGTATAAACCTTTACAAGTAAAGTGTCTATAAGACATAGTCATAAAGTGTGCTTTAGTATACATGCTGGAAAAACAAGCTGCCATAACCATGCAAAAAGGCATTCAACATCATTATTCATTAAGGCAATGCAAACCAGAGCCACAAAGCTAGGACTTCACAAATTCACACCTATTATGAAGGTTATCATTTTAAAAAGAATAGAAAATAACAAATGTTAGTAAGGATATTGAAAAATTGCAATCCTTATGTATTGTTGATGAAAACATAAAATATTACAGCTGCTGTGGAAAACAGTCTGGTGCTTCCTCAAAAGGTTAAACATAGAACTACTACATAGCCCGTCAATTCTACTCCCAGGTACATATTCAAAATAACTGAAAGCAGGAATTTGAACAAATATTTGTACACTGGTGTTTGTAGCTGCATTATTCACAATAGCCAAATGTTGAAAACAACTCAAGTATCCATCCACAGATAAATGGATAAATAGAAAGTGATATATACATACAATCAAGTATTGTTCAGCCATAAAAATAATGAAATTTTGATACATGTGACAACATGGATAGACCTTGAAAACATGTTTAGTGAATAATTCAGACACAAAAGTACAAATATTCTGTGACTTCACTCACATGAGGTATCTGGAATAGGCAAATTCACAGAGACAGAAAGTAGAATAGAGATAACCAAAGGCTAGGAGGAAAAAGGGAAGGGGAAGTTATTGTTTAATGGGTACAGTTTATGTTAGAGATAATTTCTGAAAAGATTTGGGTATAGATAGTGGTGATGGTTGCACAACACTGTGAGTGTATTTAATGCCACTGAATCTGTATACTGACAAAGAATTAAAATGATAAACAGTATGTTCTATGTATTTCAAGCTACAACTGTCTCTACACTCTTCCCCACCTAAATAAGGTTCAAAGACTTTCTCCACAGAAACAATAATTAGGAGAACTAACTGATATGAGATACATTGTAAGGAAGTGTTATTTTAAAAATCTAGACACAATACCTAGTGAATATATACCTAGTTTAGTAGAAAGTGTCTGAGTTCAAATTACGAATCTCGTGTGCTACAACCACCATATGTCATTCTCTATTTGTTTCCCATCAGTTTATTTCATCTCCTAAACTAGATACTAAGACCATTTGGGAAGACATTATGCCTGTCCTCTTCTAGTATGCCTCAAAATATCATTATGCACAAAGAAGATATTCTGTAATTGAGTCAATGATTTTAACTTAAAACGAATCTGTTAAGCCATTCCATCTAAAACATAACTACATAGAAAATCTGCTATCAGGAAAGAATGAAGTCAGTTGGAAACTAAGACAAATGCTGTTTTTTTTTTTGCATTTTATTCAAATGGCATCAAATCAAATTAAGATAATTACTGATGTATACTTAGGCACAAAAGGAAAAGGCAATATATGGAACTCAAAGCACTTACACACAGCTATTTACTGCATTCAATATTTTATTTATTCTAAGAAGTAGTAGAAAGTAGCACTTGCTTAGAATAAGGAGTCATGAGATTTTCATTTGACCCCACCAATGAATTTGATCCCATACCAAACAATAGGCCTTAAAAAAGTTACTGACTTTGCCTCCATTTCCCCCTTTGACAACATTTCCTGCATACATTTTGCGAGTTTCTGGTCTAAAATTATACTAATGTAGAACTGGAATAGATTTTTAAAAATAAGTGTGTCCCCATCTCTTCCTTTCACAGATAAATAAGGACAAGAGCATGTAAATTACATTCTCAAGGTTGCTCTGCTGGTCAGTGAGTGGGTCAGTGCTAGAGCCAGGGCTCGGAATCAAGTCTACTGATGGATTATTCTGTGTCATCGTCCCTTCAACTCTGTGTTTTAAAATGAAGAAGAGGTCTTTTTGGAATGTATAAAATATATACAAATTAAAGATTTAATATATTTATATAGACAACCTACTGCATATTTCACATATCCTCAATAATGTCACTCCACAGAGCCAAAATAAGAGCTGATTTGGTTGTTAGTTTACACTATACAGAATAAAGAAGTGTAATTCAAATTTTCAAGGAAATGTGACATACATGACTTATAGCCATATAGACGACATGGCTACATTGAATTTTCTCTTCTATAATATTGCATATGGGCCAGGCGCGGTGGCTCATGCTTCTAATCCCAGCACTTTGGGAGGCTGAGGTAGGTGGATTGCTTGAGCTCAGGAGTTTGAGACTAGCCTCGCCAACATGGTGAAACCCTGTCTGCACTAAAAATACAAAAAAGCAGCTTTTTGTATTTTTTCGTATTTTGTATTTTTTGGGGATTGCAGGTGGTGGCGTCCACCTGCAATCCCAGCTACTAGAGAGGCTGAGGCATGAGAAACACTTGAATCCGGGAGACAGAGTTTGCAGTCAGCGGCAATCACGCCACCACACTCCAGCTCGGATGACAGAGCAAGATATTGTCTCAAAAAAAATTTTAAAAATATCGTATATGGTTGTCCCAGGAAAATAGTCTAATACTTGACCTAATTCTTATTGAATGAATGTCTACATGGTTCCTTTTAAAGGTAGTAAGAATTGTGTCCAAACTTTTTCCAGGACTCTCTGTAGTCTTGATTTATTGGAGTTCTATGCTGTTGAGATAAAAGGAATGCATCTAAACCCACAGGTGAGGATGCTTATGTTTCACAACTCCAACCTCAGTCATCCTTGTCCTGGTAAACTACACGAGTTGTGTCTTTTCTCATCGGATCATTAAAAAAAAAAAAAGTAGGGAAGAGTGCACTGCACTTCAATTATCAATCCATCCCTACTGCCAAAAGGCAGCTTTCAACTGTCTGTCTGATTGCTCAGAAGTCATCTCCAAGTAATGAAAAAAGTAATGTTAGCCAGTAGGTTTCCCATGATTTAATGAGCAACTTTAACAAGAATTTTAAATTTAGTGATACCAAAATTGTATGCTGTTAATATAGCACTTTCTTACAACATACAGAGATATGTGGTACAAAATATCTACTGTTTATAAGACTGTATAGCTATCTAGAGTAACAGTATAAGTATGTTTTCAGAAGTTTTTTAGAGTACAGGCTGACAAAATATTTTATATGAAGTCAAACAGAAATCCTAAGCATCTTAATTTAACAAATATTTTTGAGCACTGACTATGTTGTATATTGGCAACCTCCTTTTGCTCTGTCGAATAAATACTAGTCAGGGCCATCAGCTAAATAGAGATGAGGAGTGAGACAGGAGGCATGAAGAAAGTAGTGAAGGTCTCTAATATTTAAAGAGAACAATGAAGAGAGGCTGTTTGGAACAGCTGTGGTTATAGGGCAAGATAAAGGACTCCTTTGAGGTGACAGGCCATGAAGTGAATACTTTTGTGACTTTCTTCACCAGTCTCTACATCCTAGGTTTAGAAGCAAATTTTTTTAAAAAAAAATCTGTATTGATCAAAGGCAGTTATCTTTCTGGAAGATGACAAAGGATTAAAAAGAAATAGTTTAAGGTATGACCCTTAAACTATAAAGGATGCTTACATATAAAGCTATTTTCTGTTACTAGTGTAGGATAAAACAGCTCTATTCATTTCCTTTTCCATTATTCAACAGTGAAATGAAATGGTTTTATTTAAAACATTTCTTATTTTAAATAAGAAAGACAATAGCATGTCAGAGTTATATACATAGTTGAGATAAAACTAAAATGTTGTTCCTAAAAAATGTGGGTAAAAGATTTTTTCATTCCCATTTCAGTGGCATCTGAGACAAGGTCAAAGGGTCATGTTTTAGCTACATCAGTGAATAGTGTTTAGATCTGTTAGCCCAGTGCATATGAAAGCGAGTCTGTGTATGTATGGGCCTATGCTAAAAGACATTCTTTAATGAAAGTTGAACTTGATTTAACTACAAGGAAATCTATTGAATCCATAAAAGTACAAAAATTATATTCTCTCCCCCAGCTTCGGAGTTTTGATTTAGGCTTATTTTCCTGGAGTCGCTATGCACTGTTTTATGTATGGCTACTATAGGAAATTTACTCATTCAGAAACAATGATACATTTATGATGCAGAATAAATGATACAATCTACGCTACATTATTAACCTAAGAAAGCTCCTCTCGGGACTGAAAACTTGTGACTATTTTGAATGCTAACAAACTATTTTTTTAAAGTAAGTGACACATATTTTGCTTCCATCTTCTACCAGCAATGTAATGTTTCTATGAAATGACCATGTTAAACAACCAATCGACAGACCCAGTCACAAAAGTGCCCTATGAGTGCCAGTCATTCTAAAATCCAAAAACACGGGTAAGACCTAGAGTCCCAGCATGGAGTGAGTGCACTAAAAGCACTAATTAATGCCTGCTTCCAGATCATGGTGAGCCAAGAGAAATGAACAGCATTAACTCTGATCAGATGAATCACTCATTAAAACAGTAGAATAATTCAACTTTATTTTACAGGGTGTTTACAGAGCTCTGAAGCTCTTTATTTAAAAAAAAAAATCACAATTTTTCTAAAAACAACAGGAAAAAAGAGACCACCTATGTTCCTTCTCTTTTTAGGTTGAAATGTGCATATTTTTAGTTTCCTGCAATGTCTCTATCAAAAACTATTTACAGTAAGGAAGAGTTTGCACAGGAATTTCTTTTTGCCCCCTTGGAGGATAAAAGTGACAGACAGAAAATTGTTAGACTTTTTCCTTGAGGCCTCCAATGGCAGGAAAACTTACCACCAGTTTGTCTGTAGCATGCAAACCAGACAAAAGAGAGAGCTTGGTGAAAAGTAGCCCAACATATACATTTCCCTTATTCAGGGCTCAAGGACTGTGAAATACGTTGTACTATATAGAGAAATGGCTCCACAGTGCGGAACGTTAGGATTAGTCCTGCATAACACTTCTGAACTTTGTTCTGATTGAATATATCACTGGAGTCCAAGTGAAGTACTTGGTACGTCTGAATGGCTAAAGTTATCAATAAGAAGGAAACAAGATGGACCATCAGTCCTACATTAAGTAGAGCCTATATAGGACTTCCAGTTGTTGCCCACACAAAGCCTTGGGAGCCTGCTTCTTCTTACAAGTTCATCTAGCCAATTTAGGGGTTTAAATTGATGAGTCTATATATAATCTACCCCAATAAGAATTGGGACCACAACTCTCTAAGTAACAACACAGTCTGTCTGCCAAGATGCAGAGACAGGCAATATTTTTACTTTTTCCACCTTCAAAGATTTAAATAAAGGAATCCTAATTTTTCCTGTCTCACTACTAATTGACTTTGCTTTTATAATCCTTTCTTAGTCATTAATGAAACTATCGGATTTCATTTGAATGCTTTATTACACGAATAGATCAGTCTGCACTACTTCCACATAATGATGTATCAGTCCAAAACATCAGAGTACATCTTCAAATTGTATACCATAGACATAAAATCATCACTGTCGAAAGACTAGCTTCTTCAAAGGGGGTCATATTTGATATCACACTGCAAAGTGCTATGCCCGGTCATTCCACCGAACTAACAAGATACCTATATTCTGCATAATGCTGATTAGCAAATACTTTTATTTTGTCCAATGATTGAGCTAAAATTAGAATGAGGATTTGTTTCCAGTTCCCCCACTTATCCCTCATAGTCTCTCTCTCTCTCTCTCTGTTTCTCTTGTTCTCTCTTTCTGCTCTCTTCCCTTCCTCGTTTCCTTCTCCTACCCAGCACCCATAGTCTCTGATATGATTTGGATGTGTCCCCTCTAAATATCATGTTGAAATGTAATCTCCAATTCTGGAGGCAGGGCCGGGTGAGGGGTGACTGGATCACAGGGGCAGATCCAGTGGATGGCTTAGCACCATCCCCTTGGTAACGAGTGCTTTCTATTTGTGAGTTCACGCAAGATCTGGTTGTTTAGAAGTGTGTGGTACCTTCCCTGCTCTCTTTCTTGCTCCTGCTCTTGCCATGTGAAGTGCCTGCTCCCTCTTCACCTTCCACCTTAGGTAAAAGCTTCCTTGAGGCTTCCCCAGAAGCTGAGCAGGTGCCGGTGCCATGCTTGTACACAGCCTGCGGAACCATGAGTCAAATAAATGTCTTTTATTTCTTTATAAATTACCTGGTCACAGGTATTACTTTATAGCAATATGAAAACAGCCAAACACAGCCTCCAAGCCTTTGGAAGACTTTTCTTAACTTACATATGGCTGATTAACAGAATAAAACTTGGAAGGAATATTTGTAACCTTCATGTTGGCAGTTCAAATGTCACTTTCTCCTTTCCTTCCCACCTCCATCCCTTTCTCTCCCCTCCACCACTCTCATCCCATGTTTATTATTTTTCTTTAGTTTTTATTTTTATTTTTTTAAGAGATGGGGTCTTGCTCTGTCACCCAGGCTGGAGTTCAGTGGCACAATCTTAGCTCTCTGCAGCCTTAAACTGCTGGACTCAAGCTATCCTCTCACCTCAGCTTACCAAGTAGCTGGAACTATAGGCGTGTTCCACCATTCACAGCTTCCCCACCCCCCCCCACCCTCACCCCCCTATAAAGACAAGATCTTTCTTTGTTGCCATGGCTGGTCTCAAACTCCTGGCTTCAAGTGATCCTCTAGTCTCAGCCTCCCAAAAGTGCTAGGATTACAGGTGTGAGCCACCACACCCAACCTAGTCTTCAATCTTGGTTTTACTCTCTCTCAAATTTTAAAGGACCACATATTCTTTGCAGCCCCTTTTGTCAAGAACGGGAATTTATTTCCACATCCTTTTAGTCTGGGCTGGTTCTATGACTTTCAGTGGAAATGATCTTGCAATTTCCAAAAAGACCTCATTCTCAACCTTTTGGTACTTTGAGATTGCCTGCTCTCAGGAAGCCTGCTCTGGCTTTCTTTTTGAGGCTGAAATGCCACATAGAGAAAAGCCCAGCCATCCCAGCTGACCTACCTGCACAGGACTGCTCATTACACAGTACAAGCAAGACCAGCAGAAGAACCACCACACCATTCACAAATTCATGGTTTTTTTTTAAACCACTAAACTTGGTTGGGGGGGGTGTATGCTGTGAACGCATGCATAACTGAAAGACTCCATTTTCAGTGTCTCATTTTCTTTTACTCCTCCTCTCTCTTTTCCCCCATAGTTTAAAATGCCCTGTGCTACCAATGCTACAGACATTTGTCTAGTCATAAGAGTTCCCTTAGGTTTATTTATTTGCCTTTGGCAAATCATTTTTTTTCAATGAGTAACACAGCACTTGACCAGGACCCCATGAATTCATTTAAATTTTCAACGAGACAGATGAAGGCAATCATTCTTTTTCACTTATAGATAAGAAGAAAAATAGTTAAGTGGCAATATTTGTGTGTTTGTATATGTGTGCATATGGATGCACATGCACACACTTTTTATTATAGCTACAAGGACTTTATGTACTAAAATGTAGAAGTCCTAACTACAAGAGAGATGTATAGACACACGGGAATGGATGACTCAGCTGGTAAACAGAAGATCAGAAACTGCTGTATCTTTCACATTTTTCTATAAACATTACAGATAGAATAAGATCACTTGCCAGAATGGAGAAAATCACATCAAATCAGCCCAGCAAATATTCAAGGCAGGAAAATTAAGGCAATGCCCAATGTTCCCATAGTGTTATAGATAAGCTTTATAATGGTTACAATGAAAAAAAAAAGATTAATCAGAATTCCTCAAAATCACTTTAAGTTCTGAAGGACGTTTGTGGAATACCTTTCCAAAAATTGAGGACTGATAATCCCCCACAAAAGGCAAATTTGATTTTACAGTAGGTTTTCAAAATCTCTATTGCCATTTGATCATACGGTATACACATATTTCATAATGTAATGCCCCCAGTAATCCAATTCCTTCCCCATCTCTCCTTATCTCCCTTCCCACTCTTTAGTGTGGCCTTGGTTTATCTCAAATATGCTCAGTCCACACAAAGGGCCATCTCCTGGTCATCATCCAAGTCTCTTCCTTCATGGTGCTGAATCAAAGAGGCCGTCTTCAAACACCATATCTAATGGTGCCTGTTGCCCAAATTAGTGTGTTAAATATTAATCTGATACACTATTTTACATAACACATATCATTAGCTGAAATTACCTTGCATTTTAATTTGTTGACTTATTTATTATTTATTTCCCTCCAACTAAATTAATAGTTTATGAGATCAAGGACCTTCCTTTCCATACTCACTATTATGTCCTTAGTATCTAGAACATATGTGTTTGTTGCATGAACTGGACAAATGAACTAGATATAGAAAGTGCAAAGTTGATCTACCAGCCAGGCTAAAGTATTTAATCCCACGTAATTTCTTCCTGACACATAATTTGGAATCTCTTGCTTTTCTGTCAACATCAGTACTCCAAAAAGAAAGCTAAATTTTGATATGGGCCTAATGAAACTTTTTAAATTGTATCTATTGTGTGGAACACAATTTAATTCAAAAGCTAAATATATATTCTATATGTTTAAATGTATTTATTATATTTATCACATGTCAGAACATGAGATACCTGCACTTCTCCATCAGTAGGGGTAATTGAGACCTGACTGTGTGTAGCAATCTTGGAATCATGGCCTCCAGCTAAAAACTTACATCTGAGGCTAAATACTAAAGGTACTGTTTGCCTTGTGTCAGCAGATCCACCATATTACTTTGAAAATGCACCACCCTTCCCTACAGTGCACAGTATACTTATAAAGATGTATGATATGATCTGTTTCCCACTGGGAAGAAATGGTTTGTAGGACAAAAAGAGCTGCTGTGAGTGAGTCAGAAAGCATGCATCTTCTGTAAAACTGAAATGCCTCGCTCCATGAAGCACAGAGAATTTTGTAAAATAATTCACCGGTTTTCCCTACTGCTTAAACTTTGCCATTTTATTAGCAGCTTAATGAGTAATACAAAAAATGTCCTGTATAGGTAAAAGTTACAACATTAGGATGCCTGAATAAAGAAAACACACGCACTGGTGTAACTAATTTTTTCTAAATTTTAAATGGTAGAGGAAAATTTTTCAACACCTTAATTTTAAAAAATTTGCACTATTGTTTGCTAAAGATTATTTGGTCAATGACTAGCAAGAGTCAAATTACTTTGAAAGTTAAGATTTGTTATAAGATATAAATACCCAAGGAAAAAAACCTATGGTTCTCTATTATATTGCACACTTTAGCAGAACACAAATTGCCTGACATTCATCTCCAGATATGTGCTGCTTCCAAATCTCTGTAACTTCTTTACTCTCCTATGAAAGAGATCAGCATGGGGAAAAGAAGAAAATAAAGTGCATATTTACAAAGATAGGTATTTCAATTTCATTTATAGTTTAAGAAAACATTACAACTAGTGATATATGAACCTTGTTCATCCACTTATTTTTCACCTTTCTTGAATTTTACTGCAGCTAAGAAGGAAAATATAAGGTTATTTTAGTTGCTATATATCAACATAACTATTCCTTAGGCAAAATAAAAATTTAAATACAATCTTCTGTGCCTTTAGTTTTAAAATAAACATTTTAAACTGGGAAATGGTTCAAATTGTATGGTTGGACACCAAAGATCAATGGCAGCAGTTTTGGTTCATAACATACAAGTCAATGAGCTGAATTTTGAGGGCATAGAGGGCAGGGGGTTAGAGGGTCCTTGCAAGCAATAGGGTAGTGAGGTCATCAGATCAATGGACAAAGCAGGAAGTTCCTTGCATCCAGAGTAAGTGGTTTTGATTGCATCATGTAGGCCAGAGGGGATATGGGATATGTATTTTATAAAACTGGTTAATAAGCAAACTTAATTCAGTATGTTCAAATAAGTAGTCAATGGCTATCTGAATACTTAAAAGAGGTTAATACTCTTGTGTATATTAGAAATGGCCTAATCCAGCCCCACAGGAAAAGTGTTCATAATATGATAAAAGCAAGCATTGTGGTAATACTTTGAATTGCATCACAGCCATTTTTTTTTCTGATAAACTTACATTTATTGTTTTTTCCTAATAATAAAAAATACAAAGCTCTAAAAGACTTGTCATTATTTAAATTACTATGATTTTCTTTTACATTTCCATGACCACAATGTCACTGGTAATGGTTTGAGAGACATAATGTAAGCCCAATAAAATAACAGTTTAATCTCCATTGAGTAATACCTTTAACTCATGGTGGGAAAGATATCACTGAATGATGCATAGCATGTATCATTTCTCATAGACACTGGCTTAGGAATAAGCACAAGTAGTTCCTCGTGAATTGCGCATCTTTTATTAAGACTTTTCCACTTTTTTCTGGACAGAACTGTGAGAAACAAATAATCCTAATTATGTAACATGATCCTCAGACAGACATCAGTAAGGCAACTTATATGTCAACTTTTGTGTAGGTCCCACTAAATCCATACATTCTTGCAAAAATATTTGAGAGCATATGATGTTCACGAGAAAATTCTAAGTGAGGCTCGTAGGGAAGAACATTCAAACAAAGGGAATAACAAATACAAATAAAAAGGCTGTGAAATGGGTGAATGCACGTCCATATATGAAGAACACTGAGCAGAAAGTCCAGGTGGCTATATTAGTAGGAGATAGGCACTGTAAAAAGGAAATTCAGAGGCAACAAGGGCCTGATCATATAGAACTGCTATGCCACTGTAAAGATCTTTGGCTTTTCTCTGAATAAGACAAGGAGTCACTGGAAAGTTCTAAGCAGCTGAAAGATGTAAAAGTAAGTTTTAAAAGAATCACTCTGGCTGCTGTACTGAAAACAGACTGGAGGGGCACAGGGAAGAAGCAGGAGACTAGTTAGGATCTTGTCTGTGATTCAGTTGACAGGTGATGACATGTGACTTGGATGAGGGTAGTAGCAGAGAAACCGGCTGGATTCTGGATATTTGTAGAAGCAGAACTATGCTGACAGGTTGGAATTTGGTCTGGAGAGAAAAAAGGGAGTCAAGGTTTTTGACCTGAGCAACTAAAAGAATGAATTTATCACTTACTGAGAAAAAAACAAAAGTCTAGAAGAGCAGGTCCAGTGAGGGAAAATCAGGCATTCAGTTCTTTTTTTATTTTTATCTTTTTTATTTTTCCATAGGTTATTGGGGTGCAGGTGGTATTTGGTTACATGAGTAAGTTCTTTAGTGGTGATTGGTGAGGTTTTGGAGCACCCATCACCCAAGCAGTATACGCTGCACAGTATTTGTTGTCTTTTATCCCTCACCTCCCTCCTACTCGTCTTCTCAAGTCCCCAAAGTTCATTGTATTGTATCATTCTTATGCTTTTGCGTCCTCATAGCTTAGCTGAAACATATCTGTGAGAACATACAATGTTTGGTTTTCCATTCCTGAGTTACTTCACATAGAATAATAGTCTCCACTCTTATCCAGGTCACTGTAAATGCTGTCAATTCATTCCTTTTCTATGGCTGAGTAGTATTCCATCATATATATATATATATATATATATATATATATATATAAGTTTCTTTATCTACTTGTTGATTGATGGGCATTTGGGTTGGTTCCATGATTTTGCAATTGTGAATTGTGCTGCTATAAAAATGTGTGTGCTAGTATCTTTTTTGTATAATGGCTTCTTTTCCTCTGGGTAGATACCCAGTAGTGGGATTGCTGGATCAAATGGTAGTTCTACTTTCAGCTCTTTAAGGAATCTCCACACTGTTTTCCATAGTGGCTGTAGTAGTTTCCATTCCCACCAGCAGTGTAGAAGTGTTCCCCAATCACCGCATCCACATCAACATCTAGGATCAGATGGATTCACAGCAGAATTCTACCAGACATTCAATGAAGAATTGCTACCAATCCTATTGACACTATTCCACAAGACAGAGACAGAGGGAACCCTCCCTAATTCATTCTATGAAGCCAGCATCACCCTAATGCTAAAACCAGGAAAGGATACAACCAAAAAAGAAAACTACTGACTGATATCCCTGATGAACATAGATGCTAAAATCCTTAACACAATACTAGCTAACGGAATCCACCATGATCAAGTGGGTTTCATACCAGGGAAGTCAATAAATGTGATGCACCATATAAACAGAATTAAAAACAAAAATCACATGATCATCTCAATAGATGCAGAAAAAGCATTCCATAAAATCCAGCACCCTTTATGATTAAAACTCTCAGCAAAATCGGCATAAAAGGGATATACCTCAATGTAATAAAAGTCATCTATGACAAACTCACTACCAACATAATACTGAATGGGGAAAAGCTGAAAGCATTCCCTCTGAGAACTGGAACAAGATAAGATGTCCACTCTCACCACTCCTCTTCAACATAGTACTGGAAGTCCTAGCCAGAGTAATCAGACAAGAGAAAGTAAGGGCATCCAAACTGGTAAAGAGGAAGTCAAACTGTCACAGTTTGCTGATGATATGATCGTTTATCGTGAAAACCCTAATGACTCTTCCAGAAAGCTCCTAGAATAAAATAATTGAGCAAAGTTTCCGGATACAAGACTAACGTACAAAAATCAGTAGTTCTCCTATACACCAACAGCAACCAAGCGGAGAATCAAATCAAGAACTCAACCCCTTTTACAATAGCTAAAAACAAACAAACAACAACAACAACAACAACAACAAAAACTTAGGAATATACCTAACCAAGGAGGTGTAAGACCTCCACAAGGAAAACTATAAAACACTCCTGAAAGAAATAATAGATGACACAAACAAATGGAAACACATCCCATGCTCATGGATGGGGAGAATCAATATTGTGAAGGACGGGGAGAATCAATATGGTGAAAATAACCATACTGCCAAAGCCAATCTACAAATTCAATGCAATCCCCATCAAAATACCACCATAATTCTTCACAGAATTAGAAAAAAACTATTCTAAAATTCATATGAAACCAAAAAAGAGCCCGCATAGCCAAAGCAAGACAAAGCAAAAAGGACAAATCTGAGGGCATCACACTACCTGATTTCAAACTATACTATAAGGCCACAGTCACCAAAACAGCATGGTACTGGTATAAAAATAGGCACATAGGCCAATGGAACAGAATAGAGAACCCAGAAGTAAACCCAAATACTTACAGCCAACTGATCTTTGACAAAGCAAAAAAAACATAAAGTGGAAAAAGGACAGCCTATTCAAAAATGGTGCTGGGATAATTGGCAAGTCACAGGTAGGAGAATGAAACTGGATCCTCATCTCTCACCTTATATAAAAATCACCTCAATATGGATTAAGGACTTAAACCTAAGACCTGAAACTATAAAAATTCTAGAAAATTACATTGGAAAAACCCTTCTAAACATTGGCTTAGGCAAAGATTTCATGACCAAGAACCCAAAAGCAAATGCAATAAAAACAAAGATAAATAGCTGGGACTTAATTAACCTAAAGAGCTTTTGCATGGCAAAAGGAACAGTCAGCAGAGTAAACAGACAACCCACAGAGTGGGAGAAAATCTTCACTATATATATATTTGACAAGGGACTAATACCCAGAATCGACAACAAACTCAAAAAAAATCAGCAAAAAAACAAACAATCCTATCGAAAAGTTGGCTAAGGACAAGAAGAGACAATTCTCAAAAGAAGATATACAAATGGCCAACAAACATGAGAAAATACTCAACATCACTAATGACCAGGGAAATGCCAATCAAAACCACAATGTGATATCACTTTACTCCTGCCAAAATGGCCATAATCAAAAAATAAAAAAACAGTAGGCATTCAGTTCTGATGTTACGTTTGAGATGTTCCCAATCTTAAGTGCTTGGAAAGCCACATGCCAAACAAAGCATAGTAGAGCCAATGAAAATAACAGGATTATCTGGGATGTAGTGCATATTGATCAAGCACTTTATTGGCCAACAGTATAACATAACACATCAAAAAGCAATTATGGGGAGCAACAGCAGAGTAACTCACCTATGTGAAGCACTTGCTCAGTAAACAGAGAAACACTAAAACCTATTACTTTCCAAGAGTGGAAAGTTGTGTTTAGCAAGGCAGAGATACCACAGAATCACAAGTTTAAAAAATTATTTGGGACTCAAACAAAATGTTTAGTGGGAAGAAACTCCGGCTATCTTATCTGGCAATACTTCGCAAGTTTCCAAATGAATGCTGAATCCAAGAAATATGATTTCCCTATTCTGTACCCAAATTCTACTTTATCACTGCATTCACCAAATTATATTTCAAATGTGATAGATAGATAGATAGACAGATAGATAGATAGATAGATAGATAGATAGATAGATAGATAGATAGATCTTCTGTGTTTTATTCATTGCTGTCATCTGGCATAAAGTGTGACACCCCACAGTCACAGTATAAAAGCTTATTCAATAGAATTCATGTAATTTAGGAGGTTACATATACTCATGGAAAAACTACCAATCTAAAATAATAAGTTGTTATGTTTCTAATACTTCAAAATGTTTTTTTCAAATACAAGCTTTAACAACAATAACAAAAACTTGAGTCATATAACTTTCTTAAGCTGCTCAAAGTTCTGGATGTCGAAGGTTAGAACCTCCGTCATCTCAATTTTAAATTTTATTAGTATTCCAAGGTGATCTGTCTTTCAACTTCTCAAACAGCATTTATAACGTAATTTTTTAAATTACTGGCTATGAGAAACTATTTGGGTATGCTTCTATACCTTCTCCAAGCAATTTGCCGCTGTTGGTACTCTTTAAAAGCTATCTATACTTTGTTTTTTTCCCACAAGAGGTGCTAAAATAGCATTTCTATAGGAAATGTGTTATATACAAGAAATTAAGTGTACTTTATACATATTCCACCAGGTAAAAATACACAGAATAAAATTCATATCTATTTTAAAATATGGTACTTATTGATAAGGCAAATGTGCTCCAGTTATCTAAACCTGACGATACTTAAAAGCTGATCAAGTTTATTAGCAGGACCTAATATTTCCCCTTCCTCACCTCTCCAACACTTTAGCATCCTCTGGAGACCTACTGATACCATATTTTCTTTCCCTTATTGCGGGTATTGAAAACCGAAGTTAGAGAAGAATCTCAGAAAGCCGTTCACATTGAGTTTTAAGCACCTTCCAAACACCAGCCATTGTGATCATTGTTATAGTTTTCTCATTTCTTTTTCATACCAACTCTGAAGTAACTACCATTACCTTATTTTCCTGTAGAGATAATTGAGGAGACCTTAGGGTATAAATAATTTCCCTGTGGCCACTCAGCCAGCTACTGGCAAGGGTCAACTCCAGCTCTGTGTGACCCCAAAAGCCCCGTTGTTCATTAGACTGCAAACTGCTGAAAACATATCCTATTCAAATGAATTCTACATCTGAACACATTAGCAAAGTTTTAAACAAAAGAAATAAAACAAGCTGCAAGGTAGACTTCAGACATTTACCAGAAGAGGGGAATGCATATTTTGGGGAGGAAGTTCTGAATCTACTATTTGCAGGCAACTTTACTTCATTTATCTCTCTCTCTCTCTCTCTCTCACACACACACACACACACACACACACGCACACGCACACCCACCAACCATCCCAGAAATAAACAAATCCTGAACTTGCAGAAATATTATTTATTGTGAAAGAGAGATTCACTTCATATTATGAGGGCTGAAAACACCCAAACAATCTAGGATATGGATTTAATATGTTATCTGCACATACATTTATATATAGCTATCCTGATTTCCTTTGTGAATGATACATATCTGTCCTATCAACATTCATCACACGTGATGACAATGTAATTTTCTTTGCTGGTAAAAGATTTCATGTGGTTAACTTTTCATGTCACACTAAAAATAAACCCCCATTCACTTATTAAAAATTTTACCTATACTTTTATATGAACTATTTTAAATTTCTTTCATCAGTTATGAACACATTTAAAACATCTTTGCAATATTTGGAGTTGTGTTAAATATGGCTACTATGTAGCTCTATTGGAGGGGTTGACAACAGAATTTGTGCCATTCTAGAAGAAATTTATATAGATTATTTAGAAGTTATGATAAACTTTTCCCGGACAAAAATCAATTTTCCCCATAAAAAATGTTGTTTAAATTTGCCCAGAGATTGGTTATTCTTGTTTTCTTTTTTCTTTTTTTTTTTTTTTTTGACAGTGTCTCAAAAAAAAAAAAAAGTGGTGCAATGGTGCGATCTCAGCTCACTGCAACCTCTGCCTCCTGGGTTCAGATGGTTCTCTTGCCTCAGCCTCCCGAGTAGCTTGGGTTACAGGCACCTGCCATCATGTTGCGCTAATTTTTTTATTTTTTGAAGAGACAGGGTTTCACCATGTTACTCAGGCTGGTCTCAAACTCCTGACTTCAAGTGATCCACCCACCTTTGGCTCCCAAAATGCTGGGATTACAGGCATGAGCCATCGCATCCGGCCACTTTTTCACCTTTTAAATCAATGATTTCTCTCAGATGCATTTCATTCAGTTTTATAGAGCAGAAGCCTACCTCTCTTACACCCAATACTGGCCTTCCATTAATGTTATTTCCACACTCGTGCTAACTCACAGATAAATTATAGATTAATTTTAATACAACATGCTTCCATGAAGCCATATAAATTAGAAGTGTTCACCAATGAGTGATTCTTAAAAATGGCTAGAGATTTTAAAAAGGCCAAGTTTCCTGATTTAAAACCCTCCAGTGGGACAAAGATCTAAATCGCTATCTGATCAGATAAAACCTCTACTGAAGAAAAGGGAAAATGAGAAGTGTAGCAATTTGTATGCATCTCAGATTTAAACCAATTCCACATTGTAAGATGTTAAGGTACATGTTTCCAGGGCCTAGTAATTACATAATTTCTCTATCTCTTACTTTTCTCTTCTATAATATGGTGCCAATAATAGTACCCACTTCAGGTGGGGTTTGGATTTTTAGAATATTGTATCTATTAAGGATTTGGCTCTGTATCTGGTACACAGTAAATGTTCCATAAGTTTAACTTTATTATTAGTATTTGGCAGTCACAAAGTAGATTCTATAATTGGTGGGCTTAGTAAGCACCTATTTGCTTTATTTTTTTCTCGGGTAGAATTCATTATTTAATTTAAAAAAATCCTATAGCAAATTTGATTCATATTCCTGATGTGGTATTATTATTATTATTATTTGCCTTTATATTCTTTCTCATAGATGTATGGCCATAAAAAAGACAAACACATTTATTTTATTTGCCTTGACCTCCTGAGCAACAGATGTTGAATTAATAAAAAAAGATTCAGAAAATTTAAAAATAACATTTTAGTGGTGCTTTTAATTTCCACCAAAATAGTGATTTTAACCATTCTATAATAACATTTTACTAAAAATCAATATAAAATTTGAAATTCATGAACATATTAAGAGTAATTCCAGTTATACAGATCAATGGCTATGTTAAGCATTGAGGGACTGACCAAGATAAATGTAAAGTGTATGATTCTAGCCCAAGCCCACATACACAACAATGTTTCACAGTATAGTAGCCTGGTGTAGTTAAAAGTCTGAAATGCGGAATGTGCAAGTCTACACTAAGTAGAATAGTAACTGGGCTTTTCCAATATCCTAAGCCAGTTCTCAGTGGAGATATTTACAGGGACTGCAGTTGAATTAGGTCAGTTAGACAGAGGATAGAAGGAAGAGGACAAATGCACATTGACACAGTCCCCCAGATATTCTAATAGGCAATCCTAAAGCCTCAATCTCATTTATCACCAGCTTAGGTGAGAACTATTAGGTTTCAAAGGGGTCTAATAAATAACAAACCTCTTCCCCACCTCACCGTGATTATTAATAAAGTGGAAATTGTAAAGTATGACTGAAATCTGTGAGCAAATGGGATGCCTGATACTGACCCCAGAACTGAGTGGACTGACCATGTCCATTCAGCACTGACACACTGGAACAATCTGAGCCTGAGCCCTTCAATGGGGTCTTTGGCACTAGCATGGGTGGGGCTGGAAATACTAAAGGGGGAGGCCTTGTTCCTCCTTCCAATCTCTCCAAGAACAAAAGTTACTCCACGTCTCCTGGGAGGAATGAGTAGGAGCGAGAGAAAGTGAGGAAGAGAGATCAGGACCACAAAATCTCAGCATAAGACCAATAAGCACTGTGAGTTTCAGTGCTATAACTAAAATACATTTGACTCTGAATTTTGAAGCAGACAGTAAAATATGAAGGGCCATTACTGTCAAATTTGACAGGAGAACCAAAGTAAGTGTCTGCACATTGTCTGCTCCTCCTCTGATACGCTGCTAAAATTTCCAGACTACTTTGTTCCTGGCAGTAAACTCTAAATTAGCCAATTAGAAGAGATACGTTAACAGTGTCTGCTTATGCATTTATGCTACTTATATAATTTGTAAGATAATTGTTGTTTTATTATTGTTCTAGGTATTGGGTTAAAATGCCAAAAAAAGAAGAAGACCTAAATTTTATAATGATGTTAACTTCTCCTTCCTCATTACTTACCTGCCAGTACAGTTTTGGAGCACGTACTTCTTTATCTCAGACACCTTTTGCTTGAGGCCTGTCTTGAGTTTCCAAACGCTCTTCTATATGCTTCTCCTGTGAATTACTGGGTCTGCTTTAAGCACAAAGTAATGGGCCAAATGGTTCCTTAGGCTACTTTTAGAAGTTGTCACACACAAAAGGGACAACTGAAATCTCACTAATTTCTAAAGTTTGCACCTAAGAAAGCATAACATAAAAATAGAACAATTTTTTAGATAATGGACTATAAATGCATTTTCCATATTTGTATGAGCTCATATATAAAATGTTCACAAGATACATTTGTCCAAAAACATTAGAAATATGACATGAATCAGTTAAAACTGAGCTATATACTAGGTAGTCACTAATCATATGTGACTATTTAAATTAAAATTAATTAAAATTAAACAAAAGTAAAAATTTACTTCCTCATTCTTACTAGCCTCATATCAAGTGCTCAAAAACCAAATGTGGTTAGCAACTGTCCTATTGGACAGCACAAATATAAAACATCTCCATCACTCACGTATGTTCTACCGGACAGCAATGATTTTAGAGCACCACTGTTGGTATGATCTTGTTACTAAATAAAGAACTTTAAGGGATTCAACTCATATGCCTACAAAAGATCTAACAGTCTCATATATAGTGAAGAGTAGAATATTCTGGTAAACTGGGTGAATAATAAAGCATTTCTAAGATCACTTAAATTGTATTAGTCTTTTTTTTTTTTTTGAGACGGAGGCTCGCTCTGTCGCCTAGGCTGGAGTGCAGTGGCCCAATTTCGGCTCACTGCAACCTCTGCCTCCCAGGTTCAAGCGATTCTCTGCCTCAGCCTCCCGAGTGGCTGGGATTACAGGTGCCCACCACCACACCTGGCTAATTTTTGTATTTTTAGTAGAGACAGGGTTCACCATGTTGGCCAGGCTGCTCTTGAACTCCTGACCCCAGGTGATCCACCCACCTCGGCCTCCCAAAGTGCTGGGATTACAAGTGTGAATCACCGCACCCGGCCTATTAGTCCTTTTTAAATGAAAAACTGGTGAGCTTGCATGCTGCTGTCAAGTCAGTACAGTTTTAAAAAACAATTTCTGCACTAAACCTACCAGCTTGCTACAGTTCTTAGGTCTCATATAGTTTCTTTATTAACTGTCTCCTAACACAATTTCTTTATGGATGTCTTACAAAACCATAACTGAGTTGCTTGGTAAACTAATTTATATTTATTGCTTTTTCCTTAGGTTACATGCATATTATTTATATATTTGCCTATAGCATATTATGTGCAAACTAAATAGTATACGTAGACCAAGATGGAGACAGAGGCAGCTTGAAGAACAATGTAATTGGGGAATGGTGGGTAAATTCATGTTCACTGTACATAAATGAGTGGATTAATAAAAGATTTATATTAAAAAATGCCAGTACTTAGAAAAAACCCAAACAGCTTCTTAATAAATAACTTTTTAATTAAAAAGTTTTCAATATAAGCTGAATCTGAGAGTCTGAATTCAGCTAAGAATTCACTGGTTTTGCATCTCTTAGCTACATCCTATCAGTGTTCAATAGGGGTGAAAATGGCAAAACTCAGAGCAATTTTGAGAAACATAATTATCATCATTATGGCCAAAAGGGAGACAAGGATAAACATATGCATAAATACAAATAACTGTACTAGCTTGAGATGCTGCTTCTAATCAAGCAAAATGCTCCACTCATAAATTGTATCACAGTCAGTCTTAAATATCATTCCGATGCCTATAAAGTAGTGAGGACCTATCTTGGTGCACTTTTTGCAGATGCAAAATTCAGAATGAAAGATAAGTGAATTCTATGAAAGTTGGTAGGCATTGTACCTCCATTTCTGTTTATCTGTTCCTTTTGCCAAGTGTCCATCTGCATGCTCCTCATTATCAAAAGCCTACCTGTCCATCAAGTCTGTGTGGATGTCTATCTGGATGTTTCAATCATCCCCTACTCCCTGAATGTGACCCGTCCTTTCTCAAGACTCTCTAAAACTCTCTACTTCAATTTTTCTTACTGCAATACATGTTAAGTTCTCTAAATGTGTTACAAGAAGGCACTGTATGTCGCTCATTTTTGCAATTTTTCTGAATGCCGCATCTAATATTTTATTTTATCTACCTTGCATTTCTTCTTTGCATTTACTTTTCTACAATGTCTATTCTAGTACTTTTAACTGGCCACAAAATTACAAATGTCCGTAAGCTTGGAACATGAACGAAATTAGATTGAGTTTAAAAGCAAAAACAAAAAAACTAAGCCATGATGACGCAAAATAACACAGCTTTGGATCCATGCAGACTTGAGCTGAAATTCCAGTACCACAACTTAGTAGACTTTAGAGTTTTCCAAATTTTCTCTTCAAAGCAATCACAGAAAAGGGCCACACATACAAGGCACACTGGAGGGAATAAAAAAGCCTTTCATGGTGGTCAGATGTGACCCATCCAGGGACTCTAGCTTCCGCAGGCCTCTTTTTTTTTTGTTATAGGTTGAAAGGATGGAAGAATCAAGGTTTTGATACACAGCCCTGAAGTACAAATCTCTAGGTTATAATGATTTTGATACATTGATATAATAGCATCTCTGAGCCTCAGTTTAATTACACACACACACACACACACACACACACACACACAGATACATTATCTACAAAACTGCTAATATGATTGGAAACAATGTCTATACCGCACCTAGCATTGTGTTAGATACTACTAACTAGACAATCATAAATAGTAACTAATAATTTTACTGCCCAATAATAATATTCCAAATATAAACCACATGAATAAAAATTGTACTCTTTATGGTACAGTAGTTAGCTGCGTCATCATCACAATGAGGTGGGCTGCTAACAAAGAAATGGATAGCTTATTTTTTTGAATGAATTAGCAAACAGCTTTAAGTACATTAAAACTAATACTAATAATTTCACAGGTAAGTCAAAGTCTTCATACATCAAGTGAAGGGTGGAAGTAGCCATGACTCAGAACTGTGTATTCAGTCAGAAAGCATCTGAGGAGGCAGATAAAGGGCACAGTGACACATCTCTCCAGCTTTCGGATGGCAAACATGGAATCTCAGAATGACCAAGCCTTAAGGGCTTTCAAGGGAGCACGTAGCACAACTCACAGATGAGTAGGTAATTCCCTGTACTCACAGGTCAAGCATAAGGAGCTATATTGCTCTTTTTGATTCTGGTACTGACGTTTTAAAAGGCTGTGAATTTTATGTTTTGTTTCCTTTGACAAACTCAGTCATCCAGTTGGACACTTTTCACCACAGACAATATCTGAATAGGTTTTTAACACTGATTCTAAATGCGATTGAAATTTAACTTATTACTTAGATATCCAGGGCTGCTCTACTCTTGGCAGTGGAGCCTGACTGACTCACAGATTGATCTGTTGTTGTCCTCATCCCAGCACACAGCCATCCACTTGATTCCGATGGCTCAAACTTTCCTTCACATCTTGGCCACCAAAGAGGCTCCAATGAAAGGTTCACAGGAAGCTCTTGGCTAGGAGCACACATAATCCCTGGCTTAATGCCGGCATACATTAAATCTGAAGTTAAATATTGAAGGATGGATATGAGGACCTAACCATGCATGTAATATGAAAACCAAGGCATCGAATTGATGCTACATTTTAGAAATAAAGGAATGCTCAATGGCAACAGAATATTTTATCAAACTATGAATCACTGTTTCTGATTCAAGAATACATTAATAACTGAGTTTTTGAATGACAGCAATAACTAGCAGTCATGACACTGTGTGGCCTGTGCCAGGACACATGGAACAAAATGATATATAGTGGACACCACTGTGATATTGTTAACATATATAAAGATACTCTTAGAAAATTGTTGTTTAGACGAAATCTTTGGCAAATGCAAGTTAAAACTTTCTTCAATTTGAATTCCAAATTTTTAAATCATAAAGATTTGATTACACGTGAATACTTTCCATCTAATAATAGATGTATATTGTAGATGCGTACAAATATACTTCTTCAAATACTGATGAGAGGGCAGGATAACCTAATTGTTTCCCTAATTGGGCCATAAACTTTGCCCCCAAATTTTGTCTATTCCAATTTCCAAATTATAAAATTAGCTTATACACTGCCCTTCAGAGTATCAACAATTTTTAAATAAGATTAAGAATCTGGTTGCCATTGTATGGCTCAAATACAGTATAAAGCTTTGAGGGAAGAAGAGAGAAATTGAAAGAATGGGCTTTCAGTCTTTTGGAATAGCAAACCTGAACTTTCCCCAGCAGTAAATGATTGGGTATCTGTGTTCACCGTGACTGGGTCAGGCTGGCTGAGGCACAACGGCACAACATCACTTTAATTAAGACAAGGTAAAGCATGAGTTGGCAAAATTGCCCACTATTTGTCACCTGAAGTCCAATTACGACTGTAATCACTGAGCATCTCCAATGCTGAAAATTAGATCCAGCCATTTACCTGTAATATACTTCAACATAACAAATATTTGGAGATTACTTAAACAGAGCAAATCCTTTGAAATTTTGGTCACCCTCCTTCCGCTGGCCAAATTAATGATCTTTATGCCTGAATACATGCATTTGGCATTACTGAGCACTCTCATTAACTCCCACCACTCATATTCTTGCATATTAGAACTTGATTTTCCTTTTATTTACAATTCCAAGTCCCTTCACAAATTCTTGAACCCTATATTAAATACAGTTAAGGTCTAGTCTTTAGGAATTACTATTCTCCCTTCTTCTTTCCATGCCACTTTTCTTAATACTCAAACATGCATGGGAGATTCTGCCCAACCTCCCTCATCTTTTTTTACTGTTTCTTAAAAAAAAATTTTTTTTTTAGAGACATGGACTTGCTCTATTGCCCAGGCTGGACTGGAGCTCCTGGGTTCAAATGATCCTCCCACGCCAGCCTCCTGAGTAGCTAGGACTACAAGAGCTCACCACTGTGATTGGCTTCCCACTCCTTAATAATACATTCTTGCCTCTTTTCATGTAATTCTCTTGATCATGCCCCCAGAGCAAACAGCATCTCTTCATAAGTATAACACATCAAAACATGGGCATTAGGAGTGGCCATGTGATTTCCTCTGGCCAGCAAAATGTGAGCAGGGATGATGTTAACTGTTTCTGCCACTTCTTTCTTTTCCTTCTGACACAAGAATGTCAAGTCCTACTGTGGTCTGAATGTTGGTAACCCCTAAGAAGGACTAAGACATATCTTGAGTAGGGGCTGCTCATTCTGTTTAGTTCCCAAAGTGAAGAAGACACAGAGCAGAATCCCAGCTGAACCACAGCCAACATACGTTGTAAGCGAAAAATAAGTTTTTATTGTTCTAAACAACTGAAATTCTGGGATTATGTCACCAGAGCATGATGTAGAGAAAACTAATACATTATTACATAGGAATTAACATGTAATGTTGGTTAAACATAGTGATGATTAAATGAGATAATGGGCATGGTGATAAGCACTGTGCTTGTAACATAGTAAGTATTAAATTCATATGAGCTATTATAACATATTCCACATATATCTGTTTCATTTTCTAACATCCTTCAAAGAACAAAACTATGTGTTTTATAAATTCCTGATATGCCTAGAAGAGTGACAGTTACTTAATAAATACATATTGCATTAAGTCAAAGTTAAAGGTAACGAAAAGGTAACCTGAAGAGAGCCACAAAAGAGAGAAGAAGAAGATTTGGAGGGGGATGGGAGAATGAATGACATCACTATTTTTTACTCAATAAATATTTATTGAACACTTAACTATGAGTCAGACACAGTGATAGGCATTAAGGAGACAACTGTGAAGGGGGCAATTCTGCCTTCATTGAGTTAGAGAAATCATGAAAAGGAAGCAGCAATTATAAGGATATGTGTCCTCCAGTGTGAGAAAACACATTGACTTGGATCAAGGACATTTTCCTCAGGTTGTAACCTCAAGAATAAATGGGAGGTGTGTAGATGAAGTAGACAAAGTTGATATGGAAAGAATGTTTCAGGTAGAGCAGACAGCTGATGATGATTTCCCAGTGAAAACAAATAACACCATCTGTTGTCAATTAAAGGTGGTGGGGGACGAAAGCTGATCTTTAGGAAGTTGCATGAGGTCTGATGCAGCCACTACAGAAAATAAGTAGGGAAACTGACCCATGGATGCGGAAATCTTCTAGGTGTTGTTGCTAGCCTGTTGTAAAATGTCATCAGAATGGCATGAATCTTCAGAGTTGGGCGATTTTCTATGGCAACACTAGGATTGGTCATAGTCATGGGGAAGTAGATAGGTGGCTTGTTCCAGAGTAGCTTCTGATGCCAGATGGTTGCACTGAAGCCAACCAGGAAATGAATTGTGGATGTTGACCAGGGTGTAGCTGTCATTGTGGACTATTCTATCTAAGTCAGGAAAATTAAAGGATGGTGGTGAGGGTGTGGTAGGGTTTGAATGCATCCCTAAAGTTCACGTATTGGAAAAAAATCCCCAACGCAATAGTGTTGAGAAGTGGGACTATTCAGAGGCAATTAGATCAAGAGGGCTCTGCCTTCATGAATGGATTAATGCCAATATCTCAGGCATGGGTTTGTTATTGAAGGAGTGGGTTCCTGATAAAACGATGAGTTCAGTCCCCTTCCACTCTCTCTCACACATGCTTTTTTGCCTGTCCACCCTTCCACCATGGGATGATGCAACAAGAAGGCCCTCACTAGATGCCAGCACCTTGATATTGGACTTCTCATCCTCCAAAACTGTGAGACATAAATTTCTTTTCTACATAGATTAACCAGTCTGTGATATTCCATTGCAGCAACAAAAACTGAACTAAGACAGGATGTTTCTACTGACAAGAAACTATAAAAGCTGAAGTTTCAAGGGACTGGTGGTCTCAATGAAACTAATGCATAGATTTTTTTAAAAAATTAGGTCACATACAATATCTAATGCAGTACTGTCAGCCTATATCATCAGGATATATTAAATACTTCTCTCTGTGAACCAGCAGAGGCAGGCATGTCTTAAGTGATCTAAGGGGGTATTACTACTTTATTTGCATAGCACTTCCCTTTATTTCAAATGCTTTCCCATTCATCATAAACACCTCATTTAATTGTCATTACAATTGTGTGAGTTACAGAAAACCAGTATTAATATCCTCATTTTATAACTGAAAAAAAAAATATTGAGGCTTGAGCAAATTTTAACACTTGCCTAAAATCCCAATGTGAGTTTGTAATGGATTATAATTAAAACCCAAACTATTACCCCTTTGATGTGTGCCACTTAAACAATCTATGCAGAAAAGTCAGAAGCATTAGCTGGTTATCTATATGGCAAAACCCAAGTATATACTGAAATTATCCATCACTTCAAACAAATTCTTTTGTTTAATTCCCAAACCAAAGAACAATGGCCGACTTCTTCTGGTAATCTCAGTGAGAAAAATGTTCAGCTACATTGTATGCTCAGGAGGTTATTAATCTATGTTAGCCTTACCATCCCCTTTTTTGAGGCACTGATTTTCCTTTAATGTCTACCCATATAAGTATTGTTTTAATTTAATCATTGTAATTTGTAAAATATGTGCTCACAACGTAGTAAGGTTGAAGGTCCTCGTTCCTTTTGTCTGATAAATCTTTTTCTAGGCCGGGTGCGGTAGCTCACGCCTGTAATCCCAGCACTTTGAAAGGCCGAGGCGGGCGGATCACCTGAGGTCAGGAGTTCAAGACCAGCATGGCCAACACAGTGAAATCCCGTCTCTACTCAAAACACAAAAATTAGCCAGGCATGGTGGCGGCCATCTGTAATCCCAGCTATTCAGGAGGCTGAGGCAGGACAATCGTTTGAACCTAGGAGGTGGAGGTTGCAGCGAGCTGAGATCACAGCACCGCACTCCAGCCTGGGCAAGAGAACGAGACTCCATCTCAAATAAGTAAACAAACAAACAAACAAATAAATAAATGATAACTCTTTTCTATTTACCCATGAGAAAACAACTATACATTTTATCAAACTGTAAGGATATAAATAGAGCCAAAGGGTTGGTTCCAGAACCTGAATATAAATGAATATTCTTATATCTAATCAGTTTTTTTTAAGCTCCAGGCTGTAAGATAGATGGCAAATAATTTCCCTATATGCTTCTAATTTTAAATTAAAATTGAGGTCACTGAAATGGTAGAAGTCAAAACCAATTTAGTTCCTTTGATCTCAACCTAGGGAAACATAACATTTCTGCTTATCTTCTTCATAACAAGAAATGCTTCTCAGATAAAAACTGTAGTACATAGAAATAAAGAGACTGTATGTCAGGCACCCCATTAAACTCTGCAAATGCAGGATAAGTGAATTTTGAATATATGATTTTAATCTTTGCCCATATAGATATTTCTATTAGTATCATAATTAAATGGAACCTTCATTTAGACTTGGTTCTACTATTCACTTGACATCTAAATTTTAAAAAAATCACTGAAACTCTCATTTTTAAAGTTTTATGTTGTAGAATGCTGCAATATATATGCCCTGACCAACTTACAGGCCCTAAAAATTAAACAGTTTGCCCTAGATTGTATAGGTAGTAAGTGACAAATCTATGGTTCCTTTTACACAACAGGTTACAGTATAGTTGTTTCTGTGACAAGTTTTTATTTATCTTGGAATGCTTTTCTTTAGCATACTGTAAGGGCCTCTATTAAAAGTTGGTCAAACTTCTTAGATCTGCAGTGAGAGAAATGATAAAGGACACAGATGATCCTAAACAATGTTTATGCAAAAACAAAAAAAAAAGTATGTCATTTAACTTCAGAATACAAGATTCTTTACTAAAATATTTATATAACAATGTTTTACTTAGTCTCCTATTAAAACTTATATTAAATTGTACCTGCTACTCACATACCAATGCTGATGCTCACAATATCACCCTAACAGCAATGTTACACAAAATTCATATTTGTATTTTCAGTCTAAAATAGGGTAACTGTGGTTTCCAACTATCAAAATTGCCCCATGACTTTGGATTATCAAATAAAACTGGCAAATAAAAATAGACATATAAAGATTCACATGAAACATTTTTAGATTCTGTTCCTCAATCTTTATTTTCAGTGTCTCAAAATAAGCCGCCTTTATTTATTATCTGGATTACTGAAATGTCTGTCTAACCATTTCCCTACGTCAAGTCTTACCAATCACTCTTCAAACTTTATTTCTCAGGACTAACAAAGTTATCTTTCTAATATGCTCATTAGGCTGATGGTCATTTTTCTGCTTTAAAGCCTTCATTAGTGCTTTAGTTTTCAGAAAAAAGGAAAAATTCTTAACCTTAATCTCAGGAGCCCAATGACTTAGCCTTTGCCCTCTCTTTTGCCCCATGTTCTTTTGCTATCTTTATACAGCTAATTATTCTAAGTGGAACCTCAGGACACCAGACAGAGTTTCCAGTCTCTGTTAATTCCAAGTTACTGTTTTCCTAGACCTAGAATCCTTTGCTTCCCATCAATGGTACAGTGAGACTCACTCATACTTAAGTCTCTGCTCAAGCATGGCATTGACCCTCTGTTTGATTAGATGCCCTCTTGGGTGGTCTTACTGCATCCTCTGAATATTTGCATTCTATCTATCAACAATCTAGGCTGAATCCATTTTCTACATGGCAGATAGGTTTTTGTTTTGATTTTTTGGTTTTTTTGTTTTGGTAAACTAATCATATCATTAAAAACAGTCAATACTTGTCTCCTGAATTCTGGACAACAGCCGCCTTAGGCTCTACCTGAGATAGTCCGGCTTAAGTCTTCAGCCTTACCTGCCTGGCAACATTCTTCTTCCTGTCCGCTACACTGTGAGGTGACAGCCAGCTGGCAGCCCTCACAGCCCTCCTTCGCTCTCGGCGCCTCCTCGGCTTTGGCACTCACTCTGGCCGCGCTTGAGGAGCCCTTCAGCCCGCCGCTGCACTGTGGGAGCCCCTTTCTGGGCTGGCCAAGGCTGGAGCCGGCTCCCTCAGCTTGCAGGGAGGTGCCGACGAAGAGGCGCAGGCGGGAATCGGGGGCTGCGCCCGGCGCTTGCGGGCCAGCGCGAGTTCCGGGTGGGCGTGGCCTTGGCGGGCCCCGCACTGGGAGCGGCCGGCCAGCCCCGTCGGCCCGGGCGGTGAGGGGCTTAGCACCTGGGCCAGCAGCTGCTGTGTTGGATTTCTCCCCGGCCCTTAGCTGCCTCCCAGCGAGGCAGGGCTCGGGACCTGCAGCCCGCCATGCCTGAGCATCCCCCACCCTCTGTGGGCTCCTGCGCCGCCAGAGCCTCCTGACGAGCGCCGCCCCCTGCTCCACAGCGCCCAGAACCGCCCAAGGGCTGCGGAGTGCAGGCGCACGGCGCTGGACTGGCAGGCAGCTCCACCTGCACCCCGGTGCGGGATCCACTGGGTGAATTCAGCTGGGCTCCTGAGTTTGGTGGGGACTTGGAGAATCTTTGTGTCTAGCTAAGGGATTGTAAACACACCAGTCGGCACCGTGTGTCTAGCTCAGGGTTTGTGAATGCACCAATCGGCACTCTGTATCTAGTTCATCTGGTGGGGACTTGGAGAACCTTTATGTCTAGCTAAGGGATTGTAAATACACCAATCAGCACTCTGTATCTAGCTCAAGGTTTGTAAACACACCAATCAGCACCCCGTGCCTAGCTCAGGGTTTGTGAATGCACCAATTGGCACTCTGTGTCTAGTTAATCTGGTGGGGACTTGGAGAACCTTTATGTCTAGCTAAGGGATTGTGAATGCACCAATCGGCACTCTGCATCTAGCTCAAGGTTTGTGAATGCACCAACTGGCACTCTGTGTCTAGTTAATCTGGTGGGGACTTGGAGAACCTTTATGTCCAGCTAAGGGATTGTGAATGCACCAATCGGCACTCTGCATCTAGCTCAAGGTTTGTGAATGCACCAATCGCACTCTGTGTCTAGCTCAGGGTTTGTAAATACACCAGTCAACACTCTGTTTCTAGCTAATCTAGTGGGGGCCTGGAGAACTTTTGTGCCTAGCTCAGGGATTGCAAAGGCACCAATCAGCACCCTGTCAAAACGGACCAATCAGCTCTTTGTAAAACAGACCAATCGGCTCTCTGTAAAATGGACCAATCAGCAGGATGTGGGTAGGGCCGGATAAGAGAATAAAAGCAGTCTGCCCCAGCCAGCAGTGGCAACCCGCTGGGGTCCCCTTCCACATTGTGGAAGCTTTGTTCTTTTGTTCTTTGCAATAAATCTTGCTGCTGCTCACTCTTTGGGTCCACACTGCCTTTATGAGCTCTAACACTCACTGTGAAGGTCTGCAGTTTCACGCCTGAGCCAGCAAGACCACGAACCCACCAGAAGGAAGAAACTCCGCACACATCCGAACATCAGAAGGAACGAACTCCGGACACGCCACCTTTAAGAACTGTAACACTCACCGTGAGGGTCCGCGGCTTCATTCTTGAAGTCAGTGAGACCAACAACCCACCAATTCCGGACACAGTACCACCTGCCATAGTTTTGGGGTTTTGGTGGGGTAGGTAGGTAGAAAAGGAGCGAACCTGAACTCTTTACCAGCTTTAGCATATTCTCTTCCCACTGTCTCAAGTTCTCTTCTTCCCCACTCTTGCCATCACTTATCTCCAGGTCTCATCTTACCTGACACTTTCTCAGTAATTCTCCTCATCCATTTTTATGCAAATTGCTCTTGCATGGCATATTTTGCTTTTCTTTCATAGCTCCTATCAAAATGTGTAATTATGGGCCTATTTGCATGACTATTTGTTTCATATCTGCCTCTACATCCTCCATAAGTTCCATGAGGTCTGAGAACACGTTGGTTTTGTTCACCACCCTAAACTCAAGGCCTGGCACAGTGACTGGCACCATTTGGTGCTTAGAAATATTTGTTTAATGAATTTAAAGTCTGTTTCATTAAGCTTCATTATTCTTGACGAATTGTGATTTCTATGTAACTTTGTAACACTAAGAAATTGTATAATACAGAACTGCCTATAGAGGGTTCTCACTAAGTATTAGATTAACAAATGGGCAATTTTCAAAGACCAACCAAAACTCCTAAGACTAAAACTATGGTGAACAGTACTAACCTCTTTTTGAGTATCAAGATATACTGAAGGACCTTGTATTTCTTTAGACTTACATCTCAAGGGGAAATATGACGGATACTATGATGCACCAGCCAGACTCCCCTTCAAGAATGAAGATTTTTTTCCCCCCAGCTGGTGTGAGAGTTACAGCTCACTTTGTGCTACGCTTAAGCGTAGCTTTAGAAAGTCTCGAAGGAAACTGCTGCGTTTGAGGACTTTCCTCCTTGCAGGGACACTCATACTCCACATATATAAAGGTCAGCCCCATATCCCAACTTGAGACAAGGCTGAAGAGCCATCCCACCTCCAGAACTCTCCATGGAGTACACAGAGGCTGTCACAGGCACTGTAGCCTCACTCAACTCCTCCCTGTACCCACTCCTGCTTTTCTGTTCTTTCACTTCTCTTGATTCTAATAACCACACCTAACAAACATCCTGCATGCTAACCTCCATCTCAGGGCCCGCCTCACATCCAGGGTATCTCTTCCCATTGGTGACAAGAAAAAAAACATTAGGGTTGTATGTGAATAAAAACGGCTTATAAATAATCTGTGTCATATCTGTGTTGTGGGGATGTACATGCTATTATTAAATAAGTTACTAGAAGGACAGCATATGATTCTTACAACAGCATTATATTAATAGCAATTCTGATTCATTTGAGCTGAGTGGAGGTTTACAGATATATTGGTATTATTGTTCTGGTTTTTAAAAATTTATTAACTATTATGGTCTGCATTTGCCTGATAAACACAGGCTAAGTAATACATTATTGAAAACAGTTGTATGCCAAAAAAAGGAAATAGTGGAGGGCAGGCATGCCCTATTTGTGCCATACCACAGCGGTTTCTGTTTACCTCTCTGAAAACGGGAGATCTTCCATATAAAGGCATTGGTTCAGAGAGTAAGTACTGGAGAATGAAGTTGTAACTAGTTCAGGGTAAGAAGAGATGCCTTATACAAAAGGAGATACAACTGTTTGTTATTAAAATAAAGGAATTATTATTTTGCAGCCGACTAGCTAAAATGTAACCCTTATTACTTTCTCCCTTATACATTAGTTATGCATATTTTATAGTTAAGCAATTAAAATTAGGTGCATCCTTTCTTCCTAAAGGAATAAACATTCTCCTTCCTCTGCAGCTCATTAGAAAATGTCTACTAGAGAAGAAAAGGCTTCCCTTGAGGCACTTGGGCTTCTCAAACATTACTGTGAACACAAATCACCCAAAGGATCTCATTAAAATGCAGATTCTAATTCCGGGGGTCTGTGGTGAGCCCTGAGATTCTGCATGTCCAATAAGCACCCAGGTGATACTGATACTGCTGGTCTATGGACCACACTCTGAATAGCAAGGTATAAAAGCAAGGTATAAAAACATAACTTGTGGGGAGGGCTCACAGAATATGATTTAGATATAAGGCAGTACTTCTGATACTAAAAAAAAAAAGGATGTATACCATTTTTGTGAAGGAAAAAATACACACAAACACACACACAGCATAAGTTTAAAAAAAGTCACACAGGCACTTAATTGTTGTACTTATAAAATGAACACATAGACAAAAGCCTAGTTAGCAATCACTTCTGCAATATATACCTCAAAAAGTTACATATTTTTATAAGTATCGGTTACATGGAGCAATAAAAGTTTCAATAGGTTATTTTTATACTATGGAAACTAAATTTTTAGCTTGTAATTTGAGTATATATGTATGTAGTATGTGTCTATGTATGTGTATAAGTGTGTGTGTTTGCATCATACACAGATTCAAATTTTGTATGTCAAAGATTATGTAATGCATTTCAGTGACAGATAACACAAGTTGATGATCCAAACACTTTGGTTTCATGTCTGTTTCTTCAGTAAAAATCTTACTTTTTGTGCTTACAGAATTATCCATACAATACAGAGACTTTCTTTCTGGAAAGAATCCTATACTTTCAGTTGTCTAAATATTAAAAACAATGGCGATCATCAAAATAAGCCATATGCAGCTATGCATCCTGTAACTCTGAGAATGAATTATTATAATAGTACAAAAGGAAGTAAGGACATCTAGAGTATCTATTCTCTACCTGTTGCATTCCAATGAAGTCAATACAACTATCCCAATGTCCTGAGTACATAGAACAGCCAGATATTAGAAATGAAACACATTTCTAAGATTCTTTTCTATCTGGATACAAAAAACAACACAGTCAATATTCATTGTGTACTTCCTATATTCCAGAGAGTATGGTAGTTGCTTTACATCTCTTTGCTCAGCTATTCCTCACAGCAACCTAGTGAGGTTAAGCCCTGTTATCCCCATTTTGCAAGCAAAACAGAAATGCTAAGAAATCCATCCTTGGTCACAGAGCAAGACAGCTCCTTTTTTCCTCTGAAAAGATAGGTAAAAAATCCTCTTAATAGTTCTCAACCATGGATACACAATGTGATCACCTGGAAGGCTTTTGCAGTAGTAATTCCTAGATGCTACCTCTTAGAGATTCTAACATAAATTGTCTGATATTTGGTTTTCATAGCCAGAGCTGAAAACCACTGTTCTGGAGCATTTAAATAATCTTGTTCTCTTCTACTCCCATCAGTGTAACCAGATGATGACCTCATTTCTCATTTCTCAAGGACAGTAGATGCTATGTAATGGACACTTTCTATCCACATCCCCTTCCTCTGGCCTACACTGGAGAGTAATTTTTGAATCTTCTCTTCCCCCAGCCCAAACTCCTTTCCAGGAACCTCCCTAAATACATTTCCATTGCTATTTTAAAATGATTAAATTTCTCTTATTTTTTAAAACAAAAACGAAAAGCCCTCTTTGTCATCACATAACCTTTCAGCCCATCCTATCCCAACAAAGCCAAATTTCTTCCCCAAATTATCCGTAACGGATGACAATATTTCCTGCCACTCATACATTACCCTGTTAGCCTGGTTTCTACCTCAACTCTCAATATAATCTATTCACACCAAAATTACTTTTCACCCAATATCTCTCCTATCAGTAGTTGACTCTTAATATTTTCCTTTCCCAATTGTTTATTTTCATTGCTGCAACACTGCACTTTCCAGGCTTTTTCTCCTATGATTTGTAAGGTCCTTCTTAGTCACTTTGCAAGCTTCTTGTCTTGCACACATTGATGCAAGACAAGGGTTTCTCATAATATCTAATGCAAGCTTGTCCAACCCACACCCTGCAGGCCGCACGTGGCCCAGGACAGCTTTGAATGCCGCCCATCACAAATTTGTAAACTTCCTTAAAACATTACGAGATTTTTTTAAGTTTTTTTTTTTTTTAGCTCATCCGCTATTGTTAGTGTTAGTGTATTTTATGTATGACCCAAGATGAAGGTTCTTCTTCCAATGTGTCCCAGGTGTGCCAAAAGATTGGACACCTATGCATGGACATGAAACCATATGAATACTGTTATGGGATGTAAATCACAAATCCTGATGCCCTGTTTAATCTTTCTTGAACTGTGCATTCATATGTCCTACTATAAATTAGACATGTCTGCAGTCACTTAATATGTCCAAGGGCAAACTCATCATCCTCCTGCACAAAATTTTATCATCCATTTTCCCTATAGAAATGAATGGTGCCATGAATTCACTCCCATCCCAGAAACATACCTGCATTCCTGAAACCTCTCTCTTCCTACACAAACATCCAATCATTGAGTCCAAACCAATCATTAAGTCTTTTTAATCCTTAAATATGTCTTCTTGATATCATCCTTACTTTCCCAGCCTGGCTGCTATTATCTAGTACCTAAATTACTATTCCTAACTGTTCCCAGTTTTGTTCATTCCCTCTACTCCAATACACAAATGGTAGTCATGAGAAACATTGTAAAAAGCAAACTGTAAAAGGTCATGTTTCTTAATAAAACTTCAGTGGTCCTACAGTTCCCTCAGAATAAAGTTCAAACTTGTTATCTTAAAAGATCCTTCATGAACTGATCATTATTTTCCTTTATGGTCTTATAGCATGTGATTTTGTCTTTCACATTAAAAGAAACATAAATAATGACCTTCTTAATTTTCCTTGAGTTTGTCATGCTCTTTCTGTCTTCTAAGACTTGGCATAGTTTCTTTTCTTTCTTTTTTTTTGAGGGGGGGGCTCTTCCTTTCCTTCCTTCCCCAACCTCTCTCTCCTTCTGATTAACACTTCACTTATCTTTCAAGTTTTTTTTCAACAATAAATGCTCATACTTTTAACTCGGCCTGTGTTTGAACTGGGACTCTATCATTTCTTACAGTGTGAACCTGAAGGAGTTGTTTAACTTCTCTAATTTGCAACTACCTCCTCTTTAAAATGAGGATAATGGAAATATGTTATCTCATATAACTATATAAATGTTAAATGAGATAATGCTTGTAAAGTGGTTGGCATGCTGCCTGGCAAATGTTGTCAATAAATATTATTTTCATGCACCTGGGATGCTTTCATTGACCCTAGAAATGTTTTTGGTCAGTATCCTAACTGCGCTCATCATGCCCCCTACTGCTCCTGTCATTGTTCCCATTACATGGAACGACGATGTCTTTTTTTATTGTTCAAATCTTCCACTATATTGAAGCTCTTAAGGGTCAGGACTATGCCCATTTTATTTGCTGCTGAATTCTGGACACCTGACACAGAGATGAGCCCATAAGAACACCAGTTAAACCTTAGTTCAATAAAGAGCAGGGGGCTTTGGAATTCCAAAGAACTCTCCAACTACACAGGCTGTGCACTTTTAAAAGCTGCTCCTGGAAGGAATAATCATAGTATTTGTGCATGTGTAAGTGTGTAAATTGAACCATTCAGGGATAATCTCTAACACTGTTTACTTTTTTAAAATGTGAGATGTTAGTTTATGTTGTAAACACTTTAGTAAACATGTAGTATAAATAAATTCATAGGTAAACATGACAAAACTAAGTGGGCATATAAGAAAAAACGCCAAATTTCAGTTTGAAGAATTCCAATACATCCCAAAATACTGGTATCACATCAGTAATTTCCAGTGAACTACACTGCACATTTTGCTTATTTTACAAATGCTGTGCGAAAGTTGCAGAATTCTACTGATGCTGCTATAAAGACAAGACAAATTTTAGTTTGCAGTCCACTTTAAATATATGATAGACCATTTACCCTGGGTCTAATTCTTCCCTGGGTCTAAGCACCTTCAAAAATACTTCCTGTAGGTTAGCTAAAGGATCCTGAGTTTTGTAACATAAGGATTGGTGCAAACTCTATTAACTGGGTCCGAAATGTTTAGATGACAAACTCCCTACATTAAAATACTATAAAGGTGAAAGGTTTGAAAAATAGACTGTCCTTTCCTAGGATGAAGTACAGACCAAAGTGTATGTAGCCAGTAAGTGGATCCTTTAAGAAAGAAAATAAAGTACATATCTTTTGGGAGGTAATTTGGAAAAATGTTTGTATAGTTTGACTCAGTAATCCTCTCTCAAGGAATTCACCTTAAATATAAAAAGAAAAAAGCCAAATGCACCATTTGTTGTAATTTTTTGCTTAGTGTGGTATTTCTCAAAATAGAGGGGAAAAACTAAAATCTATCTAGATTCAAAATGAATTTTGTATATTATGACACATCAAATGCAGCCCTTAAAATTAGTTATATCATAAGCACTTTTCATGTTATCATAAAATATCATACAAAATATTTGATATAAACTGATTTCAATTATGTAAAAAATTATATAATCATATCAAGAAGTAGACAAGAAAACAAATAATTTATTAGTTGTATAACTGTGTAAGCTCACTTAATAAATTCTGTGTAATATGCATATTTTTATATGTGTCCATTTAAAAAAATTCCTCAAATGTAAAAACACAGTCTTAGAATTTTATTAATGTTGTCTGTTCTAAAAGAAAAATCGCTTGTAAATCTGGCCTCCAGTAAACAAAACTGTTTTTTCTTTTTTAGCTTTTCTAAGCTATATTTTGTGCTACATTTTTTTAAATAAAATGATCAACTTTCTATTTCATATGCCTAAACCATAAACTTTAGTTAGACTGATTGATCTTAGTAGCAGTTAATCTGACTTCATGAGTTCTTGAGCCCCAGTTCATATAGGCAAAGAATACTTTTGTTTTATTTACTTTGTGACAAATGAAAAATCTATAGGATGCTAGGCAAAAGGCTTATTGCTCTTAGAGTCTTCCATCTCAATCATTACCATGTTCAGGTTCACTAACTGAATCACTTTCAAAAGAGCACATTAGTATGAAATAAAACTATTTCAATGGCAGGCTAAAAAATCATAGTTTAACACTTCTTTAATAAACTGTGTGACCTCAGGCAAGTGACTTAACATCTCTGTGCTTCAAATTGTTCATCTGATTATTATCATGGGTAATAATAATAATACCTACCCAATAGAGTTGTGCTGAACATTAAATGTTTTTATAGACAGAAAACATTTAGATCAGTAAATGGCAGGTGGTAAACAATATTTATGAGTTGTATCATCGTCACTCATTTTTAATCACAGCTAGTTTTTATATTAAAGTACTCTACAAAGCATGGCAAGAAATAAATTTTATGTTGTTTTTCTAAGAGAAAGTCCAAGGATTCTGTATCTCAAAGTTTTGACCTTAAGCAGGTCACTTATTTATCTGAGTATCAGGTTCATCACTAATAAAATCAGATAAATGCCTACATTATGATTTAGACATGATTAAATGAGACATACAACAGAATTGAATATGATATCATCAATTTATTCTCTCCTAATTTTTATATGACCTGACGTAGTATCTAACACAGAGCAGATGGTTTACAAATAATAATACTTTTTAAAAGTAGGGATAATTGTGCGAAAAAAAGTTGCTCCAGTAGACATGAATTTAATTTATAAAAACTAACTTCAACAGGCTGAATGCCATGAGTTGTCATCATCCCTTACATATTAAATGTACTTTGATGCCAAAGTGCTAATACCTTTCTACAAGGCTAGAAAAATATCAATTTCTGGGTACAAAGGACTGTGGCCATTATCTGATTTAAATCTGTCTTCAGAGAAAACAATTAACCCCCCAAATTCAATGGTCCTTAAAATCAGAAGTGTGAATGTTTTATAATCTTGCAACTCAAACTTTCAGGAACAATAATGCTGATTTGCTGTCAGGAAAATTATTCATGCCTTGTTATCTTCCAGTGAGTGTAGGTTTAATACAAGCAGTGTGTGAATATCGAAGAATAAGGTGGAAAAGTATTAAATTAGAAAACATAAAAATAGACACATCTTATGTAAGACATAATCTGAGAGAACGATGGTGAGACAATAAACTTATTGACAAAAAACACAGGCCATTTGCAAATCTTCATTCAAAAAGTTGTCTATTTTAAAATGCTCGAGCAACTAAGAAGCAGCAGGATAAATCGGAAATTTTTTTCAAAAAGCTACTTAGGGAATAAGGCTTGCCAGTAAAGGACAAATAATTTCTTACAACATGGATATCATATCACTACATCTGATCTTTTTATGGTTATATAATACTTTCAAACACTTTGATCCCCCCAGACTCAAAAACTCCTAAAACACATATATCTTCATAAGGTATAACTTGAATTTAAGCAAAAAAGGTAAAAGAATATTAATTTTACTATTAAAAGCAACAACTTCTCAGTATAACTGGAAATAAACTGTGTGAAACCTCAAAGCTGTCTAATTGTGCCTTCATTCATGCAAATGAAGAAGGCAGTTTTTGTTGGTTTCCAGGTTTGAATTAATCATCAGAGCAAAATCCACTAAAATTGTTGTAGCTACAGAAAGCTACATCAACTGAAGATATCTAGCATCCAGAAGCCAGCATTAATAAATGCTTGAGTGGGCCGGGTGCAGTAGCTCACGCTTGTAATCCCAGCACTTTGGAAGGCCAAGGTGGGCAGATCACCTGAGGTCAGGAGTTTGAGACCAGCCTGGCCAACATGGTGAAACCCCATCTCTACTAAAAATACAAAAAATTAGCCGGGCGTAGTGGCAGGCGCCTGTAGTCCCAGCTACTCAGGAGGCTGAGGCAGGAGAATGGCGTGAACCCAGGAGACGAAGGTTGCAGTGAGCCGAGATCGTGCCACTGCACTCCAGCCTGGGCGACAGAGCGAGACTCCGTCTCAAAAAAAAAAAAAAAAAAAAAAAAAAAAAATACAAAAATTAGCTGGGCATGGTGGAGCGTGCCTGTAATCCCAGCTACTCGGGAGGCTGAGGCAGGAGAATCACTTGAATCCGGGAAATGAACGTTACAGTGAGCTGAGATCATGCCACTGCACTCCAGCCTGGGTGACAGAGCGAGACTCTGTCTCAAAAAAAAAAAATTAAAAAAATGAATAAATGTATGCATATACTTAAAGCAGTTTAAAAAGTGCATAAGTATTTACAATGTTTTAAACATCATAATAAATATGTACACCCCTTTTCACATTTCAACATATAAAACAACTTTATGAGACCCGCTATTTTATCTGCATTTTATAAATAAGGACACAAGTCTCATAAAACATACTTATGGATATGGGTATGTATATGAAGTGGAATGAGTTGACCAAGATCACCCAGTTGGCTAGGGGTACAAACAGGATACAAATCCAAGTAGAATAATTCAAGCGCTTCTAACTCTAACCATTATGAGATGCTGGTTTTGTTGGTTGTTAAGATACCCACAGTTATTTAATTTTATGAATAAACTATTTAACTTTGGCAGCAAATTATTTAAAATAACTAAATTCCGCATAAATATAAGAAAATGAATTTGAGAGGAAAACCACTCTCCTAATAGCTAAGTTCCTCCTGAGATAATACAGCCAAATTGTCACTTAAAATAACCAGTACAAAAATTTAGTTTTAAACAATTTTCCAAGAATATCCTGGTGAAACTTCAAGGAAATAATTTTTGGAGGTTTAAATATCTCCCCAAAAGTTTGTACCACTCCTACCTCTTAAAAATCTAAATTCTGCATATTGTAAATACATGTAGCTCTGCATAAAAATGCCCTCATGTAACATATTATAAGAAATAAAAACTCATGCGAATTCACCATAGAAAATGTTATCCAAATTGTAAGTGCAAGTTAGTTTTTAGATAGTGTCAAGTGTCAGATTTCAGATATGATATACGTAATACTAAACTTTAGCTGGTCTCATTTCATTGTTCTTCTTGGATGAACTTTCATGCTAATTGCACAGCTCTGTTCCTACACTGGCTTTGGTGAGGCAAACTAAAACACACTAAGATTAAATGTCTACGCTGTTACCCAAAGAGATGATATGACACAACTCTGATTCATTTGCTTACTGTCTCCTTTGCCACCATCATTCTCAATCAAATCCTGCCAGGCTTTGAACATGTGATTATAGTCTTCAAAGCTACAACAGAATCACAGAAGCTGGTTTAATGATGCCTAAAGCAAATAATTTAGATGAGGCCCCTGACATCCACAGTCAGAAATACTCAGTAGAAAAGGGGTCCATGCTAAGTCTGTACGTGTCCACAGAATACACGTGTGCATTATGGGTGTGTGTGCAGATATACGAATGTTTACATATAAATATAAAACCCATTTTGCAGTTGAAATCAATCAAAATAAATTTAATTTGAGCAGTAGGAGTAACAGGCAGAGAGAATTCAGGGGAAGATAATAAATTAGAAACCCAGTTTTGCTGTGAGAAAACTTAGCAACAACAGTACCTAGAGTAATTTGTGCACCTCAAACAAAAACTGCCTCTCCATCCTTACTTTTGGATGGAATTAATGCCAACATTCATTAAATGTATACCATGTGCAGGCTCTTTGGAACATGCAATTGCCAGTGTTAGGTAAGAAGTAGGAATTACAGATCTCCCAAACAATTTCACCTTCATATTTATTCAGCCTAATCCTGCACCATTACTCCGACTAAAATTCCTGAATAGTTCTGGTCGCCTCTTTTTCTCCCATACCCCTCACCCAGTACTCAAAACTGTTAAGCCTCTACTTTCAAAATGCATCATGAATCTTTGCATCATCTCCTACCCTAGTCCAAACCACATCATCCTTCCCCTTAACTATGGCAAGTGCCTTCTAACAGGCCTCTCTCATACAGGTTTAACCCTTTATAGTCAAGTCTTTACCCATGCACCAAAGCGATCCCTTTAAAACCTGTGATAGATTATTTCACATCACCATTCAGACCCTACAATTCATTATTAAAATGGTCAAGCCTCACACAACTGGGCCCTGGTTACCTCTCTGGTCTCACCTTCTATTACTTTCTCTAGTTCTGTGTAATTTCTTGGCATTCCTTGAAGATACCAGACATTCACATACATTAGGGTCTTGGCAGTCAGCATTTCCTCACCCTGCAATACTCTACCCTAACTTCATCACATAATTTAGGTCTTTGATGAAATGTCACGACAGAAAGTCTTCCCTGGCTACTTTACTTTAATTAGGAACCTCCTGCCATTTTTCTTTATCTTCTCATCTTATTTTATATTTCTTTATAGCACTTATCACCACCTGATATGCGTGAGTATAAAGGTGTGTGTATAGATATAGATATAAATTTGTTGTCTATTTTACCCTCTTAGAATGTAAGCTCCATGTGAACAGCGATTTATATCTTTTGAAAATGTCATTTGATTAAAACTTTGATGAAGAAACATATTCACTACCGCCTTACCATGCCTCATCCGCCATGAACTTCACTCTCTGAAAAACTCTGTCCCAGACATAGATAAATCCTTTGGCTTTCCTCCACTTTCTTCCCCTTTGAATATAACAGAGACAGTAATTTTGTAAAAAATTATTTTGTCTAAGAAATGAGCCCTCCTTGCTTTTACAGTTACTCATGGGCTCCAGCATACGGTGCTTTGCATTTTTGCATCAAAGCACTACACGTTGAATCCTGCGCACAAGTACGTCATAACTCCTTACAAAAGGGGCACAGATAACCTCTTAGATTTCAAATAAAAAATGCTATTTTTATTCTTCTTTTATTTAAGACTTTTATGGCATTTCATATTGTATACTGTTCTATGTTTCCATGTGTTTCCCAGTTCAGCTCCTACCAGAGGCTGCTGCTTCCCAGTCTCTCATTCAAGGACCTCTCCTCCAACAACAATCCGTCAAAATGTTAACACTGTATAAGACTCCACATGTGCCTTTCTGCACAGTAGAAACACTGCCTGGACAATCTCAAATATCTATATAGCTTAAACTCTCAAATACCCATTATTCACTTTTCCATTCTTAGCTCCTTGAGAAAAGGGGCCTTAACCTGCTCATTACTGCATCACTAGCTTTAAGCCCAGTACTTGGTAAAGAATGGAAGGTAAGTATATATCTGCTGAATGAATGAGAACTCTCAAGTAAATGTGTAACTCTAGGTAACATCTTGCCTTTGTTTCCAGAACTATAGCAAGCTTCCTATTAGCTATGCTCTCTTGACTGGGAGCGTCTTCGCACATTTAATGCACAACATGGTCACAACGTAAGTCATATATTTCTCCATCTCCTCTTTCCTCACCCTCAAGTTTAATGCCAAATGGTCCCCTTCTTGGATAGTTTACATCTTGAGTCAAGGATTTGAGAATCATTTCTGCTCCCTGATGGTGTATATCCAGTTTTCAACTTCTGAAGGTTTTTTCTTCTAAATGTCTCTTCAGTGAGTCTTCCCTCATTTAACATTGACATGATTATGCCAATTCATGCCCTCATTATTTCTTACCCGATGTACTGCAATGACTTCTGAACTGTCTTTCCTGCCTCCAATTTTACCCCACTAGTCTTCCTTATGGTTGCTCTTTATTGTTGTGGTTGTTGGCTTTTAATGGTAAAATCATCATGTCATATTCCTTTCTAAAAATTTGTGGAGGGATTTCTGTATCATTCTAGAATGCATATAAATCAAATTTTTAGCATATCATAAAAGCCCCAAATGTTAAGAATCCTACCTCTTCTTTGTACATCTTCCTTGACACTTGACTGTTCTCTCACCTTCTAAGATCCATCTACTCTCCAATAGTTGTCCCACTTCTAGTCATCCAAGTGTCAAAAGTTGTGGCTTACTGAACATGCTTATCCCTCTGCACAAAATATCCTCACGTCCCTCAATATTTCTGATGCTTTTACAAAGACTTAAACATAATTTCTTTTAAGAAGCCTTCCTTTCTTTATGTTATCATCAAGCCCTTTCTGCTTTCTCTCATACACAAGATCCCAGTGTAAGGCTGATAAAGGCAGGAGCACTTGTTTCTGGTTCACAGCTAGTACTATAGAGCTTACTATGACTTGCACCAAGAAAGTACGTATCAACCATTTCCCGAATAAGCAAGTTCGCAATGATTTCTTTACCTTTTTTTTTTGTTTTCCCTACTCAAGTAGCTCCTCAATGGCAAGAAGCAATATTCATCTTCTTCCCAGTGAATGAAACACTCATTAAATTACTCATTTAATTAAAAATACAGAAGTATTCATATGTACACCTATACATATGTATGTATTCAATGCAAATTAAGTATGTCTCAACTTGTTATACTTGAAGTGAAGCCAAGAAGTCCATAGGCTTGCCAGGGATACAGATCATTAGCTTGATTCCTAAATGACCACGTCTGGTCTAAAGGACAAAACAGGTTCCTTAGTCAAGTATATGCAAGTCTGATTCCAGAGCATGATGAGTTACTTCATTTACATTGTCAACTCTGCCCACTGTGGACAATTGTAATCCCTGATTCAATGAGTGTCTCTAGAGACATCTCACCATTTCTGTTTACATGAGTCCAGGTCCAAATGTGACTGTAAAAAGTAGACTAATGAAAATACTATAATGAGGATCCAAGTATTAGAGAAAAAGGGAAAGGAGAGAGAAGATCCAGTGAAAGAGAGGATACCAAAAAGAAACAGCATTTGAATAGGGAGTTGAATGGTGGCCAGGAGTTCAAAAGTCCAGACGAGAGCCAATAAGAAATCAAAAGAAAGATTGATAAGTAGTGGCTATCTTCTAAAAAGCTGCTATTTATCATAATGAGGATATCAACCTCTTAGAATATATTTTAGGTTGAACATTTGTGATAACACAATTTGATATTAAATAATTAGAAAGTTTTGCTGTAATACCTCATCTGCATGTAATAGCTTTAGCTAAGGTTGTCAGGCACTGCATATAAAATGCCATTTCAGAAGTGTATTAATTTATTTAGCAGTTCATTCATCAATTGAACTCATTTGATAGGGAAGAGATGCAAGGATAGGAATGGAGAAGAGGAGAGCAGAGGAGAGTGAAGGGGAAAGAAGAGAATCAGTACAATCTGCAGATGAAAATAAGCTAGAACCCAAGTGGTGAAGAATGGGAACTGGGTGTTACAGTGCTTAATTACCTCATTCCAAATGTGTAACGTAGGAAAAATTGTAAAGTGGGGTAAAATAAGGAGGGGAGAAGATTCTCTCCCTAGGGGAACTTGCTCTTACAGATGTGAACTACTTTATTTATGAATAAGGAATGGACTCTGGAGACAGCTCTGCCACTTGTTATCTCAGTAGCCTTCAGCTATGTACCCATTTCTTACTACTCAGCTCCCTCACCAGTAAAATGGGAATTATTTTGGTACTTATCTCATTGGACTCTTATGAGAATTAACTGAATCAGTATTCCCAAGGCACTTAGAAAAGGGCGTGATATATAAATCAGCAGTACATAACTCTTTATGCTGAACAAATATGTATACATTTTAAGACAATAAAGTGAGCTCAAAACATGACTTTGCAGCATATTAAAAACAGACAATAACATACATCCATTGACCATTCCAAAAGAGGGCTTCGAGAGAGCTTTAGTTCCCACAGATTATCTATCAGATACATTTGGATCAAAAATTTACATTTCTCAGCCTCACACATATTGCTTGGCAAACACTGCTTCATATCCTACCAAGCAAACAAACTGTGTTCCTAAATCCATATTATATAGAAGTACTAGAGTCCTCAATTCTACCAGCCCTATCTATGTATCTATCTATCTATCTATTTATCATCTATCCATCTCTAGATGATAATATCTGTATTAAAGCATAAACATTGTAAATTCCATAACCCAACTTCTGTTAACTAAAAAAGGTTAACTTTGTAAATTTAGCCTCTAGAAGATTAATAAGTGGATTGGTTTATTCGCATTTCATCAAGACTACTCCCTAATAACATTTTAAACAATCCAATATAATTTATTTCTTAATGAGCTGGAGATAGATTGGGTTCAAACTCCAGCTGTTTATTTAAGACTAATGGGACTTGGGCTTAATGTGTCTTTGCCTAATTTTCCTCATATGTCAACAAATAAGGATAACAACAGAGTATTTTGTATGTATGTATGTATGTAAGGCACTTAAAATATCACCTGGCAAATACTAACCACTATGTAAGCATTCGCTATTAGCATTACTGTTGTTATTCTGGATAAATCACAATGATTATATTCCTTCCTTATACTAATGAGAAATCACATTCTATTCTTAAAGGAAGAGCCAAATACATAACAGGTTCTGTAAATCTTCATTTATTTTTAATTCTATTCATAAGCAAAAAATTTTTAAAAGGAAAATATTTTAAAGTATTACATTATACCATTTTTAATAAAATGTCTATCAAAAGTTGAAAACATATTTAATGAGCAGCCTGTTTTAGCATCTATGGTGCTTCTTGTCAATCATTTTTTAAATGATGCAGCAATCACTAACATTCACCATTTTTGGACATGCATATGTAAATTAATGATTTCTCTACACCATCAGATTTGCTATATGGAAATTACCTACATAAATAGCATATGGCAATTTCTTCCCAATGATTCCTAGATACCCATCCCCTAGTAGTAGTTTAATATGCAAGAGAATAGCATCCTAGTTCCTGAAATAAAACCTTGCATCTTTCTATCACCAGCCATTCTCAAGTAGGAAAGCAAAGAGGCACCAAATGTTAACGTACCTAACAGTTCTTAATCTCTTCTTAAAAGGTCTGCTGTGTACATAAAAAATATCAAGAAGTCATAATTTGACTGACACATTCCTTATGTAATAATCTTCATTTGATAGAATAACAAAATGTTTTTACTTTTTCATTTTACCTGCAAAGATAAATTTAGGAACAACCAAGGCCAGGATTTTTAAATGGCATAGATTCTCCACTTTTCTTTATTTAAATAGAAAAGAAAAATTTTTGTGAGGGTTACTGATTAAATCAGTTCTTAAAAATACAGTAAAAGCTAAAAGCTCATTACTGAGCACTCTCCTTGTTCAGTATAATTTATATAGTGAAAAGGAGGAAATAAGACATTAAAAGGTCATTCAGTGGATCAGAGTGTAGACCAGGTGAGTTTTTCCACAGCCAATTTGAAATTAGTTTATTAGAGCATCTATACGCCTACTGTAAGATATATAAAGATATGTTTTCATAGAAAAACAGTCACTTCAGTCTACATACTAGAATCTGGCTGTGGTAGGCAGAATAATGGCCCCCAAAGATTCCCACACTCTAATCCCTAAAAGCTGTGAATATGTTGCTTTATATGGCAAAGAGAACTTTGAAAATGTGATTACATTAAAGATCTTGAGACTTAAAGATTATCTTGGATCATCCAATTGGGCTCAATGGAAACACAAAGATTCTTATAAGATCAACCTAAGTGTCCATGGATGGACAAAATGGATAAAGAAAATGTGATATATATACAAAATGGAATCTTAATCATAAGAAAAGATTACAATCTTGTCATTTTTGAATAAGGATGAATCTGTAGGACATGAAGTGAAACAGGACAGACACAGAAAGACAAATACCACATGATCTCACTCATATGTGGGATCTAAAAAAGCTGCAGAAGTACACAGCAGAAGAGAAGTTACCAGACGCTGGAGAGGGTAGGAAGGAGAGGGAGAAGGGAAGAGATTGATCCATGGGTATAAAATTATAGTTAAGATAGGAGAAATAAATTCTGGTGTTCTATTGCACAACAGGGTGAAGACAGTTAACAATATTGTACTGTAAATTTGAAAAAAAAAACTAGGAGAGGATTTTGAATGTTCTTATCATAAAGAAATGATAAATGTATGAGATGACGGACATGCTAAATGCCCTGATTTGATCACTACACATGTATATGGAAACATTACACTCTACTCCATAAATTTATGCAATTATTATATGTCAATTAAAACTAAAAATAAATCTTAAAAATATATATCTATCTTAAAATAATAATTAGGTGGGAGTTTCAGAGCAGGAGAAAGATTTGAAAATGCTACCATGTTGGTTTTGGAAAAGAAGGAAGGGGCCATGAGCTAAGGAATGCAGGCAGCCACTAGAAGCTGGAAAAGGCAAGGAAACTGATTTTCCCCTAGAGCCTGCAGAAAAAATCATAGCCCTACAGACAGACTGATTTTAGCCCTATAAGACTCATTTCAGATTTCTGACTTCTAGAACTTAAGATAACATATTTGAATGGCTTTAATCCACGGAATTTGTGGGAATTCATTACAGCAGCAATAAGAAACTAAGACACTGTTTCTCTAAAAATAATGCAGCTACCATCTTTACACAATTCTTATAATTCAATCCTTTTTTTTTTTTTAGAGGGAGTCCCGCTGTCTCCCAAGCTGGAGGTGCGGTGGCGCGATATCGGCTCCCTGCAAGCTCCGCCTCCCGGGTTCACGCCATTCTCCTCCCGAGTAGCTGGGACTACAGGCGCATGACACCTCGCCCGGCTAATTTTTTTGTATTTTTATTAGAGACGGAGTTTCACCGTGTTAGCCAGGATGGTCTCCATCTCCTGACCTCAAGATCCGCCCGCCTCGTCCTCCCAAAGTGCTGGGATTACAGGCGTGAGCCACCGCGCCCGGCCCAATTCAATTCTTATGATTCACAATTCTTATAAATCTTAAAAGAAAATTCGTATAATTCTTATAAAAATAATTCTTATAATTACAAATATTATAATTACAGACTGTTTCATTATTATACATTTTTTTAAGATTTCATAAAACTAGTACCAGCACTAACAAAAATGCTTACAACTGATCAAAAGAAGCTCTAACCAAAATGTAACTATTTAACAAAACAGATTAACAATAACACCCAATATTAAAGATGAAGAAAACTGGCTGGGCGCGGTGGCTCATGCCTGTAATCCCAGCACTCTGGGAAGCCGAGGCGGGTGGATCACGAGGTCAGAAGATCGAGACCATCCTGGCTAACACGATGAAACCCAGTCTCTACTAAAAATACAAAAGAAAAAAAAATTAGCCGGGCGTGGTGGCAGGCTCCTGTAGTCCCATCTACTTGGGAGGCTGAGGCAGGAGAATGGCATGAACTCGGGAGGCGGAGCTTGCAGTGAGCTGAGATCCCGCCACTGCACTCCAGCCTGCGCGACAGAGCAAGACTCCGTCTCAAAAAAAAAAAAAAAAAAAGGAAGAAAATTTTTCTCAGTTTGACTACGTCATGTAAACTTTCATTTTTGAAATATACTCAATGTTAAATACAAAGATATAAATATATACAATATACCAATAGGTTTTGCTTTTTTCACTTACTAATGATTGTCTAGGATAGATTACCAAACTAGTTTCTTAAAGCATACTTCAAGAATCCATACAATTACTTCATTAAGCTTTTCATATACATATATGCATGTATATACATACACATATACACATATAACATATATAATACTCATATATAATACATATAGATGCATATATATTATACATATAATTCTTAGCAGATTTTCAGTTTAAATTTTACTTCTGAAGCCAAAATAGTGGAAAAGTGATTGAAAATGCATGCTTCAGAGTCTTTCTTCTCGGGTCTGGATCCTTGGATCCTTGGTCAGCCACCTACTAGTTGGGTGAACTTGGATATGTTATTTATCCTCTCTAAGCTTGGTATAATAATCAGTGAAGTGGGGATAACAGTAGTGCATTCTTCATTATGGTGTGCAGCTGAGAATGCATATGAAATACTTGCCCAATCATGAGCATAATTTCTATGAATAAAAGTTTTTCTTATGCATCATTTAATGCCCTACAACCCTTAGCGTAAAATATGGCACATTCTGCACAAATATTAGATGACAATTTAATTTTAGGGTTGAATTTTGATCAGAGCCATTTTATGTAAAATGAAATTGTTTGTGAATCTGTAATTTGAAAGTGAGATTTACTTGCTCCTTAAATCCACACTCTTTAGTGTGTGTAAATAGTGCTTTGTGTGATTAATATCTCTGCTTCCCTTGGGCCAAGTTTCACTCAACTATTTAGGAGCATTCTACTGCACCATAATTTACATGAACATCTAAGAGATAGTTTATTAATGAAATACATTGCCATGTCTTATGAATTATGTCTGTCTATACTCAATATTGTTTGGATTAATCTTTAGCTCTATCATCATATATGGTATTCTAATATGTCAAATGTTCATAAAAATAAATGTTTGTATCCATTTGCCAAATACGTGTCATGCAGATTAAGTCAGGAAGATTAAAAATACTCTAAGATTTTAATTATTCAAGCATATTTTAGGTCTGCTCAAACATTTTGGAGGCTCACCTTACAAAATCAACTTCAAAAGTTTTCTATTAATTGCAACATGTTATATTAGATTATAAGCAGTAACACACATGGCCTATTTCAAATGAATTATTCATTTTATTGCACTGTATGAATCTTTGTAATGTCATCCTTGGGATGACTTTTCCTTATAATAGTAGGCATTAACATCAGACACAAGCTTTAAAAAGGCAAAAAAAAAATGATAATTTATGTGAAACACAATTCCACTTCTCCATTTGGCTCAGGGACTGAATGTCATAAGATTTTTCATCCTAGTTGATCAAAACCCAACTGGAGACATAAACCATAACCTTTTATAAACACTGTATACAATACTGATCTCCTCTTATAGAAAAAAGTAGTTCACATTACCCATGTTGATACTTAACTTATTCTGTGCAGTACAGTAATATTGGGGTGGGCAGGTGGCTTGCCACTTTTCGCCTACCACAAAATAACATGGAAATATTAATACCCTTATGTCCAAAATATATGTGTTTTATAGCTGTTTTAAAAGTTTTAGAAGGTTAAACATGCAATATAAAACATGAAATCAGCTATATACATTGTAGCATCTTTGTCATTTTTTCTGAATTCTATAAAATTATTGTTATAACTTATATAGATCCATTTTTGAAAAGACAAACATTTAAGGTGACGGCTATCCCAAATACACTGATTTGATCTTTACAAATTATATTAATGTATTAAATTATTACAGATGCCACCAAAATATGTATATCTATTATGCATCAATAATAAATAAACAAATAAATGCCTACAAAACAACAATAAACTATGACTAACCACTTCAAATTGTGTAGGCAAATATCTACTCACACACACACAACTTCAAACTTTGTTTCCTGTGAATCTTCCAATGGTTTGCCTATGTCATACTGTGCCATTTTATATTGTTAAGAGACATGAATACAGATTGTCAAGTGAGACACTTCTGTTTTTAATCTAGGCTTTCACATTTATTAGTTACATAACCTTTCACTATTTATGCAGTCTGAGACTTAACCTCTTCCTCTGAATTTTGGGATACTATTAAAGAAGTATGTTGAGAATTTTTGAAATCAAGTTCTTTCTATATAGTATATTCTCAGTAAATGGTATTATTATGGGCATGATTATAAATTCCCTTATCTTTCCAATGACAGTATATGCCATTTGAAGACAAAAACCATTTTTATAGTTCTTTGAGTGTTTCCCTCAATGACTAGAAAGTAGCCTGCTATATACATAATGTCTAATAATGATTTGCTCAAAGAACGATCGTAATCAAAAATAAATAGAGGGCAATAAGTGCTAAACCATAAGGCACTGAAAGATAAGCACAAGCAAAGTTCAGCTGCAAAGAATATCTGAGTGGGCTGGTATAGTCAGAGAAAGATCTATGGCAGACAGGGGACCAGGAATGGGAAGTAAAAGCCTTTCATAGGTAGCATAAGACTGGATAAATAAAATCACCCAATGTTCTCTGCAGAATACATTTCAGAAGCATATTTTGACCTAATTGAAGTGTTCTTAAAATAAAGTTCATAAGAAAGTGTTCATAAAATCACTTAACTTTGGAATTTCTTCATGTTGTGTTCAACACTTCTTTCTTAAACCATATTTAAACAGATCTTCTTTAGAATACAAACAGAAATGGAGAAGAGATAATACATTTTTACCTAAAATTATATTAACATCAATTGTACCTACAGCTATCACATTAACACTTAAAAATGATGGTTTATATATGTATTCTGACCTCATGTCTAGTACCTAGAGGAAATAATTATTTAGTAATATCAATACATTTTTAAATGTCTAAAATTCATCATATAAAATATTTGTATACTCATTAAATGTTTTAATTATTATTTCCATAGTCATAGTGATTAAGAGTAACTTTACATTTTTGCCAAAAAACCTATTGGGTATTTTTTTCTTCTTAATAAATGAGGGAGTAAATTGCAACTTACTACTGGAAAACTTTCTTACTGTTCTATTATTTAGAGACTGTAGCAACTGCTTAAAAGTTTATCTATAGACAAATTTAAGCTAAAGCGTTTGTTCATGGATCTACCCATTAATTCTGTGGCTCCAGTAAAATAAATGTGTTGTGTCAGGCAAACTGCTAAGTGCTTTATGTATAAATGGCAAACAAGTCATAGTAGTTCCTGTCCTTTTGGTCATCCAATTTTACACATTAAACAAATCATTTCACAAATTTATACAGCATAGCCTGGGAGACCAGCCTGGCCAACAGTGAAACCCCGTCTCTACCAAAAATACAAAAATTACCTGAGCATGGAGACACGTGCCTGTAATTCCAGCTACTCAGGAGGCTGAGACACAAAAATCGCTTGAACCTGGGAGGCAGAGGTTATAGTAAACCGACATCATGCCATTGCCCTCCAGCCTGGGCAACAGAGTGAGGCTTCATCTCAAAAACAAAACAAAACAAAACAAAACAAAAAAACCCCACAAATATATAGAGCATAATAAATTATAATAAGTACTCAGAGAGAAAATATGTAATGCTATAGGAGACATAACAGTGGATTTAAATTTAAATTTAGGGGATGGTGATAATTGAGGCAGCTCTATTTTTAATCTGAATATTGAAAAACCAGGATGAATTAGGCTAAAAAAGTTGGGAGAGAGGTAGAGAATGTAATGGTTAATTTTATGTGTTAACTTGACTGGGTAATAGGATACTAGATATTTGGTCAAACTTTAGTCTAAGTGCTTCTATGAGGATGCTTTTAGATGATTTTAACATTTAAATCAACAGACTGATTAAAGCACATGGTCTCTCTAATGTGGGTGGGCCTCATCCAATCAATCGAAGGCCTGAAAAGAACAAAAGGCAGACCCTTGCCCAAATAAAGGGGAATTCCTCCTGCCTGACTGCCTTCAAACTGAGACATCATGTTTTTTCATGCTCTGGGAGTCATGCTTAAACATCTCTTTTTGGGCCTGAAGCATGCCAGCCTTTAGGCTGGAACTACGTCCTCAGCTCTCCTGGGTCTCCACTTTGCCAGCTGCAGATCTTGGGACTTATCAGCCCCCATAATCATGTGAGCCAATTCCTTATTTTACATATGCAGCAGGTCCTTGAATAACATTGTTTCTTTCAACATCTTTCATTATAATTTTGATGAGAAAAAGAAATCAATTCCCAGCAGAAGCCACTGCCTGTGTGGAGTGTGCAGGTTCTCCATATCTGTATGGGTTTTTTCTGGGTACTCAGCTTTCCTCCCAAATCCCAAAGATATACACATTAGGCAAACTGGCATGTCTAAATTGTCCCAGTATGAGTAAGTATGGGTATGTGTGAATGCACCCTGTGATGGAAAGGCAACCTGTCCAGGGTTGCTTCCCAACTTGCACCCTGGGCTGCTGAGATAGAGTCTGGCCACCTGCAACCTTGAACTGGAATAAGCAGGTTGGAAAAATGCATAAATGAATGAATTAACACAAATTATTGTAAAATAAAAATATGTGAAGCAGATGATAATCATACAAATGCACAAAAAAACAATGTGGAATGAACACACTCAGCAAGCCCATCATATTTGTTATTGTTTCTTTTGAATTGCATGATGGTAGGTAGTGACAGTTTTCTTTTTGCAAACTTTTATTCCTTGATTTGACCCACTGCCACTATGACTGCTGTCACTCAATGATTCACCAAAAATTGGGTAAATAATTATCTTACTTGGTGTTATTATTTCTTAAAAGTATGTGTAACTAACATTTATTTCAATGTTTAATATTAGAAGCTTTTTGGGTCTTTATTTAGAAATTCAGTGATGATTTTGTGATCAAAAATATACCACAGGAACTTAACTGTCATTTATGTTAACTAGCCTATGGTAAAGTCTGTTTCATTATATGTCATTTTGCTTAAAGTCACAGTTTTCAAGAACCTGTAGATGACCTTAAGGGAGATTCTGTGTGTGTGTGCATGTGGTGTGTGTGTGTGTGTGTGTGTGTGTGTGTGTGTGTGTATACCCATAAATACCTATACACACATATCCTATTGGTTCTGTTTCTCTGAAGAGCTCCAATACAGGGCAGACATTTTCGGAGCAATGGATAAGCACACACAAAGACTCTGAGGCACGAAAGAACTTAGCGCTTCCGTGGGATGAAATAAAAATCACTGTATCTCCACCACAGTGCTTAAAGGGAGAAGCAATTCAAGATGAGGCAGCAGAGTGGGCAGGGCCATATCTGGAGTGTGTGAGAATGATAGTAGAGGTTCAAATTTATCTTCAGAGGAATGAGAAACCACTGAATGGCTTTCAAATCAGAAGAGTGATGTAATCTGCTGTTTTTTTTTAGCCATCACACAGGCTTGATGTATGGATGTATGTAGGGAGTTATATGAAGCATGAGGAAGGGGTACTCACAGGGCAAATGGGAGAATAATGAAGAGAATACTACATTCGATGAGACAAAATAGAAACATGGAAGGGATAACGGTGGTGGCAGTGGTACATCTGAGATCTATTTTGCAGAACTGCTCCCCAAATAAAGGTGACGATCTGCTTTCAGGGATAAAAACGAAAGGTCAAGGTCAAGCATGACTTTCAGGTGAATGATATGTGGACCTGGGTGACTTAATGAGAAGAGGTAGGATGAGGAGAAAGAGTTGGGTAGACCAAGAGTCCAGCTTTTGACAAATTAATGTTGATGCCTTTGAGCACTCTAAGTAAAAATGTGAAAGAGACAGTTACACATACGGATCTGGAGCTCAGAACAAAGACCTGATATGAAGTGTAAGTTTAAAAGTTGGCAGACAGGGACAGTATTTAAACTGCCCAAGGCAAGAGGGTGCATGGTGAGAAAAGAAAGAGGGACAAGGACAGAAATATAAGGATCTTGATTACTCGTGATTGAGGAGAACAGGAAGAACTAGCAAAAGATATACAGAAGCATTAGTTATCAAATATAATTATCTGCTAGAAAGTATTATTGCTTTCTTTTGCTATAAAGTACTATCAGAACATCTGAAGTTATTTTGGAATAAAGAAGGTTATTTACACAAAATTTATATACAGTCCATATTCCTCTCATCTATTATTCCTGAGAACAAAGTTTTATATAGACATTATAAATTATTCACAGAGAAATCGGAACTTTTACTATACATACATAACAGCAATAAAAGTATCAGAAACACATGAATGTTCTTAAATGTTATATAAATGAGACTAACTCCAATGATGGCAAAACTACAAAGTCAGTTTCCTTTATCTGAAAATACTGATTTGTTCAAGTTATAATTGTTATATGTGTTGAAATAGAATTAAACTTTGATTCACAAGTAACAAGCTTATAAAGATGATATTAAAATTTCATTAAAGTTTCAGGATTATATAATTATTTGCTGAGTTAAAACAAGTACTGTAAAACATCAGCAAACCAGGCAAGTGGATATTGCATAAAAAATTAGTACCTTATAACTCTTTAGTAATTTTTAAAATTGCAAAGATCATTTCAGTGCTGCTCCCCTCCCCCCAGGCACACACAAATATTTATCCAGCAACTGATAATTAATAGTGGAAAGAAAACATATCACTTTTAATTTTTTCAAAAAAGTAAAAATGAATAAGAACTATAACTCAGAGTCAGAAATCAGGATTTCAAAATCCCTGAGGAACTGACCTGTGTGGCCCAGATTCTTACTACACCATGGGGAAGTAATTGAAAGTCTGAGACAGATTCAGGCTGAAGCACTGTCTGACAAACTATCTTCTCTCCATTTTTATCCTGCTAACTTCCAAAAACCAACTCATGGAGCCACTGGTGGATATGAGTGCTATCCCAGTAGAACCTCAATATCCCATAAGAATCTTAGATGGACAAGAAATAATCCTCACCATAAGAACATGTGAAATTGCCACAGTTAAGGTCTTTTAAAATAGAAAAATCAATTTTCTATGGAACACAAAAAACTCAGGAAATACGAACAAGACAATAGCAATGATTTTTCCAGGAGAATAGATTTCATTCATCCAGGAAATACTGTGGAAGCAATAGTTCTTTGCTGAGATTTGCTGAGATCTATGGCTGAGATTGCTCTTGAGCTTTATGTAATTCTGTCTTCTCTAGGTGAACTGGGATAATATATCAGAGGAAGGTAAGTGAAATGTCGCTGGTGCTTAAAGAGTTGGGGGAAGTAATAATTACAAGGACTACAAAATTAGATGGTTATCTCTGGAGGCTACCCACGCATTTGAGAAAGCCAATGGAAAATGGAAAGATGACACTGATGTATTACTGTGGTAAGCAGTAATAAACCAGTAACAAACCAAACCTCGCCAAAAGAAGTTCACATCCTAATTCCCGGAAACTGTGAATATGTTAGACTGCATGACAACGTGGAATTAAGATTGTAGATGTAATTAAAGTTGCTAATCAGCTGACCTTAAAATAGAGAGGACATCCTGAATTATCAGGGTGGGTCCAATGTACTCAAGGGTCTCAGAAAGTGCAAGACAGCGGAAAAAGAGGAGAGTCAGAGGGAGACAGGACTATGGAAGAAAGGCACAGAGAGATGTGATGTTGTTAGCTTTGGAGATGGAACAAACAGGCCACAAGCCAAGACATAAAAGGAGGCTGTAGAAGTTGGGAAGAGCAAGGAAATGGATTCTCCCTTAGAGCTTTCAAAAAGAAGTGCAGCTTTGCTGACCCCTTGATTTTAGCTCAGTGAGACCCATGTCAGGCTTCTGACCTACATAGAGAACTAATATTGCTTAAAACCACTAAGTTTGTGGTAATTTGTTACAAAAACAAAAGAAAACTAACACAACCATCAATTTAAGGCCAAAGATCTTCCCATGGAGTAAATAAAAAGAAATTCACCTCTACAAATTGTGTAAAAATTCCTTAGGTTCAGGTACAGAACTTAATTATAAGAGCAAAGCTCTAGATATGGTTGAATTCACCTGAAAAGTCAGCTACATGAAAGTAAGGGTGCAAATTAGGAAAATAAAGAGCCCTAGAGATAACAAAATCTAGTTTGATGCAGTCAATAATCTCGATCATCAGGTTCCTATGGACACTAGGTGCCTACAGAAGTCTCCCTGTTAAGAGACTAGTGTTTCCTGCTTGAAGACAATGAAGATGACTCTTCCCTGAAAAAGAATGTAAGTCCCACCCAGGATTTTCCACCACCTCCTCTGCTGGCCAACTGGCTAATAACTAACGGTAAGTCACAACTGGCTGAAGTGCTAACCCTTCAAAAGGAGGACAGGGACAATAGCTCAAAAGAGCCACAGGACCCAGCCAATATGTTCCAGTAGAATCAGTAGAATAACTTTGGAACCAATTCTGAAGATGCTGGGTCACCAGAGAATGGAACATAAAGTTGAATAACTGAGAGTTCCAGTTATGAAGAGATCTCCACCTATGAAGACAGTATATTTCCCCTTAGAATATATCCCCAACTCTCCTACTGGCAGCCAAACTCATCACCAGGGTTAAGTTACAAATTAACCCAGCAATGAAGGTGCTTAGATTACCAAGGGAGAAAAGAAGAAGAAAAAAGACTGTGCTCTGAAAGAGGCAGATTTAGCCAATAAGTACTGGCAGAAGTTAGAAGAGTGTGTATATGAATTGATTCTAAGGACGCTAGATTAAGATGGGAAGGAATATAATGTTGGATAAGAGAGGCATTTTTGATGTGGGAGGACCCTCCCAGGATACAGGATTTAATAACACCCTGATGATAATGTTGCTAGGATAAAGACAGTATGGCATTCTAGACAAAATGTAAGATATCAGTACCACTTTTAAAGATCTAAAGGAGGCACATTTTATAGTCCTCATTGTGCCCTCCATTTTATTCACCACTCTTGTTGATAAACAAGCAGATAGATGCTGGAAGTTGGAATTGAACTACACAAATTCAACCAAGTAGAAGCCCCAGTTGCAAGTGCTTGGCCAGTTGCAGTATCTTTGCTACAGCAGATTAATCCAACTTTAGTTCATGGTACCTGGCAATTGATCTAGCAAAAACACTGTTATCCATCTCTACCAAGAAGGTGAACCAGAAGCAGTTCTCATTCACATGGACATAACAGCAGTACGCATCTTCCATCCTGACCCAGGATTATAATAACTTTTCTGTCCTCTGCCATAATACAGTCTGAAAGAATCTGAATGTATTGGATATTAGAAAGAACATTACACTGGTCCATTACATAATATCAATGACATCCTGTAAGAGAACCGAATAAGCAAAAAGTGGCAAGTACTTCGGAAGTCTGGGTAAGACATGTGCTCAGAGGATGGAAAATAGACACCTCCTCAGTGAGTTGTAGGAGTCTATGGCCTGAGTCATGGAAAGACAATCTTTCCAAAGAGAAAGACAAATTGATGCACATTCCAAAATAAAAAGCAATCTTCCAAAAAAAGAACAAATTAGCTCACTTTCCCCATCAATAAGAAGGTAGCACAATCCATAACAGAACACTTTAGATCTAAGAGAGAACACAGTCCATGCTGGGAATACTGTTCTGACCTATTTACCAGTGCCACAGAAGGATGCTGGCTTGGACTGTGGCTTAGGGCAGTTAAAGACCTTGGAGGAGGTATAGGTTCAACTGAAGAATTAATTCCTCAAGCTTAGACCATATAATCCCACACATCCCATGATATTAGAAGTATCTTTAGTGTGACAAGCCACACGTAAAGTCTACGGCAAGTCCCTGTAGAAAAATCACAATGTTAGCCACTGAAGGTTTTTCAGCAAGCCTGTGCCATTTGCAATATAGAATTACAAATCACTTGACAAACAGTTTATGGCATACTACTGGGAACTTACTTAGGCAGAATGCCTGAAAATAGGCAATTAAGAGACCATGGTGCCAAAAATGTCCATTATAACTAGGTTTTGTCAGCCAAGTCATAAGATCAAGTAGGTCCTGTAGCAATCCATTATTAAATAAAAATGATACATTTGGGACTGAGCACAAGTAGACAGAGAAAGCCCAAGTAAGCTATATGCAGAAATGGCAAACCCCTACATCTTTCCTATTGCACTGCCTCATTTCCCTCAGCTCATCCCTATGACTGCATGGGCAGTCCTGTCTAACCACCAAGTTCAAGACAGGTTCACAGATCAGTTAGCTCCACATGTGGTATAAACCAAAAAGGTACTGCACCTGCCCTGCAGCCCCACTAATGGGTGCCTTCAAAGAGTGCAATGAGAGAAAATATTCCCAATGGGGTACAGCTTCAGGGACCATATAAGTTGTATGGAAAGAGAAGTGGCTGCGGTAAAAATAAACATAGTCTTATTGGCAGCAGTGAATAACTTAGCTGATTGTTGGCTGGACGCCTGCAAAGAGAAGTGACAGAAAATCAGCAACAATAACTCAGAAAAACAGGCATGCAAATGTACCTCCTATGGGAGTGGGCACAAAGTAGAGAGATCTTTGTAGACAATGTTATTGTCCCCCAGAGAGCATCCACCACAAAAGAGGCATGTGGCAGATTGTATTCTTTTAAAAAGGCCACAACAATTTCTCCAATTCTACAAGTCCTCCATCAAATGTAAACTTAACATTATTCCCATAAAGAGGTGTAAAGAGGTGGGATTTATAATCCCTTTCTTTCAACCTGGGTGGACCTTTGTCTCTGCCTCAAACTATAGAGCGTCACGGAATCGATGCATGTAACTTCCAAGGCAAAATTCAAAGCGATCCTTTGTACCTTTTCAGGATACTTACTCTTAGAATCCTCACACCGTGCTGTAAGAAAGCCCAAAGTTTTCAATTCAGCCAAAGTCCCAGCTATCTGCCAGAGTCTCAAGTATCACATATGTCAGTGAAGATGCCAGCAGATGATTCCAGCCTCCAGATGTCAAGTCATCCTCCACCTCCAAGTCTTCCCAGGTAAGGGCTCAGAAATTACGGGGCAAAGATAAGCCATTCTGAATATCCCTCATATAAATTATTGGCCCACAGAATCCACGAATATAATAAAGGGAGTGTTTTATACCACAAAGCTGGGGTGGGTTGTTACAGAGCAATAGCAATTGGAATCAGAATACAGAATAACTTGATTTATTGATATTAGTCAGCTTGCCATCAGCTACTCCAGTGTTGCATCAATAGACACAAAAGGGAAGAAGCCGTAGTGAAAATTATAGACATTATCCATATACTGAATAGCAAAAGCTCCCATTCATCAGCATTGAACTAGCTAATGCTGCTGCTAAATGTCCAACCTGCCAGCAGGAGGGACCCTGATGTACCCCATTCCTCAAGGAAACTAACTAGGCATTTGGTAGAAATTGAGTACAATGGACTCCATTTACAAATGAAAGATTAGAAATTCATCTTGATTGGAACTGACAGTTACCTTGTGCCTACAGTGCCCCATAAAACACATCAATGTAAGAGATTTCAGAATATGTGATATACCTAAAACAGGATCTCTCCTAACATTGTACTAACCAAAGGGATCCACTGAACAGAAAAGAAGGTGCTGCAATGATAATGGAATTTACTGGTTCTATCACATCATCTAATAGAAAACTTTTGAAGGAGCAGCATTAATTCAGCAGCTTGGAGATGATACTCTTAAAGTTGGACCCCACACTTGCAGGATATGACACAGTCCTAAATTAATGACTATTATATGTAGCTGTGTCCCCAGTAGGTAGAATACATAAGTCCAAGAACCAAGAGGAGACAGTGTAGTATCCTCAGTTATCTTCACTCTCATGACATATGTAGGGTACCTGTGCTTCCTGTCCCCAGAATTACAGGGCCTGTGTGGCTAAGATGTGTTGGTTCCCAGAGGGGGACACTTTTCTTAGGGACAATAGCAAAAGTCTCAAACTCCTGTGACAGTTGTCACCTGTTTATTTGGGCTCCTTATGCAAAAGACAAGCAGGCAAAGAACAAAGTCACTTTTCAGGCAGGGATAATAAATCCTGATTGTCTGGAGGTGGCAAGGCTGCTGTTATGTAACATGAGCAGGGGAGAAGAACTCTGGCACCCCAGTGACCCACTTTAAGTATGTGTTGATGCTCTCTTACCTAGTTCTGGTAGGAAACCGATAAATCCATCAGCTGTGACCTGAGAAGATCTTGGTGACCAAGATCTTAGGCCCTTCAGCTCACTTTGCCAAGTTCACAATCTAATCCTTTAGAATTGCTAGCTAAGGGTAATGGGTTCTAGAAGAAGTAGTAGAAAAGAGGAATGATGAGTATCAGACACGGTTCTGAGACCAGACATAAGGGCTGGCTGACGTTTGTCCTGCTAACCATCCTCTTTTGTGAGTTTCCTTAAGATAAAAGGCCAGCTCCTGGAGGGCCAGTTCTCAAACAGGATAAGCAAGCAGATATGAGCAACAAAAGCTGTCTAAGATGGGGTGTAACATTCAGAACTCCTTCTGCATGAAGAAGACATCCACTCTCCCAACTTCCAAGAGTGTTACCTGATGATTGCTCACAACTGAGTTCCTCCCAGAATTTGCCTTCCAGTAAAGGGAGCTGCCTAACCCAAATATATTGGCTCTGCCCCAGGGGCAACCCACGTCCAAGGACTGGTAGAAAAGAGAGTAAACAGAATTCTTTCTCTATTTGGAATATCTCTGAAGGTCCATCCCAACTCTACAGCATCCCATGCACTCAGCCTAGGACTCTGTTGCAAGTGAATCAGAGTTCACCTTCTCCCTCTGCTCTTCCCAGGCTCCCTTCTTCCCTTACAGGTGTTCTTCCCAACATCACTCTCTAATAAACCACCTGCATGTAAACCTTCCACTTGGGGTCGGTTTCCTGGAGAAGTCAACCTATGACATGAACACACTGCATTCTGCTTTGATCTATTCTATTAATCCTCATGACATGAAATCCTATCACCCTGCTATGTCAATAAATTTATTCCTATTTCTCTAGGCTAAGATTATGACCAAACTAACACATCTGCTCCTACCCATGCAACTTCAAGTCTAATCCCCAGAGCAGAGCACAATAGTAGGTTGAAATTCTGCTTTACTATTTTCATTATTTGCTTTATAAATAACTTTCCATCTGTAGAAATGCTGAGTCTTTCATTACTACTGTGAAAACCTCTGAAATGTCATAATAATTGTTGGGAGGGTGACAGCTATGTAAAATGAATGAGAAGCAGTCAATAGTTAAGCCGCTAAAAATATTCTTAGAACAAACTTAGAAATATCTTAAGAAAGTCTAAATTAGCTTTCGTCACAGCCAAAGACATTTAAATGGCATTTTTAGGTTCATAAGATATTTTACCTTTTATTTTACTTAAGAAACTGTATTCCAGCTTTCATGGATATTATTTAATTATTGTTGGTAAAATTAAATGATAAACCACAACATAGAGATGTACTTAAATCTTAGGTGTATAAGTGTATACCTCAATTATGAAGTCACTATCCACTCTCACTCAAAATAGAGCATGCATCTAATATATCACAAAATGCAAAAATTGGAAGCAGAGAAAGACTTTAAAAAGGTGTACTATATTCTATAAGTACTCCCAAATATAGAACTAAATGTGTAAATTGTAAAATCACGAAATCTATTAAACTCTTATGAACTTGGATTTGACTCATCTTTTACTCTATCCTTTACAAAGGCTTCCAGTTTAATTTGAAATTTTTAGTTACAAAATGCATGATGGCTCCACCATTTAACATTAGCGCTATTTCCAGTGTGCAAAAAGTCATATCCCATTAGTTTCAAGCATTTGGTCAGATATTAGGAAGCCATTGCTTAAAGAAGGAATTCACAAAATCAGTGCTTCTCCATGCTTTTTTTTTTTAAAGAAGAGATCTGGCTTTGAAATACAATAACAACAGTTATACTACAGAATTAATGAATTGCCAATTGTAAAATGTGAATGTATAATGAATTTCAGGGCAGTGCTCTTGCAGCCAGACTGAATTAAGAGTTAAAGTTCTAAAGACTCAATTGCCTCTGAAAATTTGAGGGGGGATGTTTATCAGTTAAAGAAAACATCAGCTGCTTAGAAATGCATGGCGCTACAGCTGAATATAATACCTTTCCTGTTCTCTCTTGAAATGGTTTCCTATTGAAGCAGTTTCTGTATCAATCACACAATAGTCACAATGATACAGGGTTATACTATAGGACACAATAACAGCATTCAAAAAGCATAGGAAAAATGACTTTTATAGTGGTAAATACTGTAGCTAAAAGCCTAAAACAAATCACTAAACTGCACTAATCTGTAAGCTTTGAGGTCTGAGGAACTCACTGTCAGCTAAGAGAAGGGCAGAGCTCGCAATCAACTGTCCTCTTGAACACAACAAGATTGTCAAGAAAAGAAATCCGCTGATAGAGTCTCCTCAATTAACTCTGCGCGAAAAATGCCCAAGCAATACTCGGAGGGAACTCAACAAAAATCAGGCCAAATATGACATTTAACTATCAATCTTTCCAAGACCAGCGATTGTTAATCAGCCTAGGGAGAAATAAAGTAGTACACCTGACAGTGGTTATTTTTTATAAGCACATACCTACTATTTTACATGGAGGAATATAACTACTTCTGCAGAATATGTAGTAGAACCATTTCTTCATTTTTACAGGTTACTAATTATGAATAAGCTTAAAATATCCTATCATTCCAAAAATAAATTATATGAGAGAGAGTCCTCAGTATGGGCATTTCAATACTGAAAAGAAAAAAGAATTATAAAACATATCTTTCTTTTCTAAGAAAGAAAACCATATGGTATAAAGTGCTGACATTAGCTACCTACATATACTTCGCATGTGACAAGCTAAAATGTATTATTACCCAAGTTGCATTTCAAGTATATACTGTTTAAGATAATTTTCATGCATAGCACAATGTAAGCTACCTAACTTTTATGATTTAATTAGAATAAGTATAAGCACACACATATCTGAATATAATTTTAATAATATAAATAAGTATAAATACAAGTATTTACTTTTACATACATTTCATATTTGATTCCAAATTCAGCCACCAGTAACTATATGGCGGTTATTTAAACTTCATGAGCTTCAGATTTTGCATCTATCTCATACAAAGATTAGTGCATGGTACAATGTGTATAAAACTTCTAATACAAGGTGTGGCATACAGTAGGCACTTGATAAATGGCAATTATTTTATGAAAAATTACTATATCTCATCTTTAATTATTTTTCAATTATAGGTGAAAAAAGATGAAAGATAATCCAAGTTACTTAAGTTTTGTTTGTGCATGTATTTTAGAATCCAGACATGAATATAGATATGCCTGGTGCACTGAAAGCTCACTTATAAAGAATAAAATACAACTTAAAAGACCTGATTAATAGAACGGCAGGGATGGTCTTCTGAATATGCAAGTGATGCTAAGCTTCAAATATACACATTACTGTAATGCAGGTGGAATAAACTGCACATGCATTGCTGTTAGGCAGCTAAGAAATATTTCTCTTTTGTCAACTGCAAAAAACGAAGTAATCAGAGTTTCTTTTTTTTTTTTTTTTTTTTTTGAGACAGAGTTTCGCTCTTGTTGCCCAGGATGGAGTGCAGTGGTGCAACCTCTGCCTCTCAGGTTCAAGGGATTCTCCCGCCTCAGCCTCCCAAGTAGCTGGGATTACAGGCACCCGCCACTACGCCCGGCTAATTTTTTGTATTTTTAGTAGAGACAGGGTTTCCACATGTTGGGCAGGCTGGTCTCGAGCTCCTGACTTCAGGTGATCCGCCTGCCTCGGCCTCTCAAAGTGCTGGGATTACAGGAGTGAGCCACCGCACCCAGCCAGTAGTTGGAGTTTCTAAAGGTAATTTTGTAAACCCATGAACAATAGAAACATGAATGTATCACAAATATTCAAACACAAACTGAGTATTAGGTGAGAGACTGCATACTCTGTTGCCAACACTGAATTAGAGTCAGCTTTGCAAGGGAAGTGGGAAAAGCACCCAGTTTCTTGGGATTAGCCTAAATAAAGTTTAGCTACTATTCCATGCATTTTTTGAATACACATACGCACTCTTATATACTCTTAACATAGTTAATCGATTTCTGCTTGAACATGTAATATGTATTTTTTATAGTATACATGCAAATACTCTATATACAAACATATATTTGTATTATGAATGTGTGTATGTATATGCACATGTGCATGTGTGTGTGTGTATCTTCTTTAGCTCTCTCTGGAAGAGGGAAGGTGGTTAAACATAAGGGTGTCAAAGTACTTCTTTGCATAAGTAAGCTTAGAGATTAAGGCATTAAATTAGTATCAATGACGACAGAAAGTAAAACTGAAACACTGTTTGAAATATGAATCAAAAAGATATAATGACCATAGAGTTCAACTGCAAAATCACAGGAAGCAAGAAGAAGGCCACTTTCCACACCAGCTGCTGCAATTGGAGGGATGTTTGATAGTGAGGCACAGGAAATAATCAGAGAGTAAGCAGACTCTGAGTAACAAGACAGATTATTTCAGGCTGCAGTCCACTGGGAGTTATTCTAGTCTTGGGGAAAGACTGGGAGGTTTCTAAACCCCGATTTTCACAGTAATGATGTCATTATGGAGTTTATAATATTGTAGGGAATGGTCATAATGGAAAAGGGTTGCACTTCCTTAGACAAGTATATTTAGATAAATCTATGCACAACAAAGGAAGAACAAAATTAGTCAAAGGTTGAGCTTTGATTAATTGGGACAAAGACCTAAAACTCTAAAATGCATACAGCATCTCTGTTGTACAGGTGGTACAAACCAGTGTGAAACATGAACCAAATGAAAAATATAAGTTACTCAAAGGATGAGAGAGAGTCACAATAATGGCGTAGAGTAACCCATGAAAAACAAGGAACGAGTTCAGAACTGAAATAAAAGCATTAACTATGCCAATTCTTGATAATAACTTAACTCATTCTGAGATACCAAGTTAGACTGACAACTGTGAAATTACTTGGCAGTTGTATCTCTCCATATTACACAGTACTGTGTGTCTTTGCTTAAGGTGATTTGTTTAGCAAAGTCAATATTGCTCATTTCACATAATGGGAAAAATCTTCTCAACTAACAATTTTTGTTGTCTTTCACAGTCCTGAGTAAAGATTGCCTTCTATGTGGTTAAAGAGATACTTGACCAATATACTTGACTAATATTGAGTTAATATTCAGACATGGAGAATAATAATTGAATTAAGCAATTACAGCCATCTAGTTAATTATATGAATAGAGAATATGGAAGTGGACTACCTTCCGCCCTCCAAAAATAGAAAGTGTTTGCCAAAGAAAACGATTGCATTATGCATAAAATGCTTTCTTAGGTATGTGGCTGTTACAGTTTAATGGTGAGCAAAGTCCCACTCAGTCCTTTTCAGTTAATTCTAATTTAAAAATGTTTTAAATGATTAGGTGACTGGGTGGGAAACACCAATTCTGGTTACTTCTGGATCAAAACTAGAAGATGTGACACAGTAATTGTGTGATGACCCCATTTAATGGTTTATCCTCATTTTCTGTTTTTATGTATTAACTACCAATTATAAGTATTCTTATAAATAAATATATCCCTAGGTTATTTTTTCCAATTGGGTGGCTGATTTTTATAAACTGCTGTTTTCCAATTAGTCTTGAAATGAAGACTATTAATTAGTCTTGAAGACTATTAAGAATACTCTTACTCCTTGATTCAACAACAAGATCAATACACGTATTTGAACACACTTATAGATTTATATAAGCATAAATTTACCCATAACCATAAGGTTTAGGATACACTAATGTTCTCTGGAGCTCTCAAATGAGGGGGAGGATGCCAGCTCCTTGCTAACCACCACTGTTAAGGAGAAGAAGGAGAAACTCCTGGGTTATGTGGATTGAGAAAGGGAGACTAGCATAAGCAACAATATAAACTACACGTGCATCGAAATACAATATCAAATTGCATTTTCATGCACATATTTATAATACTTAAAGTGTTTAAAAATACTCAGTTTCTGTTATTTTCCCCTAGACTGACACAACCAGAATATTTTTTCCAGAAAAAAAATTACTTGGTCTCTGTTACCTTCTAGCTTCTTATTCTGGTCTAAAAACTAAATGATAGTCCTATTATGAGGTTCAACTGCTAGAGCATCTAAGTGTAGATTTTTAAGAACAGAAGGGAAACTCTCCATGCTCCCTCCCCCTTCTACTCCAGATATAAAAATGCAGCCATAGTTTCTTATTCTTGCTAATATCTACATTTCTTCTATGCATCAGCCCACTCTCCTAAGAGTTTACTCGATGTGGAAACTGAGGGATAGAGATCAAGATTTTTGCCTGAAGTAACACAGTAAAGCAGCAGCTGAACAAGAAGAAAGCCCACGTTACCCAACAGTTTTCAACTACATCATGCTGTCTTGCACTGTAATAAAAAACAATAATGAAAGCACATACCTCTCTTTTCACAAGGGCAATGCCTTCATCCCAGTGGCTGTACATTCGTAAAGAACGAAATGATTTTAGTCATTCTGGACCCATAGTTGCTGCTGCTAAACAGCACTTCTTTTTAGCACTCTAAAAATTTAGACTTTAAAAAGTCTTTGAGTTTACCTCCAAAAGGAGTTGCCCCCCACAGGAACTTTAGAGATAACTGTCCTACCTTCTGAAGAAATGGTCAGTTAGCTTCGCACATTTAACACACACACACTTCAGAATCTTGATGGACATATATATCTGAGCAAGTTCCAGAGTATCATACAATAAAATTGTATGATGACACAGGTTAAAGGACAGATACATCTTTCTAGTTGGGGTAAACTTTAAAGAAATTGCTGAGGCTTTATTACACACCCATTCCAGGACTACTTTTCTTTCTGCACCACTGTTCCTCCACCTAGAACCCACACAATAGCAATGCCCTTTCTTCCTTCTTTATCTATATTATGCCTACCCACTTTCAAGTCTTAACTGTTCCGAGCTTTTTCAAGTTTTCTCCAACCACAATAGGAAATGTAATTCCTCTCTCTTCTTCTAGATACACACATTTGTGTATTTCTCATAGCCTTATTTTATTTGTTTTTCCATTTGTTTCTATCTCCTGGATTCATGCATAACCTCTTTGATTTTACAGCACTTACTGAGAGGTGACAGTGTGCTGGCAGCCCTCACAACCCTCGCTTACTCTCTGTACCCATTCTGGCCACGCTTGAGGAGCCCTTCAGTCCGCCGCTGCACCGTGGGAGCCCTTCTCCGGGCTGGCTGAGGCTGGAGCCGGCTCCCTCGGCTTGTGGGGAGGTGTGGAGGGAGCAGCATGAGTGGGAACCAGGGCTGCGCTGGGCACTTGTGGGCCAGCTGGAGTTCCGGGTGGGCGTGGGCTTGGCGGCCCTGCACTCGGAGCGGCCTGCTGGCCCTGCCGGCCCTGAGCAATGGGGGGCTTAGCACCTGGGCCAGCAGCTGTGGAGGGTGTGCCAGGTCCCCCAGCACTGCTGGCCCACCAGCACTGCACTTGATTTCTTGTCCAGCCTTAGCTGCCTCCCTGCGGGGCAGGGCTCGGGACTAGCAGCCCGCCCCCTCCCTCGCCCCCCCTCCCCCCCGCCCCCGCCCCACCCCGCCCCACCCCACCATGGACTCCTGCGTTGCCTCAGCCTCCCTGAGGAGCGCGGCCCCCTGCTCCATGGTGCCCAGTCCCATCAACTGCCCAAGGGCTGAGGAGTGCGGGCGCACCACACAGGACTGGCAGGCAGCTCCACCTGTGGCCCTGGTGCGAGATCCACTGGGTGAAGCCAGCTGGGCTCCTGAGTCTAGTGGGAACTTGGAGAACTTTATGTCTAGCTAAGGGATTGTAAATACACCAATCAGCACTCTGTATCTAGCTCAAGGTTTGTAAACACACCAATCAGCACCCTGTGTCTAGCTCAGGGTTTCTGGATGCACCAATCGGCACTCTGTATCTAGCTAATCTGGTGGGGACTTGGAGAATCTTTATGTCTAGCTAAGGGATTGTGAATACACCAATTGGCACTCTGTATCTAGCTCAAGGTTTGTAAATGCACCAATCAGCACTCTGTGTCTAGCTTAAGGTTTGTAAATGCACCAATCTGCGCTCTGTGTCTAGCTGATCTGCTGGGGACTTAGAGAACCTTTATGTCTAGCTAAGGGATTGTGAATACACCAATCGGCACTCTGTATCTAGCTCAAGGTTTGTAAATGCACCAATCAGCACTCTGTATCTAGCTCAGGGTTTGTAAATACACCAATCGACACTCTGTATCTAGCTAATCTAGTGGGAATGTGGAGAACTTTTGAGTCTAGCTCAGGGATTTTAAACGCACCAATCAAGCACCCTGTCAAAACGGACCAATCAGCTCTCTGTAAAACAGACCAATCGGCTCTCTGTAAAATGGACAAATCAGCAGGATGTGGGTGGGGCCAGATAAGGGAATAAAAGCAGGCTGCCTGAGCCAGCAGTGGCAACCCGCTTGGGTCCCCTTCCACACTGTGGAAGCTTTGTTCTTTCACTCTTTGCAATAAATCTTGCTGTTGCTCACTCTTTGGGTACACATTGCCTTTATGAGCTATAACACTCACTGCGAAGGTCTACACAGCTTCACTCCTGAAGCCAGCAAGACCACAAAGCCACTGGGAGGAACGAACAACTCCAGACATACCGCCTTAAGAGCTGTTAACACTCACTGCGAAGGTCTGCAGCTTCACTCCTGAGCCAGCGAGACCACAAACCCACTAGAAGGAAAAAACTCCGAACACATCCAAACATCAGAAGGAACAAACTCCGGACACACTGCCTTTAAGAACTGTAACATCACCGCAAGGGTCCGCGGCTTCATTCTTGAAGTCAGTGAAACCAAGAACCCACCAATTCCGGACACATTACTACATAGCTACATGCATCATCTACAGCAGTTATACATTAATTAGTTGACTGAATTTATGAGAACTGAACCTAAACAGGCCTAGAGTTTCTGTGGGGAATTCAAACTGGTCACCACTTCTGAAAAGTGGCACATCTTCCTCCAGTATTTTCTTGCCTTCCTAGTAAGCAGTCCAGCACAGGTGAGGCAAAAACCCAACTCAGTTACACTCAGGAGTAAAAGACGGAATGCTCCAATGATCAATCTGTACCCAACCTTTCCTTGTGTTCCCAAATCCCACAATCCATCAGTGAGAAGAGTAATCTGGTTCAGAGTGACCACAGGCTCTATTAAGAGCCCTTTATCTCCTCATCCTTTCCTTTCAGGACACCAGAAAAATCTCCCTTAAGATGGTATTTCTTCAGGCAGACAGCAGGCATTTTTCTTTTTCATCCTGATGCACTACAACAAAGTTCTAGTGGCTTCAGATAAAAATATATGCTTTTGCTGTTTTGCCATTATTTAAAGGGTAGATACATTTTTCCAATAGCCTTTACTTCCTACTCACCTCCTTCAGATCTCAGCTGTCTTTTGTGCTGTCCATTAAGACTTAGAGACGCCTAGCTGTGAACAAACCCTTCCTCTTTCAGGAAGATGTGTTTCCCCTTCTACAGGATCACTTGATTATTTTTATTTCCACCATTCACATTACAACAAAACAAGACAAAAAATATACTGCTTGAAGATACTGTAACATGTCATACACATGACCCCAAATTTCAGCCACACCACAGTCCTTAATATAGATTTGAGCAGGAACAGCAAGAAACTGAGGTTCCTGTTTATGCAAAGTTGTAGAGACACAAAGTGTAAGTTACATCATAATTTCTAATGCCTTTCATCATACCATAATATGTATTTAAATAACAAATGTGTAATAGCCAAAAATATGTTTATAATAGTTGAAATCCTCTTCTGTAACTCCTAGGGAATATATCATTTGGATGTTGAAACAGAAAGCACAGATCTTACTCAATTCAATCAATGAAATCAGCAGGAAAAGAAACAGTTTTTAAAAATGTAAGATTAGAAATGGCATAGTGTCTTGGAAAAGTAGCAAGAAACTGATATAGAAAAGCTGAAATGGGATCAGTGCAAGGTGGTATAGTTAGAAAAGAAAATGGAATTGCACCGGTATAAAACGGAAATAATTAAGTACATGCCCCATTATTTTAATAAGAGATTTTAGTAATTTGTAAAAAACAAATTCATCTAATGAATACAACTGGACCCTGGAGAAAATAAGTTTCACAAACAATGCAGGACCTCCATCTGCCTGACATAATGGTAAAATCACTGTGCCTTGAGTTAGTGAGATGATTTAATGATATCTTAAAGTCTCTTCTCCCACTTTATGATTTTACAGGGCCAAAAGATTATTAATTGGATTTGAAAATAAAGATAGGATATAGTTTTCTATGAATGCAATATTTTATTGTTTGCTCTAAGTAATATAGTGTTTACACTCAGTCACTGAAGCAAAGAAACAAAAGTTATTTTGTGGGACCATTAAGTTAATGTCAATTACAAAGAAGCTAAAAATGTTCACTCTTTTCATACTTTAAATATATGCAATATACTTTGCATGTCCTTCCAAAATAGCCAAAAGGGAGCCTAAGGAAGACCTTATCTTATTTAACTGAGATGACAGCACATTCCCTTAGTTAATCTGAGCTACCAAAGAGCATAAGCTCTCGAGCTCAGTTCCCAGAGTAGGTCAGTGTATCTGGCTGTTTGCTGTTGCCTTTATAGATTACAAACCTTGAGCCCAACCCTTGCAAGACTCTTCTCAAAGCATGAGGATCAAATCAGAGAATATGAGTGATGAATCGCCTCTATACCTGGAACACAACCCAAAACCATGGTTCCTGACAATGTTTTAATAAAATACAATTGAACTCACAAGGCTTATGCTATAATCCCATCCCCATGAGTCCTACTGCAGTTACATTAAAATAATAAGTTTTAAAGAAGTACAGAGCACATCCTTGCAGAAAAGTTTATTTGTACCCTGCTTCTCAACCAGGGTTTAAGGTGTTTCACAACTATAAAACAAAAATAAAAATATTGGCAAAATATAAGTATAAAGAAGCATAACCAGAGATAATAAGATTAAGCAAAGAAATCAAGATCATGAAAAATGCCTTCCTGGAATTACTTTTGTGACATCTATTCACCGGAATTATTTCATCTCTAAACTTTTATCTCTGACTGTTAATTGTCTAAACTCTGGCACTCTCACTGACTTATTCATTGTAAAATAAGTTAGGCTCAACTTGCTCAATCTAAAATACTTATTAATCCACTTAGGGGCTTTCCCAGGGAAATATAGGACATGAGCAAGTAACACTATATAAAATAATCTGCCCATTTTGCATGTGAAATCTCAGTAATATGACCAACAAGGACAATTTTTGAATGGGCAAAAATGATCCCAAGATACAATGAGCAGCCCAGCCACTTTTCTTTCATGATCGTGGCCATGGTGGTGACAATATAAGAATGTGCATGAGTGTGTAGGGACAATGGAGTGAGAAGAGGAAAAAGAGGTTGGAGCTGATGGTATGTAATAGAGCTTCACATTGATTTTTTAACAGCATTTATTAAAATAATCTCTTCCTCTTTTCCTACAGACTAACACCCTAAATATGGTTTAGTCAAAGGCAGTATCTCATCACACGGCCTCTCCAAACCCAATCTGAAAAAAAAATCATAATCAATATACCTTCGGATAGCTTTGCTATGAGAATGGCAACATCCTGAGACTGAATGTAATGGCCAACTGACCATCCATGTCATTCTTATCCCTTCCTATCCATCCAGATTCAACCCACTAAAATACCATCTGAAATATCTTCCAGAGCTTTCTTGTGTCACTTATGCCCTTGTTCTTAATTTCACCAAGGCCATTTCTGTCCAGCTACTGCCTGGGCTGTCATTCTTAAATTGTATGAGATTTACTGATATTACCTGAATTGAGTTAATATAGCTTGCTAATTTGTCATACTCAAGTGTTTCTTAAGCTTACTCTATTTATTACTTCTAATGCATTCTGAAAGCTATTTTTGGACAGTGAATTAACCATTTCAGGACACCAAATCACCGTTTGATTTGGTTCCCAAAAAAGCTATTCAGACTTGAGTTGTATTTTGTTTTTTGTTTGCAGTGGGGATTTGTCTGTGCTGATGCATTCATAATGTTTAATAACTTCCTTGGAAATTAAAGGCATGATGACCAGAAGTAAAATTACAGAATATGTCAATAGAGTACTTCTTCTTTTTTTAGCAAGCCAACTGATAAGTTTACAGGAGATACAATTATTGATATGATGTCATTGTCAATAGGATCTCTAGAAAACACAGTTAACCCAAATGACTTACTACCATACAATGACTTACAAAGAAAACTTTCAAAACTAAGAAAATGCATTGGATCACTTAGCTCTAGGTACTTCAATAAGCATACAGATAGCTAGGTTTTACATTCCAATTCTTGAAGCTACATCGATTAGTTATCCTAAATCTAATGAAATGTGAGTGCAACAAAATTAATAACGTGAAAAATAGATACCAGTTCATTTAATGACTTTTTGTTATCCAGTGATGTTTAATTAAGCTAAAAGGAAAATTCAAACAAAACTTTAACATTCCAAGAGTATTTGGGAGAATTATTTTAATATAAATAACTTTTTAAAATCCAATAAGCAAAAATCTATAGCTTAAGGAAGTAAAATTTTTTAAATGCACATATATATATTGCCAAATATATATGTCAAATGGGTAGTATCCATTAAAATTGCCTTGGTTAGTCCATATGATTTTTTTGTGCTATTCTATTATGAAGAGGTTTTCTTGCAATTTTTCCTTCAGAAATATTTTCAAATAATTTATATTACTATAATGTTACATCTGATATTGAAAATGTAATAAATATAAAGTACAAATCCCACTTAAAAAATTTATAGGACAGAATTATTGGTGGAAGGCAGGCAGTTAAGAGATAATCTCCCTCATCCAACTGTGACACCATATATAAATCTTAGCTATTGTGCAGTTCGTTTGCTAAGCACTATTCCCAGATAAATGACAGTAAGTTCCTAGGTCTATAGCAGAAACTTTTACACTTAAGTATTGCACAGGGTTGTCAAACAGATTGGGCATAACAGGAAGAAGATTAAAATACTTGAGACAATATAATCCATGTGTTACAGCAAATATTCTCAATTCACTAAAAAACAGAATCTGAATTTCATGCTCAGAGTTTTTCAGTGAGGAAGTAGAGGAGAAAAGGGATACCCTAGCTATTCCAGGGAAGAAAGTTTATAATGACATAGTTCTCAATCATGTAAACAATTTTAGGCTACAATGAAGTGATTTTGCCTGAGTAACCTAGAAAATCATTTGTGTTTCCTCTTGAACCATGATACTAGAAAACACTATTGAGAAATATTACTTTGTGTGTAGTATGAATGGCTTTACATGTAGCAAATATAAGCAAATAAAGGAATACAGATTTTTATGCTAGCAAAGTTCCTGTCTAGGCTGTTGAAGTTTCTGTTTATAATAACCCTGCCTTTTAAATTAATCATTCTCAAAGTTATTCATATAAAATGTTCAAAACACACTTTTTAACTTTACACTAAATCTTATGTCTATGTCCTTTACAATTGATTCCTTTTTTTGATAAATTTAAAAAATGTTCTCTTCCTTATAAATGCTTCCACAAATAAAAACAAAACTACTTTAGGTTAAGAAAGTTCATGACTTACAAAATCAAAGCAATGAAACTGTAAGCCTATGTTAGTGCTTCTCAACTTCAGTGTCCACTGTAATCATCACTCGAGGTGATGAACACAAATCACTGGGCCCTACACTCTGAGTTTCTAATTTAGAAAGTCTCAGAGGGGCCCAAAAATGTGCACTTCAAACAAGTTCCAGGGTGATGCTAATGCTGAAGATTAGGGGCCTAATCTTCTTTGAGAACCTAACTTCTGTGACAGGTAAAACATATCTTAAAAGTAATACATAATTTTTAACCCACCTCATAGCTGTGACATTTATAATGGCCAGGAATACTGATTAATATTTTTCACACAAAAACAATTCTATTCCTGGCTACATGACTAATAACCACATCAATATAAAAACAAAACTAAATGAAAAAGACCCCCACTTTCATTACAATCATCAGCTCAGTAGCAGAACTGCCTCCTTGTTTATTGTTAACAGACATAAACACAGGATTATTTTAATGCAATTGTTTCCTATTTGTCTTCTCTGCTAGATCTTACCCTTTTCCACTACCCAATCTGAGACTTGCCAGGGCAAATAATCTGAATAACAAAAAGTGACAGGAAAATGGAACCATGTCCTTCTGATCCAGATAGTTCCAGCAATGTACCACTGTCTCCCCACGTCCCCAACCTTTCTCACTTCTCATCACCCCATCACACACACATACACTCACACATGCATACATACAAATTTAAAAAACAAACCAGAACAAAAAATTCCTTTTAGCTAAGATGATCTGAATCAATGAGAGAGGAATACAGAGTTAGGCATGGGATGAGAAGAATTCAGACTCTCCCATCCTAAGGAACAGCCCTTTGAGAAAGCTTTATCTCCAGCATTCCTACATCGCTAGAATCCCCGTTTTTCTCAGCTGTTCAGAGGGCACCGGGGTCCAGGATAGTCACAAGAGCACTAAGTTAATTCCTACTCTTTTCAGGCCCCACCTCCTGTTGTCAGTCAAACCTTGAGGTCTGCCAGGAGACTCAGCATCTCTCTCATACACACGTCCCCCCATTACCACAACCATCACCACCACGAGACAAGTTGTCTTTCACTTGGGAAGGAGGGGTTGGGAGAGGGGACATTCTGATCCTTAGAGTCGGGAGAAAGTGAAGGTTTCTTGGGAGCCAAGAAGGGAGCTAGAAACACAGGAAAGGGGAGGAGCAGATGGAGTGCAGTGGGTACCAGAGCTCACCTCAGCACTGTTCAGCCCTGGACAGAACACAGTGGACACAGTAAAGGCTGGGTCTGTAGCATTCATCCCCAAACACCCACCCACTGTGCACTCCGTTCCCAGAGAGTTTGAGGACTCAGGATTCACTGGCACCTGTGTCCACTCTGCAGTCAGTTCCAGGGTCTGCAGGGAAAGCTCTGACACTTCCACAAATATTCATTCCTTTTTGCCCTGGGTCAGCCATTGACTTAGTCCTGCAGCACCGGAGTCCAAACCCCTGAGTGAAACCAAGGGCAAGTGGGCTGGATTTTCAGCACACATTCTGTGGACACTGACTCAGGGGCGAGGGGTGGGACCGGCTGTGGGCGGGTCTTGGCTTGATGTCCCCTCAAGGGGTGCACCTCTAACCTCCCACCAGACCTCAAAAACACAGAAGTTATTTTTTGGGCACCACCTGCTTGTCCCAAGAGAAGACATACATTTTAGTCCACTATTAACTATGACCTGGATGTGTGTGTGTGTGTGTGTGTGTGTGTGTGTGTGTGTGCTTCCATCCTGAAAGCTAAGGGTGCCAACTGCTGACAGGCAAAAAAACCTGTATTTGCTTTTGAGGACTTCAAAACCTCCTAATTAACAAGCTTGCCCTTCTCTAGTTCCTAAACCTAAATCTGGGTTTTCCAGAGGGGAGATGAGATTGTGTTCCCGCTGCAGCGAGCTAGTGTCCTGCCCTGGAACCCAGACGCGCGGACTTAGCAGTCCGTTCATTCATGCACTTGCTCATCCATTCACACAAACATGTCCCTTAATTGTGTCTGGCACCGAGAATCTTGCCTGCTATTTTCCCCTCCCGAAGTCAGTGCTCATGGCAACCGCTGGTGCAGAACGCAACTCAACTGTCACCCCACTTCCTGAGCCGGAAAATCAAGGCATGTAGGCATTCACAGAAAAAGGAAAAGGTGGAGAGGAGGAGGCGGCGGGGGCGGAGAGGGGTGGGGAGACTCACGGGGTCACACTGGAAGCTTCCCTGGGGGGTGGGGGGAAACCGTGACACCGACACCGTGGCATGCAAGGAGCCAAACCATTATTAAATCAAAGACTGCTGGAGCTCGGATTCCCCGCGGGGATAAATCAAGTGCAAAGCCGCTCGTTCGCACGAGTGCGTTGCTGCCGGCTAAACCCAACTCCGAGCCAGAGCCCAGGCGCCGGGGAAGCGGCTCGCAGCCCAATCCGCAGCGCGCTCGCTGCCTCTTTATCGCTCCCAATAACGTGATGAAGTGTAAATCAAATGCCACGCCGGGAGGGGCCCCGGAACGGCGCGAGTCGTGCATTTTCGCTCACCAGCCTATCTTGCCTAAGAATCACAAGGTCACGATAGCGTCGCGATTCCACTCACCGTACACTCCTTGGCCAGAGATCCCCTCCAGGAGGACTGTCAGCAGCCACACGAGACCGTACAGTAAATCCATCTTCACGTGAACATGAACATATCCAGCCCAGGGGGTACGCAACGGGACCTTCAGGAGGCCGGCGGCCAGCCAGGCGCGCTCCACTCGCGCCCGGGCCAAGCCGAGGTGCCCGGGAACCGCTCGCCGAAGGAGGAAGCGCCGTCCGTCTGTCCTTCCCCGGCGGCGGCGGCGAGCGGAGCGCAGGAGCCCCGCACTCCACACACTCATGCACACACACACTCACACACACTCACACACTCTCCCACAACACAATACCCTGACACACACTCACACGCACGCCGCACTCACACCGGGTGCCTGGGAAAATCGCAGACGCCGGGGAGGAGCAGGGGGCGGTGATGGGAAGGGGAGCTGCGAGGCGAAGTGTTCTTCAGGGAAGCGGGCTCGAGTCTCCGCAGCTGCGGCGGCGGCGGCGGCGCGCTGGGCCGGCGGCGGGCGCGGGCAGGGGGCCGGGGGTGCCGCGCGGTAGGAGCCTGGCTTGGACAGCCGAGGAGCAGGAAGTGGCCTCTGACCCAGGACACCGAGCAGGGCTCTCTTGCCTGGATTCGCCTTTACAAAGTAACTCGCGAAGGTCCCCGGAGGGGCGTCAAGCGGCGACAGCGGCCCGCCCGCCCGCAGTCCGAAGCCCCCAGCCCTGCTGTCTTGCCTTCCCCCATTCCATCAGTTGCCATTGCAACGCCAATCCTGTTACACGATACAGACTCGCATCGCCGAACGGGGAGAGGAGGAAGAGGAGGAGGAGGAAGAGGAGGAGGAGGAAGAGGAGGAGTGGGGCTAGGGGAACGGGGGTGGGGAAGAGGGAAGGGAGGAGGGGGAAGAAGGAGGAGGAAAGGGTCCAACAGGGAGCGGAGTGTGCGTCTGGAGCTCGCTTGGGCACACCAGCCCAGCCGCCACCGCCACCGCTCTCCAAAATAGCCTTTAGCGCCCGGCCAGCGTAGAGGTGCTCTGGCCGGCCGCACCAATTCCCGGAGCCGAAAGCAGAGTCCAGGCACCGCCACTTGCAAGAGAGGGAGAATGCCAGGCAAATACCCGATCCGCACACACGTCTACGCGTGCCCACCGGCACTGCGCGCGTCCTCTTCGCTTCCGCGCCGCCCCCGCCAGGTGGAGGGGGTGGGGACGGTCGGGACAGGCGGGAGTTTAGAGGAGGGAGCCGCAGAAGGGGTTCCCCGCTTGAGCTAACGTAGTGGTGGCATCCAGAGGTGAACGCGGGAGCGGCCGCCTGCGGAGGGCACCCGGCTGCGTGGCGTCCGCTCGGGCCGCTGCTGCGGCAGAGGTGCCCTGGTTGGGCGGCTGGGCGCCTGGGGTTCGACGCCGGCCGGGATCCCTGGGTGTGCGCGGAGATGCGCGCCGCGGAGGCGAATGGAGGGAGGAGGAGAAGGAGAAAGAGGAGAAAGAGGAGAAGGAGGAGGAGGAGGAGGAGGGCGAAGCGGCAAGCGCGGGGCGCAGGCGGACCGGCGGCCGGGCTGCTGGGCTGCTGGGCTGCCGGGGAGGAAGGCTGTGTGTGGTCACGTTGTGCGCTACGTGCTGAGAGCGCGAGCTGCTAGCCGCAGCCGGGCGACGTCAAAGCCGGGTGCGCGGCTCTGCCGCCTGCCTCCGCGCCTCCTCTGCCCCTCCTTTGCTCTGCCTTCCTGTGTCAGCCGAGCTCATCAGTATGGACAACGCCGAAAGGCTCCGCGAGGCCGGCGGCATCTGGCCTCCAACCTCCCCCGCCAAAGCGCTCCCTCGCCTCTCGGGGAGCTCCGCGGTGGCGAATGCCCGTTATGTATTTCTGATGCCGCCGTCTGCGTTTGCACGCTGAAGGGCCAGCTACCACCTTAGACCCAGGGTAATTACATGACACGCTATCTCCTCTCCGCCGCCCAAGGTCTTCCAGGATCCGTTATGCTTGGCTAGAGGGCAGAACAGGCCACAGCATTTGGAAGTGGCAACGTTTCTTCTCTATTTCTGTCTTCTTTAAAGGAAATATGGTCATCACAGTAGATGAAGGCACTGGGGGAAGAAACACTAGGAGTTCAGAGATTAGTTTATTTTATATGCAATGTCTCCTACTAAAGTTAACTGCTTGGAAAATCTTTTCCTTGTGTGAAAGACAGGCTCTTTTGTTGGGGCAGAGGTAGCTCTAATGTTTCAGGGGCTTTAAAAACTTATAGGTACAAAAGGATTAGAAAATCTAAAGCATCTTTAATTTACATTGCAACAAGTGTGGAAATACTTCGCTAAAAATTAATAGGGAACATCTGGGAATATAGTAGTGTTTTTTTCCTGTAACCGAGATAATAATGTTTCCTGTACGCAGTCCACTTTGTTGAATATATGCTTCACTATTCAAACAGCATATGGGTAGGAAGTGATTGGTTTAAAACGCACATTTATACATGTGTTACAAAAGTAATTGCCATGGGAAATCTGGAGCACAGTATTCATTTATCTGCTCCCATAATAGGCTGGTAGGACACACTGCAGGTCCCTCTCCCCATGCTGTACTTCTGTTGGGGGTGGGGGACCCTAAGCACTGGAAAATGTGTAGTCCCCAGTCTTTCCCCAAGGTCCTTTTCCTCACTTAAATGAATTGTGCATATTATTTTTTATAGGGTGCGATTTAGTGCTTACCCTCTGGGTTTACAAGACATGAGAAACCAAACATTTTGAGAGGTCCCCCAGAGGATCATTCACATAGTGTTGAGAACCCGTTATTTTTGAAATTCCACTTTAACTAGATGGAATTAAGCGTCATACTATAAGTAAAGTCAATATGTGCCATTTCTGAAGAAAAATGAGTGACACTCACTGGTCACCTGTGGGGTAAAAATTGTCTCGTGATTTTAGAAATCTGCCTTTTGTGAGTAGATCATTCCTGTACACTTGCAGCACAGTAGCTTCATGGGGCAATAAACTGCACCTCCCTTCTCAGATCAAAGCTCATACATAATGTATCTTGTCCATGAGGCTCTTCCTGATTTCAGCTTATCATGTTCTGTTCAAGTAGTACTTCCCCCCCATATTTGTACTGTACTTTTTAATGCTTAGTTATGGAATCATAGGATCTTTGAGTGTGTGAAGGACTCTAGATTGGAATACTTTGTCATCCCCAAACGTTGGTGTATCATTTTAAAGGAGCCCAGACTCAGTATGGAGATTACTCTTATTAACCTTCAACATTAGAACAGAGCCTCAGGAGCCCAGGACCTTTCTTTTCTGTATAATGCTCATCTCTGCAGAGGAAGGAACATGCACCCAGTGAGCCCTCAGCAATGCCTGAGTGAAATCTTTGAACTTAGAGAACTTAGAGAACCCAGTCAATTTACAATTTATTCCAGTTGTAGTTTAAATTAAAAATGAGGAAATAGCTAGATGCAGCTACTCTTTGCTGGGCCTTATCCTAGACTGTTGTACACTTAAAGATTTTATGAGACATATTTCCTTCCTTCAAGAAGCACACAATCTAGTGGGCAGAGTGCATTGGTCAACATATGCACCATTACCTCTACTGATACTGTAAGTGCTGTAGATAAACAAAGTCCTAGGCCACAAAGTGGCAACTTTTACATGCAATCATTAAATGACTTACATAACAGATTTTTTAAATGCACTGTATTTAATATGGGTTTTCTATTCCTATGAAAATACTACATAGATTACTTATGGAAATAATTGTCAGTTTAATCAAATGACGTTTTTTTGCTTCTTGCAATTCAACATTCTTCAGGCTGCACTGACCAACCAGACGTAATATATATAACCACACCTTAGCACTGGCTAATGAAGGCCTCCAGGTGGTGAGCCTGAGCTGAAGCTTAAGGACAGGCAAGAGATGGTTCACATCAGAGAGAAGGGAAAAGCTATAGAAGGCAGGCCCAGAGAACACTATGAAATCTGGCCCAGCACACTTTATATCTCCCATTAGAGCAGTTTTCTTCAGGAACAGTGTAAATAATTTCAGAGATCACAAGTTTCTTGGATTTTTCACAGTGAATATGGGTGTTGCATAGAGCATAAAAAATTCCACATAACCTGTTATCATTTTATTGACTATAGTTTTATTTAAAATTTCTGTCTCCATTCTCCAGTATGAGCTTGATGTTCCAACCTCCATAGCATGGGGGAGACGTTCTCATGGAAAGAGTCACAGGTTGGCACAAGATTCAACCAAGGTAGTGGGACAGAGGTGAGAAAAACTGGTATCTCCAGAGATACAGCTGAGTAAGGCAAATTCAGAACACTGGGGACAAATCTGTCTTTCTTTCCAATTTAGCCTCATCCCAAAACACAAATCTCAGGTCCTGTTTGTTGTTTACATCAACTTCCATTTTCCCTGCTGGCCCCTTAAGTCACACAAACTCCTATTCACACTATTGCCAAACAAGAATGTGAAAATTATCAGTGATTATGGTAAATTATTTCTAGCCAAATCCCTGTTCACCCATTTCTTTCTTTCTACTTAGTAATAGTTTCCAGCATGCAAGACTTAATTTTAGAAGTCTAAGAAGCATCACATAGAACTGGCTGTTTCAGATGATAGTGAAAGCCATGAGGCACAGAATAGCACTGGAGATTCCAGGTGCTGGTTATTTCCAGGAGGCAGATAGGGGGCAGTTGCTCCTAAGCAGTGGGATGCAGACACTGCTGTTAGGTACGAGAAAATTTCATTTAGGGAAACAGAATTATCTCTCAAGAGGGCTTTAGTGAGAACAAAGAGAGGAATAAGAATGGTTAATTCTAATATTAGAAATAAGGAGGCAGGTCAAGTCCCAGATCCCCACTGTATGGACTGAGAGAGGTCCAGGAGAGATATTCAACTTGAGGAAGCAACAAAATACCCAAAGAACAATCCCTGGAAACAGCAGATTGGGGGTGCAAATAGAAAAGGAGGTACCCAGGAAAGGCTGTATATTTGGATACTGTTTGAGAGGATGCCAAGGTAATTTGTAACCAGATGATGGGGCTGAGGTCTCAGATATATTGTGGCTGCCAGTGAAGAGTATCTAGCTGAGAAAAGAAGGAGAGGCAGAAAGCATGAGGCAAGGATCTTGGTATTCTAGATATTCTATCTTCAGCTTAAAAGTAGCAGCACATTTCTGAGAGTTTTTACTTGTTTGGTAAATGCCATCCCTTTTTCAAGCCAGACACGCTAGTCCCTAATTTCAACTTTCAGGATTTTGTGTACCACTCATGATTTCTATACAATTTGTATCTTGAACCTATAATTATTTTTTAAAAGGCTACCCTTAGATACCATATCCTGGGTAATTTTAGTAGCCCTGCCCTAGATTTATTCTTATTCTGGCATGTCTACCTTGAACTCTTATTATAATTCTGACACTATTTCAGGAACAGACACAAGGCTGATTTGTTCCAGAGTAGAAGATGTTCAGTGCAGGGCAGTGTGACATAGTAGGTAAACGTCTGAGCTTTGACATCAGACTGCCCTAGGCTGGATCGTTGATGTCAGTATGACCTTGACATTCCCCTTATCCCGTAAAAGGAAAAGAGCAAAAGAATACTAGAATTTTAAATAAAATAATACATGTAAGATATACTCATCACCTAGCACATAGTGGTCAAGTAATATATTATTCTTAATATTTTTATTGATAATATTTTTAGTTAAAGGGTATTAATATATAGGGGTAATAACTTGGATAATTTCCATTTGGGGATGAACTGACAGCTTAGAACCTTTAGTTTTATAAGTACGATGACATGTTTTTCTCTAAAAGCGTTACTTTACTTTCTTTCATTCAAACTTCATCTGCCCCATTTCTGTCCAGTCACATCGAATTCTGAAGTCTTTCCATGGTTTAGCTGTAATGGTTTGGCAGTTCAGTACTTAGGCATCACTTAATATCTTCTGGAAACTTGAAAATTTGAGAGTGCAATTCTGCTTCAAGATTATTTTTGAAAGTGCCACATCCCTGGATGTAGCCTTGGAGAACTCGACAGCTTAAATATTAATGTGAAGAAGTTCCTGTTTATCACTATGCTTGGTTTACTATCTTTTAAAAGCATGTCAGTATGAAGCAATGCACACACGTTTAGATTGCCAATAGACCAGATTAAAGATCAACATCAAAGTTAGATTAGAAATTTTGTGATGTAAATATTAAAACATCTATTGTTTCTGACAAAGAGATGATCTGATTAACCCGCAGATAAGATATAAAGGACTAGAAGAGAGTTGAAAAATGTGTTCCAAGATTCTGTATTTGGAGCAATTTACAGATGTGCATGTACTAGGAAATAAAAGAATATTTGCGTCTTAACCAGATGATAGGCTTGAAATTTGCCATCACAACAGATATTTATAGAAATGTAACTTCTAACATCCTCCATAATTAAACTCAATCTGCTAATGAGCTACTCATATCAGCTAATGTTTGGACGTCAGAGAAACACAATATCTTCTGGGTTTACAACTTAGTCTTCTTTATGTAATTACCCAGTTTTTCTGGGTTACTCTCACACAGTCTTCTCCTTGTCCTCTCCCCTTGTCCTGACAATGAGGAAGGATGTCCTTTTTTGTCCAATATTTCTGGCCTCCACTTGATCTGTGAGTGTCTGCCACTTACCCTGCTATACCCACAGCTCACATCTTTGCCCACTGGCTTTGAGTAAAAAGGACTTAGCTCCCTCCTCTTCCAAACATCAGGCTTTTCCCAGCTCTCCAGCCATGGAAGCATTTCCCATTCTCCTCTGAGGCCATCAAGAAATTCTGGAACTCTTGCATATCACTCACATTGGGAAACCAAATGGCTCCACTTTTCATTCTCTGTACCTGGATATACCATGTTGACATTTCTACTCCTTTGTATATTTTCTAATTTATACTCTGTGAGGCATTTTCATCAGAGTTAAGGCAAGGTTTGCAAAAAGACTTTCTATACCACAGAATGTTTAAAGTGTAAGGAGCATGCATATACCTATCTTCCAACTTGGCTGTCTCTTTTGTCTCTCTTTCTCTCTCTCTCTGTTCCTCCACTGTCCCCCAAGCCTCCCACCAGGGCAGTTTTTACCTTCCTTGTATAGGGAAAAATGGACCTCATTTCAACCTTGCATTCTCCCTACTCTCTGGTTTACAAAAGACTGCCATGGTCTGAATCCTCTGAGCTAGAATTTAATAATTTAAAGCTTAAGTCTGGGAGTTCCCCTAAAAAACCTTTTTCTCTCAAATATCTGCTCTGACACATTTTTTCTTCCCTTGGCTTTTGCCCTCTCCCTGAAGGGATGCTCGACTTCAATAAATGTGAAACCATAGAGCAGCAGGAATTACAGGGAATCAGAAATAAATTGAATATAAGATATTTTCAATTTATGGCTGCATTGCCCAACCCTCTATAAATAAGTTAGTAAGGTGGTAGGACCAGGACCTGTCTATTTGGGGTGGCCTAGGAAGGCAAAACATCTTTTTGTAAGGTCAGGAGGAGATCCACAGGAATGCAGGGCTGGAGTAGGAGGATTTCAGAGGAATCAATGAAAAGAAGTACCTTGAAGAAGGGGGAAAAAAACCTGTAGCAAGGAAATTGATTATTAGGAGTTTGGAGAGGCCAGTATCCCAGTGTATCTCATCAAACTGGAAGAGTAAAGAAAATAAGACCAGCCAAATAAACCTATGCAGCTGAGTCACCTGATGTAGGCCAACAGGCAAGAACATGACAAGATAGATACGGAAAGAAGAAATGTGGCAAAGGGAGCTGTACTAGAGGGTGTAGTTTCCCCCCAAAATTCACATCCTTCTCAGAATCTCAGAATGTGAGCTGATTTGGAAAATGGTCGCAACAGATGAAATTAGTTAAGATGAGGTCATATTGGAGTAGCATGGGCCCTTAATCCGATAGGACTGATGTCTTTTTTAATTTTCATTTTCAAGTTTTATTGCTTAGCAGAGCAAGGAAACAGATGGGGATCAACATGCTCTAGTAAGGCACAGCAAAAGACACACACACAGGGGAGGACATCTTGTGACAATGGAGTCAGAGATTAGAGTGATGTATTGACAAGTTCAGGAATGTCAAGGCTTGCCAGCAACACCAGAGGCTAAGAGAAAGGCATAGAACACAGTCTCCCAGATCCTCCAGAGACAGCATGGTCCTGCTGTGTATCTTGACTGCATACTTCTGGCCTCCAGAACTGTAAGATAAAAAAAAATATTCTGTTATAAGCCACCCAGTTTGAGGTGCTTGTTAACAGCATTCCTAGGAAATGAATACAAGAGCTCATTTTGTACCTTAAGTGAGAGTCTACACAGAAGTTATTTGGCTAAGACCAAATAACTAGGGTCTTTATCCCAGTTCCTTGTCTTTAGGAAATTTTCTTTTAAATCATTATGGAATCACACTTGCCTAGCTTAGACAAATCGATAGCACTTGAGTTTCTGCATCTGTAAAACGTACTTCAGAAAAATATCTTGAGAGCTCAGTGGAATAACGCTTTTTGAAACATAGATGACATATTATTCCCTCTATCAGGGAACCAGAAAGAACCAGGAAAACTAGACTTGAAGGACTCCTATGCCCAAGTTAACTTCAATGAGGCTGCTCTCCAGATAGGGGTGTAGTACCCCGAGATGTCCTAGAGAAGAATCAAGGCAGCAGTGCCCCTGTCCTCAGCATTCCCCTGCATCTATCTGATGAAGACCACTTTACTTAGAAAAGGTCTGAGGAAATCTCACAAGCCCTCTCCTCTTTTTTCTTACTTTCCTTTGACCAGAAGAGGGGAATTTCCCTCTTCTTCCTGTCTCCCTTAAATAAAATTTATGTAGAGTAGAAGCTTTCAAACTGTCTTTTCTTGCCATTTTTTTTAACCTCAACCCCAAATAATATTGTGAACCAGTACACACACACACACAGGCACACACAATCCAGAACATATTTTTTCCCTCACAAAGCAATTACCCTTACCACGTGTAAAGTATTTTGATATGTTTCTTTCTATTCATTCCATTTGATTCCGCATTATCTTTAAAAAGTGTGGTTGGAACATATTAAAAATGTTCTATAACTATTTAGTATGTCATAGATTATGCTAAGTGAAAATCCTGGTTTGGGGCCTGGCATGGTGGCTCACGTTTATAATCCCATCTCTTTGGGAGGCCGAGGCAGGCAGATCACCTGTGGTCAGGAGTTCAAGATCAGCCTGCTCAGCATGGTGAAACCCCATCTCTATTAAAAATAAAATAATTAGCAGGTTTGGTGGCCGGTGCCTGTAATCCCAGCTACTCAGGAGGCTGAGGCAGGAGAATTGCTTGAACCCAGGAGGTGAAGGTTGAAGTGAGCCGTGATTGCACCACAGCACTCCAGCCTGGGTGCCAGGGCAAGATTCCGTCTCAAAAAAAAAAAAAAAAAAAAAAAAAAATCCTGGTTTTGGGCATGCTGAGGTGCACATCCAAAAAAACAAAAATAAATTTAAAAAAAGCAACTCCTCTATCTAAAAAGCCTGAAGAGAACATTTAACATTTATCCTCACTCTGCCCTGAGGTAATAAATATTTTAGGCCTTAGAGGAGGGATATTTATATATCTGTGTATGTGTGTGTGTATGCCTACATGTATAGACATATATATATATGTAATATAGATCTAGATCTATAAAGGTATATAATATCTATATGTATATATATCTGTATATCTCTCTATATAGAGATATATGTATATATGTATATACATATGTATCTATATCTATATATAAATATATATAAAGATATATAGAGAGATATTAACATATATGTATATATATTTATATATCTATAGATCTATATATATAGATATATATAGAGAGATATATATATAGAAAGAGATATATAAACATATGTATGTCTCTAATATATATGTATATATCAGAGACAAAGTCTCACTATGTTCCCAGGCTGGCCTCAAACTCCTGGATTTAAGTGATCCCCCACCTCAGCCTCCCTAGTAGCAGGGACTACAGGCATGCAACACCACACCCAGCTTTAAAGATATATGTTGAATGACATTCTTTTTTTCTTACATATTTTATATTCATTTTTTCATTTTTATACAGAATGACATCTTTCCATTGCAATAAGTGATCATTTCCAGCAACATTTTTAATGACTGAATAGCGTTCCAATGTGTAAACGCAATGTAACCATTTAACTAACCTCCCTCGTTAGCATTTGGTTTCTTTCAAAAGATTACATTCTAATGAGAGGAAACAAATAATAAAAAAGCAGACAAGAAATAAAGATTATTTTATTGATACATAATATTTGTACATGTTTATGGGATACGTACATACATAGGATGTGCAATTATCGAGTCAGGATATTTAGGAATACATCACCTCATGAATTTATCATTTCTATGTGTTGGGGACATTTGAAGCCCTCTTTTCTAGCTATTTTGAAATACAGAATACATTGTTGTTAACTGTAGTCACTCTACTCTGCTATTGTACAATAGATGCTATTCTTTTTATCTAACAGTATGTTGTATGCATTAATCAACCTCTACCGTCCCGCCCCCTACCTGCTGCTGACACACATCTTTCTCCACCTCTGGTAACTATTATTCTACTCTCTACCTCCATGAAATCAATTCTTTTAATTTCTGTATATTAATAAGAACATTTAATGTCTGTCTTTCTGTGCCTGGTTTATTTCACTTAATATATTGTCCTCCAGTTTCATCCATGCTGTTGTACATGACAGGATTTCAATCTTTTTTACTGCTGAATAGTATTCTATTGTGTAAATATGCCAGTTTTTAAAATCCATTCATACACTGATGAACACTTAGGTTGATTCCATATCTTTGCTATTGTGAATAGTGTTGCATTAAAAATAGGAATTAAGTTATTCCCTTGATATACTGATTTCCTTAATCAGTAGTATTGATTGGATAAATACCCAATAGTATTTGGATAAATACCTGGTAGTAGGATTGTAAGAATATATGGTAGTACTATTTTTAGATTTTTTGAGAAATCTCCACATCATTTTCCATAATGGCTTTACTAATTTACATTCCCACGAACAGTGCATAAGAGTTCTCTTTTCTCTGCATCCTCACCAGTATCTGTTATTTTTAGTCTTTTCGTTAATAGTCATTCTAATTGGGACAAGATGATATTTAATTGTGGTTTTGAATTGCAGTTTCCTAATGATTAGTGATGTTGAGCATTTGATGATGTACCTGTTGGCTATTAGAATGTCTTCTTTTGAGAAATGTCTGTTCAGATCTTTTACCTACTTTTTAACGAAATTATTTGGGTTTATTTTGCTGTTGAGTTGTTTGAGTTCTTTGTATATTTTGGATATTAGTGCCTTGTTGGATGAATAGTTTGTGAATATTTTTCCCATTCATCAGGTTGTCTCTTCACTGTATTGATTGTTTTCTTTGTTGTGCAGAAGCTTTTTAGATTAATATAATCCCATTTCTCTATTTTTGTTTTTGTCACCTGTGCTTTTGATGTCATAACCATCAAATCTTTGCCTTCATCGATATCCTGGAGTATTTCCTCTATGTTTTTTGCTAGTAGTTTTGTAGTTTTATAAATTTACACTTAAGTAAATTTCCAACTTATGTTCAAGTCTTTTATCTATTTTGAGTTAATTTCTGTATATGGTAAGAGATAGGGATCTAGTTTCATTCTCCCGCATATGGATATCTAATTTTCCCAGCAACATTTATTTAAGAGGTTATCCTTTCCCTGATGTATATTCTTCGCACCTTTGTCAAAAATCAGTTGGCTGTAAATACATGGATGTATTTTTGAGTTATCTGTTTCATTGCTGTTTCATTGGTCTGTGTGTCTGTTTTTATTCTAATACAGTGCTACTTTGGTTACTACAGCCTTGTAATATATTTCAAAGTAATGTGTTGCCTCTAGCTTTGATCTTTGTGCTCAGGATTGCTTTGGCTATTCTGAGTCTTTTGTGGTTCTACATGAATTTCAGAATTTTTGTCTATTTCTTTGAAAAATAGCATTGGTATTTTGATAGGAATTGTATTGAATCTGTAGATTGCTCTTGGTAGTATGGTCATTTAAACAATATTAATTCTTCTTATCCATTAGCCTGAGATGTTTTGCTGTTCTTGCACTCTTCAATTTCTTTTATCAGTGTTTTGTAGTTTTCTTTGTAGATGTCTTTAGCCTCCTTGGTTAAATTTATTCTGAGTATTTTATTTTATCGTAGCTATTGTAAACAGAATTGCCTTGAGTTCCTTTTCAGTTAGTTCATTATTAGTGTATAGAAAGACCACTGATTTTTGCATACTGATTTTGTATCCTCTAACTTTCCTGAATATGTTTATCTATTCTAAGAGATTTTTGGTGGAGTCTAGGCTTTTCTAACTATAACATCATGTTTTCTGCAAAAAGGGACAATTTGACTTCCTCTAACTTAGAGTCCTTTTATTTTTCTCTTGTCTGATTGCTCTGGCTGAGACTTCTAATACTATGTTGAATAGGAGTGGTGAAAGTAGGCATTTTTGTCTTGTTCTAGTTCTTAAAAAAAATGGCTTTCAGCTTTTCCCCATTCAGTATGATGTGAACTCTGGGTTTATCATATAAGGCCTTTGTGATATTGAGGGATGTTCTTTCTATGCCTAGTTTATTGAGGGTTTTTATGATAAAGCAATGTTGAATTTTTTCAAATGATTTTTCTCTGTCTACTGAGATGATCATATGGTTTTTATCGTTGATTCTCTTGATGTGATGTATCATGTTTATTGATTTGCATATGTTGAGCCACCTTTGCATTCTTGTGATAAATCTCACTCGAACATGGAGTATTATCTTTTCGATGTACTGTGGATTCATTTTGCCAGTATTCCGTTGAGGATATTTGTATTTATATTCATCAGGGATATTGATCAATACTTTTCTTAGTTTGTTGTATCCTTATCTGGCTTTGTTAGCAGGGTAATGCTGGCCTCCTAGAATGAGTTAAAGAGAATTTCCTCCTCTTTAATTTTTTGGAATACTTTGAGGACAGTTCGAGTTAGTTCATCTTTTTAAGTTTGGTAGAATTTGTTGGTGAAGGTTTTGGGTCCTGGGCTTTTCTTTGCTGAGAAAGTTCTTAATACTGATTCAATCTCTTTACTCATTATGGGTCCATTCAGATTTTCTATTTCTTTCTGATTCAATCTTGTAGGTTATATTCATACAGGAATTTGCTTATTTCCTCTAGGTTTTCGAGAGAGAGTCTTGAGTGTATAGTTGTTCATAATAATCTCTGATGATCTTTCACATATCTGTAGTATCAATTATAATGTCTAAGTTTTTGTTTTTGATTTTATTTACTTGAGTTTCTCTTTTTTCCCTTGGTTAGTGTAGCTAGTGGTTTATTTTAATTATCTTTTCAAAAAACCAACTTTTCATTTATTAATCTTTTGATGTTATTGGTCTATTTTGTTTAGTTCTGCTCTGATCTTTATTATTTCTTTCCTTCTATTAATTCTGTTTTGTGTTTTTTTCCTTTTCTAGTTTCCTGAGGTGACTTGTTATGTTGTTTCTTTGAAATCTTTCTAATATTTTGATGTAGGTGTTTATTGCTATAAAGTTTTCTCTTATCAATGTTTTTACTGTATCCCATAGGTTTTGGTATGTTGTGCTTCCATTTTCATTTTCTTCCAAAATTTTAAAATTTCTTTCTTCACTTCTTCATTGAACCAATGTTTGTTCAGAAGCATGTTGTTTAATTTCCATGTGTTTTTACAGTTTTCAAAGTTCCTCTTGTTATTAATTTCTAGTTTTATTCCTTCATGGTCTGAGAAGATACTTGATATGATTTTGATTTTTAAAAATTTGTTGAGATTTCTTTTGTGGCCTTACATGTAGTAGTATATCCCAGAGAATGTTCTGTGTGCTGATGAGAAGAATGTACATTCTGCAGCTGTTGGATAAAATGTTTGGTAAATGTCTGTTAGGATTATTTGGTCTAAAGTCCAGTTTAAATCCAGTGTTTCTATGTTGATTTTCTAGACTCCTGAGAGTGTGGTGTCGAAGTCTCCACTATTATTATATTGGAGTCTATCTCAACCTTTATATATAATAACATTTGCTATATATATCTGGGTGCTCCTGTGTTGGGTGCCTATATGTTTAGAATTGTCATATCTTCTAGATGAATTTCTCTCTTTGTCATAATGTCCTTCTTTATGTCCTTTTACTATTTTTCACTCGAAGTCTTTTATTGGATATAAATATAACTACCTTTGCTTGCTTTGGTTTCCATTTGCATGGAATATCTTTTTTTCATCTCTTTGCTTTTAGACTCTATGTGTCTTTGCAAGTGAAATGAGTTTCTGTAGGCAGCAGATAGTTGATTCATTTTTCTTGTTTTGTTGTTTATTCAACCAATCTATGTATCTTAAGTGGAAAATTTAATCTGTTAACCTTCAAGGTTATTATTGATATGTGAGGAGTTATCCCTGTCAATTTTTAGCATTGTTGGTGGGTCAAGGTGGGTCTATTCTTTGGTCTCTAGATGGTTTGTTCAAGGGCCAGCAGTGGCAGCAGTGGGTAACAGCGAGATGGGGCACGCCTGTCATCAGGTCCCACAGTGATGCAGAGGGGCAGAGACCATGATGGGTAGAGCAGTGCAACCTATAGAGAGAGCATATGGACTCAGGTCACATGCAAGTGTACAATGGCCCTGCTGCTGGTGGGGGTTGGAGGAATTCTACCAATGGGAGAATTCCCAGGTAGTTGGGAGGCTTTCAGTCTCTGGGGAGAGTGTGTTTGGGCCACTGGTGACAGCTGCAGCAGTGTACAAGGAGCCTATTCGCAGAGTGCATGTTTGTGCACAGCAGCCGTACTGCTTGGTGGTGGGGGAGGTTGCTGTTAGTGGGAGCAACTCCAGGCATACATGTGTGTGGCTTTCAGGCACGGGTGAGAACACACTTTGGCCCCGGTGGCAGCAGTGGCAGTGGTGGTAGAAGAAAGAACCTGTCCCAAGGGTGTGTGATAGTGCTCTGTGGCCCTGCTAGCAAGACTAATAAAGAAGAAAAGAGAGAATAATCAAATAGAAATTATACCTTAGTTTATAATTTTATAATTAAATAATCAAAAAATCAAACAACCCCATCAAAAACTGGGCAAATGATATGAATAGACACTTGTCAAAAGAAGACATTTATGCAGCCAAAAGACACATGAAAAAATGCTCATCATCACTGGCCATCAGAGAAATGCAAATCAAAACCACAATGAGATACCATCTCACACCAGTTAGAATGGCGATCATTAAAAAGTCAGGAAACAACAGGTGCTGGAAAGGATGTGGAGAAATAGGAACATTTTTACACTGTTGGTGGGACTGTAAATTAGTTCAACCATTGTGGAAGTCAGTGTGGCGATTCCTCAGGGATCTAGAACTAGAAATACCATTTGACCCAGCCATCCCACTACTGGGTATATACCCAAAGAACTATAAATCATGCTGCTATAAAGACACATGCACACGTATGTTTATTGCGGCACTTCTGATTTTGAGTGTAGAATTTGCTGTTTCATTCTATTTTGCACAGATTCTGTTGTCTTTTTTTAGTTCCCACGTAGACTGTACAGTTTTTGCTTTGAATTCTGGGTCACCTAGGGGTGCCAGGAAGAATTTTTAAAAATTACCTTTTGATTAGATAACTGCCCCGTTAAATATAGCATACTGACAAAAATGAAGACTATATTATTTCTGCTTTTTTAAGTTCATTGAAATTTGTATTGTGGCCTTTTAGGGTTCTTCTAGGTAAATATTTTCTATACTCTAAAAATAGTGAGTAATCTGAAGTGTAAGATTAAAAATTTTATTTGTAAATATAAATATAAAAAACCCTAATTAGATTATTTATGTGCATTGTATCTTGATGTAATTTGATGCCTTCTGCACCAATTTATTTTGTCATTCATTATTGTAGAGAAGAGATCTGAGGCCAGGTCGATTTTTCATCCACTATAGGTATCTGCTTTTTCTCCCCAGATTCTTTCAGTGTTTTTATTTCGTGTTTGTGATTCACATATTTCATCAGGATATATATACATATATATATATACTTTCTAAGAAATTATACTTTAAATATAATAAGCCCTTTGTCATCTCTGAAATGTTGTCTCTTAATTATGTCTTCCTTGTTTATTCTAGTCATACACTTTTGGGAGCAACTACTATTTGCTTTATGCTAAAGCCTCTTTCATATATATACATGTGTGTGCATGTGCATGTGTATGTATATTATATATACAAATGAGCACATACATATATATATCGCCTCATATATATGAAGACATATATTATACATTATATATATCTTCATGTATTATATATACATATATTCCCCATATATTATATGTATATATATTACACATGTATATTATATATACATATTATATATTATATACACAAATGAATACGCACAGAGGCACACACATATATATATGAAAGAGGCTTTAGTATAAAGCAAATACTTAAAAAAAAATCTTCTAATGATTCTGGTCTATATACCGCTGTGATTTTCCACAACAGTGAATAACCGCTCAAGAGTCAAATGGAGATTTTATCACTGATTTATAATTTTCATTGAAGGTTTTTGATAACTTACTTATTGCTTTCTTTTCTTCATCCTGTTTTTGTCTCATATCCTCCCCTGACACTCAGGAGCTCCTAAGCCTTGTTAAATAAGTAACTATAATTTTCTTCTAGATCCTGAAGTAAATTATTGTCAGAGATGCGCTCTGTTCAGTGTCACTCCCTTACTCTTTTGCTGCAGAATTTTGTATTAGCCTGATGCTAATTACTTTTCTTTTAAAACAGAGTTTAGATCTATGAGGATTTAATTTTTGTTAGCAGAACAAATGAATTGTCTTAGGTCCTGTTTTCTTATTATTTTTGCAATGGTAAAATTCCCTTCTGAGAGTGATCGCTGAGGGTAAGTTGCTTTAGCCTTAGCAAGGAGCAAGCCACGCAATTCTCTATTATTTTCAGGCTTTTTTTCTACTACATGCAGAATCTGATTTTCTGGTTCTAAACCAATATAGTAGATAAATTCCATAATTTCCAGCATGCTGCAACAGGGTTTTTAAAATGTCTGTCACCTCTTCAGTGCTCACTTTGTAGTTAACTATACTTTCCAGAAAGTGTGCATGGTGTGACTTCCTTTGCAAACTGCACCTGAAAGGTAAAGAGGCATGCTTGCCTAATATTTAGTTAGTACAGCTTCTGAATTAGGGAATGCAAAAAAACATCTTTCATGTTTTTTTTTTGCAGTCAATCTCTTGACTTTAGTGGAGGCTATTGCCAGAATTAGATAGGTTCTTTCCTCCTATCTCCCTTTCTCTTTCTTTCTTTCTCTTTCTTTCTTTTTTCTTTCTTTCTCTTTTCTTTCTTTCTTCCTCTCCCTCTCTTTCTTTCCTTCCTTCCTTCCCTCCTTCCTTTCTTTCCTCCTTCCCTCTCTCCCTCCCTCTCTTCTCTTTCTTTTTTTCTTCCTTTCTCCTTCCTTCCTTCTTCCCTCCCTTGCTGCATGCCTCTCTCCCTCCCTCCTTCCCTCCTTCCCTCCTTTCTTTCTTTCTTCCTTCCTTCCTTCCTTCTTTCCTTCCTTCCTTCTTTCTCTCTTTCCTTTTCTTTGCCTTTTTTCTCCACCTTTCCCTTCTTCCTTCCCTCCCTTCCTCCCTTTCTTCCCTCTTTCTTGTGTTCTCCCTCCAACTACTTCTGTGTATTTTAAGTATGTCAATTGTGCCCCAGTTATAGCCTAAGGCTAAGGTTCTCTTTTCCTTATTAGTTTTTGTCTTTTTCTGTGCTTTCTTTTTTTTCCTGTCTGGAGAAGGCTGCATTAGGGGTCTCATAGCCACATATCATTAAAATGGGAATTATTACATTAAATTTTCTAAACTTTTAGTTTAAGTCATCATCTTTACTTTCATTGTTGTAAACAATCCAGCTATTCTGCATATTGTTACCTGGTAGCCTTAATAAATTTTGCCTTGCTTGTATTCTTCAGGTTATTTTGAATTTTGTTAAATTTCCCTTATTGCTTACAAAATACTGATGAAAAGAATGATAGAATCACAAAGTATAATTATAAGATTGTATTATAAATAAATCTCATTCTACAGCAACAGAAATTAAACTGAAATGGATTTAGCACAGGTCACCTGTTTTGAAAGTGGAAGAACTCTTGCTTCAGAATCTCAGAGAAAATTCTTAGAACCCTGAACCCATACAAAACATCTGAACCAAATACATTGTGCATCTTACTATTATTTTTATTATCAACTTTATATGAAATAAAAGGAAGCAAAACCACAAAGTATGAATTAAAAGTTATTAGATGAGTAGTAATATTAATACATTTGAAACATTGGTTAAATACATTCAGGAATGTGTAGCATTTTTATAATGCCCTGACCTTACTCTTTTGGTCCACCCTGGAGGTCACCTGCAGTTTCAGTAAAGAATGTCATACAAGCCAATGGCTTCCTACCTCAGACACCTCAACCTGAGGGCTTTCTGTAGTTGTAGAAGCACATGAAGTCTGCTTAAGGAGCAGGCCAGAGGTGTTGGAAAATTAATGCCCATAGGAGCAACTATAAGGAATATTGATTGCTAGATAAAACCTCAGCTTTCTCACTCATTGGTGAGAAATTCTCTCAGTATGAAATCAGCAAATCTGAGTCTCCAGTTGCTCACAGCAATGCCCATTTATTAGCACATGGTTTATTGACTTTACCCCCTTTTTGATCTCATTTCCCTAACCGTGCTTTCTGGGATCAGGCACTACTTGTGGAGAAACATCACCTAAGAAGTGCCCTTCTTTCTTAGAGAGCATTTCCCTTTCTTAGATGTGATTCTGAGATTCACCTCCAAGCTTTGTATATATGATACCAAATCATTACTGGAGGTGTCAATCAATGCATATATGTCCAAGAGGTAATTTCTTAGAAATTTATTCTATTCAATTAAACGTATCACCACAATGTTTGTTCCAAGCCATTGTTTTACATAAATATAATAGTGCTAGTTTCTCATGTAAAGCTTCATTCCAGGAAGTCAGTAATTGTTGCCAACCCAGCTATCCATCTTGCATCATCTTACTTTATTTTAAAAATCCTTTTATTTTTAAAATCTCAAAATATTTCAAAATTCTAAAAGCAGAGCATAAGACCCCATATATCCTGCCATTCAATTTCAATAAATATTAACATTTGCTATACATTTTAATGTGTCCTATCCCACTTAATTTTTAAAATCTTCATGGAATTGTAATATACACAGAAAAGTGCATATATCATAAGTGCATATATCATTAGTGTACAGTAAAATGAATTTTCTCAAACTGAACACACTGATGTAACCAGCACACAGACAAAACAAACAGAATATTGTCAGCACTTTCAAATTCCTCCCCCATTCCCGTTCCTTCCTCAGTTAACACTCACCACACCAACACAGGAACATATTATATTATTCTATTTTTCAAGAGTCTTTTAAAGCAGATAACACTCATCCTGTCATTTTATTATTAAGTCTAATCTAAAGACAAACCACTCTCTAGTCACACCATGCTTTACCTTCCTAACAAGCATACTATTTTTCCAAAAATTTTGTTGAAAAATGCTTTAATTAGAAATGAACAAAACCTGGATTTAGTTAATTGAAGAAAAATATATAATGAGAGAGTAAAATACATGCTTTCACTCTACAGGTTTGGAATTAGGCAGAAAAACAGTGTCCCAGGTTCAAAGATTGTGAAAGGCACACACTGACTTTTGAGACTTGCTATCTCTTCATAGCTTGAATTGGATCACTTTGCTAAGAAACTGCAATTTTATTAATAGTATTCTTAGATTATACCATTACATCCTAACTTTAACCCAAGTTTTCAAGTAATTATTTTATTTGGGGGTAAATCATAATCTATGTTGAAAGTCTTATTTTAGGATGACTAGAGGTGTTTCAGAATAATTTTCTTTTTCTTGGGACATATCTGTTAATTTAAAATCCAGCTTTGAATTTGCAAATGCTTAAAATAATTAATTTTGATGATGACATAATGCAATATATTTTAAAAATATGTTGTCTTTCCCCACAATATAGAGTAATTCCATATTTATTCAGGGCTTCTCTATTTGATAAACAAATGCCCAAAGGATAAAATTATTGCTTATCTGACTCGGTGTATTGCCTTTTCTGCTGAAATGTAACCCTTCCTCTTGTTAGCATAGAAATAAAGAACTGATAGTGAATTTCAAGTTACTTCTTTACATTTCAAAATAAAGTGAGTCTCATGTTTACTTTCCATATTGAATTAATAATGTTAGAAAGAGTTGTAAACAGGAAATTGTGAAAACATAATTGGGTAATTATCACTTTTGAGAAAGTCTAGGTTTGTAATACAATATATTTGCCTTCTTTCAATGATACATTGCAAATAAATAGTATCACTATTCAAATAATATTATCACATTTAGTTAATAAAACATTCAAGTAAACACAAAATATTGATTTCTCACACAATGTTGAAAGCTAATAAGTATAAAATAAAATTATGTACAAGAAATCTAAGGTCGTGACAGATTATTTAAAATAATTTATAGTGAATATTACTGTTATTATTATTATTAATTTTAAAGTCAGCGTTTCTTTCTGTTGGCCAGGCTGGAGTGCATGGTGTAATCATAGCTCACCACAGCCTCAAACTCCTGAGCTCATGATATTCTTCCACCTTAACCTCCAGATTATCTAGGACTATAGGGAGGCACCATCACTTCTGGCTAAATATATATATATATATAGTAGAGACTTGCTCTCACTTTGTTTCCCAGACTGGTCTTGAACTCCGGGCCTCAAGCAATTCTCCAACCTCAGCATCCCAAAGTGCTGTGATTACCAGCATGAGCCACTGCATATGGCTTATAATGACCGTTATTTTTAATCTTAATTTTTAAACTACCAAAAGAATTTGCACTCAGAAACAATGACTTCCAGCATGCAGAATTGAAAATTACCTGTCTTCTTTATTTTGCAGATAGTGTATAATTGCCATTTATTTTTCTAATTTAGCAAACATTTAAAATATATGCATTTCTTAAAATTATTTGGCTCGAAGATATTTATTTTGTCTAAATCAATTTTTGAAGAAAATACTTAAAAGCATAAGTTTCCAGGGATGCTTTCAAAAAGAAAGAAGGAAGTAATATAGTAAATGTCTCTAACACTAATTGTTTACCTCTCAAATAATAATTAAAAGCACTTGAAATATGTAATGAAAAAATAAAACTCATTTTTAGTTTGTTCTTTCTCCAGTATCCTTGCTGTCATAGCTAATTTGAGCTCATTAAGAAGTATCAGTGGGGTGGAGCTTTCTTCCTGGTAATGACAGTCTAGGTAATTTGGATCAAAATTGCCACTGAAAAATCAGTAATTTGTAACGAGAATTTCTGTATAGCTATATATTGACATCAATCTACGTGTCTGTCTGTCTGTTTATCTAAACAACAGAGAACTAACAAGCCAGTGAGAATTGTGGGGCCAATATTTAAGAGATTAAAAAAACCTAGTATAGTAACCCAAGCATTGAGGTCACTTTCCCTTTTCTCTCAACACAAAGAATGAGCATGTTCCTGAAGATGTGGCCAAGAGGCTGAAAAGCAAAGCAGAATATTTCAACAAATTCAAGGGCCTAGCAGGGTAAAGTTGTGATTTAGGCCACACTAAACAAATAAAGCATGGTAAAATACCAAGTTTAATTTGAAAGCTGAAAGATCTGCAATTTAGGAGTAAAGATGAAACTGAAATAGACTAGCTCTCACTGGGTCTGAATCACAGCTTTAAATCAACTCCAGCACTTATTTGATTAAGGTAATCCAGATAATATCATATTGCCTCAAGTCTCAAATAAGTTCTACAATTTATTTATTTTCCAATTATTTTTAAATTTTTAATATTTTAGAGATGGGGTTTTGCTATGTTACCAAGGCTGAACTTGAACTTCTTGGCTCAAGCCATCATCCCACCTCAGCCTGCAAACTAGCTGGGACTATACGTCCATGCTACTGAGGCTGGAAGTTCTACAATTCATTTTAAAATAAGCAATACTGGTGGCCTAATCAAGTATATCCAAATGTATGAAGAAATAAGGCAAATTGATTGCTATTGTCTGAATTGTGCCACCTCTGCCCCCAAATTCATATGTTGAAGTTTTAACTTCCAGTACCTCAGAAAATGATTCTGTTTGAAGATAGGGCCTGTAAAGTGGTGACTTAGATAAAATTGGGACAATGGATGAGCTATAATCTAATATTATCTGATGTTGTTATAAGAGGAGGATATTAAAACAGACACAGAGGGAAAATGATGTGAAAACATCAGATGAAGATGGCCATCTACAAGCCAAAATTGTGAGAAAATATATTTCTGTTATGTTAGTCACCTGACTGGTACTTGCTCATCACAGTACTGTTATACTAATATAGTGATAAAAGCCCGAGGAAACATAAAATAGAAATATCTATGGGGAAGACAGATAGTTGTGGTCTATATATAGGGGAAATAAAGTCTATACCTAAAATATTCCAGGAACTAAAACAAATGATTTACACAGAAATGGAAACTCTTATAATAACCTGAGAAACTCTATAACTGGAAAATTGAGAAACTGAAATCAAGAACTCAAAGATGGATTTAATAACAGATTTGATATAGATGAAGAAATACTATTGAACTGGATAATAGATCAGAAGACAATTTCCCAAATATAGCAAAAAAATATAGAGGACTAGAAAATACAGAACAGAGCATATGAGACGAGATTAATAAAAATAGTCTATGTATACATTATTGGATTCCAAGGAGGAAAAAAAGTATTAAAATTTAAAGATATAATAACTGAAAAATTTAAAAACTGATGATAATATAAAGCCTCAGATTAAGAAGCAAATGCATAATGACACCCATAGACTCAAAGTAAAGGGTTGAAGAAAGATCTGTCATACAAAAGGAAAACAAAAACGGGGTCACTACCCCCCAACAAAAAAAACTGAAAGCCAAAACAATCCTAAGCAAAAGGAATGCAGCTGGAGGCACCACATTACCCAACTTCAAACTGTACTGTAAGGCTACCATAACCAAAGCAACATGGTACTTGTACAAAAAACAGACACATAGACCAGTGGGACAGAATAGAGAACCCAGATGTAAACCTGCACACTTACAGCCATCTGATCTTTGACAAAGTTGATGAAAATAATCAATAGGGAGATGACTCCCTTTTCAATAAATGGTGCTGGAATAGCTTGCTAACCAGATGCGGAAGAATGCAACTTGACTCCTCCTACCTTTCACCATATCCAAAAATGAACTCAAGATGGATTAAAGATTTAAATGTAAGATTTCAAACTTTAAGAATCCTAGAAGAAAACCTAGGAAACAGCATTCTTAACATTGTCTTTGGGAATGAATTTATGACCAAGTCCTCAAAAGCAATTGCAACAAAAACAAAAATGGACAAATGGGACCTAACTAAACTAAAGAACTTCTGCATAGTAAAAGAAACTATTAACAGAATAAATGGACAGCCTACATAATGGGAGAGACTATTTACAAGCCGTGCATCTAAAAAATGATTTATAAGGAACTTAAATGATTAAACAAGCAAAAACTAATAACCCCATTAAAAAGTGGGCAAAAGACATGAACAGTCACTTCTCCAAAGAAGACATACAAGCAGTCACAAGTACATGAAAAAATGCTCAACATCAGTAATCATCAGAGATATGCAAATCAAAAACTCAATGAGAATCTCACCACCAGTCAGAATGGCTATCATAAACAACTTGAAAAACAATAGATGCTGGCAAGGCTGACAAGGCTGGCAAGGAGAAAAAGGAATCCTTATACGCTGTTTGTGACAATATAAATTAGTTCAGTCACTGTGGAAAGTAGTTTTTAGATTTCTCAAAGAATTTTAAACAGAACTCTTATTTGACCCAGCAACCCCATTACTGGGTATATATCCAAAAGTAAATACATCGTTCTACCCAAAAGACACATGCACTTGTATGTTCATTGCAGCACTATTCATAATGGCAAAGACAAGGAGTCAACCTAGGTGTGAACCAATGGTGGAAAAAGAAAATGTGGTACATATACACCATGGAATAATACATAGCCATAAAAAAAGAATGGAATTATATTCTTTGAGGCAACATGGATGTAGCTGAAAGCCATTATCCTAAGCACAGGATGAACACAGAATTAACGCAGGAACAGAAAACCAAATGCTGCATATTCTTACTTATAAGTGAGAACTAAACATCGAGTGTTCATGGATGTAAAGATGGCAACAATAGACATTGGGGACTGCTAGAGAGGGAAGGGAACTTGGGGGCTCTGCATTGAATAACTATTGGGTACTATGGTCACTACCTGGGGACAGAATTATTTGTATCCCACACCTCAGCATCACACAATGTACCCATGTAATAAACTTGCACATGCACCCCCTGAATGTAAAATAAAAAGTTGAAATTATATTTACCCATTATATTTATTAGGAAGAAGTCAAATGAAGAAAGTGCACTTCCACATAATAAGATAAATATGCTCTAAAACTAAACAAAACAAACAAAGAGAAATCATTAAAGCACCCGGAAAAAAGATGGGTTACCTACAAAGAATTTAAAATAGGATTGAAGCCAGATTCCTCAACAGAAAAAAATTAAAGCCAGATGGCAGTGAAATAATATCTTCAAAATATTAAAAGTTAAGTATTCTATACACAGAGGAAATAGTCTTCACAAATGAAGTGAACAAGAGGAAAAGGTGCTCATTCTTAATCACAATATGATATGGTTCGGATGTTCTGTCCCCTCCAAATCTCATGTTGTGTTGTGACCTCCAAAATTGATAGTGAGCCCAGTGGGAGGTGTGTGGGTCATGGGAGAAGATCCCTCATGAGTGGCTTGGCGATGTCCTCATGGTAATGAGTGAGCTCCCACTGTATAAGTTCATGTGAGATTGGCTTGTTTAAAAGAGTATGACATCCTTCCCCTTGCTCTCTCATCGTGTGATACACCTGCTTCCTTGTCCTCTTCTGCCATGATTGTAAACTTCCTGAGGCCCCTAACAGAAGCTGTGCAGATGTTAGTGCCATGCTTATATAGCATGTAGGAACATGAGCCAAAATAAACCTCTTTTCTTTATAAATTACCCGGTTGCCATTCCTTTATAGCAATGCAAACAGACTAATGTGCACTAGCAAAAAATGCAGAATGAATGTGCACTAAATGTCATTTCTCATCTATCGTAATGGAAAAAGTTTTAAAAGTTTGAAATGATTATGTTAGTAAGACTTGGGGAATAGGCATTCTCATTTAGCACAAGATAGTGCAACAAGTAAGGAAAGAAGTTAGGCAACCTGACAATATCACATACACATTTTCCCTTGTATCTGGAAATTCTTTCCTATCCCAAACATATACTGGCAAAAATATACAAACAGGCATGTGTACAGGAAACAAAATGTAGTACTATTTGTAAAAGAAAGAGAATATAGCACAGTGCAAATACACATTAATAGGGATTGATTCAATGAACTATGGTATGATACTTAGTTAAGGGGTTTTCCAAGCTAAGTTTTGAAGGTGTGACCTGATTTATGCTTGGCGGGGATAGTAAAATTTGAGAAGAGAGAGATAAATTGAGAGAAGAATTATTATACTAAAAGGAAAAGGACTGATGATTTTTGGAAATTCTCAGCCAATCCACATTGCAACTATGGTAAGATAGAAGAAATTTACAATCAGGAAAGTGTGATCTATAGAAAATGCTGGGATGTGACATTAAAACTCTCTCCTGAAACCTCATAAAGATCAAAAGATAAGAGTATTTAGCCACACAAAAGCCTTTTTTTTTTTTTTAAGATTAAGGGTATGACTCACAGAGCTTCTCAATTAAACCATAGGACCTCTAGAAAACTTAAGGGCAATGTTCCTCAGCAACATCAATAAAAGCAAAAATCACGAAGGGATTATTTAGGTAAGATCTCTCACTAAGTATCTTGTATAATGGAGCAAATTCCTGTGATATACACGGTAGGCACAGAAAGTTCTTCAAATTTTTATGTCTAGAGTAAAACTATCTGGTTGGACTAAAAGTGACAGAGAGTAAAAAATGAAAGAGTGTTTCACCCCAAAAACTCTAGTGGTAAAAACCAGGCTGATTAAAGTAGTCATCTGTAGAGTTTGGAGCAAGATGGCAGAATAAGAGGCTCTCTCCCCCTTTTCTCCCCATGGACACACTGATTCAACAATAATACGTGAACCAGTTTCCTTGGTGAGAAATTAAGAAACCAGCTGAGTGGCTCCAGTACTCCAGAAAAGAATGAAACTAGTTAGATCGAAGTTTTAGTAAAATTTGATGATCCTTCTTACTGTAATCCCACTGGCACAATGAAATCCAGAGGAAATCCCAAGGTCTCAGCTTCTTCCCGGAGAGAAAATGAAAGAGCTAGATTGTATATCCAACATTGTCTTCTTTGGCGGCTGCATGAGGGACTGATTTCTGTTTTTCCTGAATCTGAACACTGACAGGAAAGGACCCATATTGGGAACTGCTGAGAACAAAGACAGCAGTTGGACTAAAACACAGGCACTCATTATAGCCCAGAGGTGTGAAATCTTTTGGCTTCCTTGGGCCACACTGAAAGAAGAACTGTCTTGGGCCACATATAAAATACACTAACACTAACAATATCAGATGAGCTAAAAAAAAAAAAAGTGACAAAAGATTCTTGTAATGTTTTAAGAAAGTTTACAAATTTGTGTTGGGCTGCATTCAGAGTTGTCTTGGGCAACATATGGCCCATGGGCCATGGGTTGGACAACCTTGCCATAGCTCCTATCCTGGCTCAGTACAGAGAAAGCACATGAAACCCCCCAAACTTAGCCTCTCCCTGGAGAGGAAAAGAGTTAAAGTATGAGTCCAATATTCCAACTTTTCAAGAGGTTGCCCAAGAAACTGACATCTGTCTGCTTCTCACAGAGAACTGATAGTACCTGGCAAATTTAGATGCCCGAGGGCCTCTGAGAACAAAGGTGGAGACTTATTCAAGTACATGTTCACATGCCAACGTCCAGCTCAATGTAGCATGCTTGGAAAGTCTTTCAGCCCCTGGCTTATTGCAGGGGAGGGAAATAAACAATTGGAACATCTGTCCAGTGTTTAGACTTTTAAGGTGACTGCCCAGAGGACTGGTTTTATTTTCACCTGTATTGGAATGTGGACAAGACCTGGCATAATCTAGATGCCTAGAGGCTACTAATAATGAAATAAGAGAGCCTAGGGATTGCTTCAGCTCCAGAAGCCACAGTACAGCAGAGGCACACCAGAGGGAGGGAGCCATTACAAACTTCTGAAAAAAGAAACAGGACAATCTCTCTAATGGAGAATTTACATGAACAAGTCCAGAGAAGATGCATACACAGTTTTAGAGGCCCCCAGAACATCTGATAGTTTAGGATCTCTTCCCTTCGAGGTTTTCACTAAAATTTAAGGTTACTAAAGATAAGAATTCTAGTTAAGACATAATTCTGTATATGAAATGTGCCAGAAAGATGTGTTTTATTGAGAAAAAGAATAATTTTTTCTAATTCAGAAGTTATCTAAAGATTAATTCACATTACAGACTTGAAAAGGTTATTTATTAAAACAGTAGGAAAGAGGAGAGAGAGGTGAAGAAAGTTATGGATATGAAGATGTATTTTTGGCATGGAAGGTTGTAAAGAAAAAAAAATTAGGACAAAACAAAAAGTCCAAGAATGTTATAGATAGTTTGTATAAGTCATATGTAGTTTTTCTTCTGTTTCTCTGTATGTGTATCTCTGTGCACTTTCAGAGAAAATAAAAGTTGAAAAAGTTTAGATAGTAAAATATTATTTAAAACCTGATAGAAAATTGGAGAAGTGTCTAATTAACCCTGCTTATAGCTAAAGCTCTTAGTCTTGATGAAGGTAAATTAAGAAATACTGTAATAAAATACATTGGCAGTTTGGAGATTCTTTTTAAACATAGTTAGGCATGAAGCCAGATTGAACATGGAGCCAAATTTCACATAAATGTCTGCATTGCATTGTTTAATATTATTCTTGATTGTCTGCATAGGTAAAATCATTTGAGTTTTATTTACATGTACATATATATGAAACCATTGATTTTTTTAGGTTCTAATGGAAGGCTTTTATTTGATTCTATTTATGAATAGCCATTTTGTTCGCTTTGCATTTTCAGCAACTTCTCAGTGGTTCTATGTATCTAAAATGCCTAAGCTACCTTTGTCAGCCTGCAAAAAATTGATAGACGACACCAGCCACTTAAAATTTGATTGATTTTGTTTACTTCTGGTGATCTAGAGGGTATGAGCTTTAAGGTTCCCAGCAAAATGTAAAATAAAAATAAAAGACTTTTGTTTACAAGTTCTAAGCCAAAATAGTACATTATTTTGTTATTTGTTAGGTGAGAATAAAAATGTTTAAATCATGTTTATTTCCAAGATAATTCAATTTAATCAATAATTTGAGTTGTTTTTGAATCTTTTCCTTTAAGTAATGAAGAAAATCTGTGATATAAGTACACAGTGTTAGTGTTCTGCAAAGATTGGCCTTGTCTGTAAGGAAATTATGTTCATTGGGATTTCTCTCAAACTGATTTTGTTGTCTTTGCTAATATTGAAATGTAGTGATGTTCACTTGGATTAAGTAGTAATAAACATATGTGAGACTTTTAGTGATTTTTTTATCCCAAGACATTTATCACTGATGTGGCTTCATGTATGTACTTGAAAACAAAATATATGCAAGTGTTGCACTGGTTTGAAGATTTTAATGGTGGAAATTGCCTAATCAGTTGTCAGTACTGTATCTGGAAACTAATCTTGGTAATGTGTGATGATGCTCTTTCAAAATAGCTGAAAAGAAATTACCGTGTGCTTGTTCTTACTTCATCCCCATTTTGTTGTATGGTATTTAAATGAAAGATTATTTGTCTTCCTATTGAATTTCCAAAGCTGATATTTGCATTTGCCATTTTTTAATGATGGATAGAAACATTAGTTGTCTTACTTTGCTAAGTTTGGCGTAGGACCTATCATATTTTTTATGTTTTTTGTCACAGTCCTGTTACTAGAATGCTAGCAATTAGACATATGCAATGAGTAACCTAATTGCTTTCATACAGTGATTTGAAGTGCTGCAGGCAGTAACTCCTGCACTCCAAATTACAATGTTTTAACTTGTAACATGTTAGAGGGAATTATAGGACTTTCTATAATATAAATATCCTATTAACTAATTCTTGTGCTGTTAAGTTACAGGCTTTGACTTCCGGGTCAGAAAAAGTCACCTACTTCAGATAAATCTTGAGCATTGACACAAGTCAAAGTCTTGTCTTCAAACCTGTGAGAAAGTGACAATAAAAATGAACTGCTCTTGTGAGACACAGGGCCAGAAATTACAACCATTCAATCCATCTAGGCTCAGGGACTATCACAGAAGAGGTGGGCATGTAAAATTGTAAGGGTCAATTTTGAGGGGTAAAATTAGATCAGAGCTTTTCTATAAAGTAAATATTAATATCAAAAGCACACTGATGCAAAGCCAGTGTTGGAGCCCATATGTCAGAATAACAGGGTTTTCTTGAAGCACTGATCTACTCTTTAATAGCAAGTTGTAAAAGTTTATAAAAGGTTTATGGAAATCTTACCTTATGGTCAAACTGATTAAAATTAGATAAGTTGTTTATAAGATTTTATTAAAATTAGCTTTAACATTAATAATACACTATACAAAGGTACAATTTGGTTTTCTTTTCTGAAAAAAATTTTTATGTAAGGGATAATAAGAGATTTTTGTTTACCTTATGAGTAAAATTCAGGGGAGAAAAGAGGATGGGGGAGAAAAAGATTTATTTGGCCTCATGCTATCTTTATTAGATCTTATTGTTTGGGAAATTGAGTCTACTCACTATCAAAGGGTAAATGTCTTCATATTATCATCTTGGCTAAATGAATGACTATTTTAGAATAACTTGTGATTCTATTTTGTGATATCAAGTATCTTAAAACTTTAATATTTGACATATTTTCCAGCAGCAAAATATTAGTTTTAAATTCAGTCTTTTTGACCTCAAAGTAACTGTTTTTGGATATTGGGTCCCCTGAAGTCCGAGTGAAACATATTAGGCTATTTGGTATGTAAAAATTATACAGGAAGCATTGTCAAATGTGAGGTGCTATTTAGCTTCATTTGAGTTATATTTATATAGATGTGTTATTAATATATGTTCCAGGATTATGTAACATTCCTGAAATTCTGATGTGTCTTAATTTATATTGTCAGTAATGATTACAATTATTATTTTAAATTGTTGTATGCCAACAGAAATAACAAAATTTCCTTGTTAACTGTGTCTTTACTTATGGCTGCCTTAAGACTTTTGTCATCCACAATTGTTTTGTGTTGATTCTTCCCAAAAGTGACTTATAATCAATTACAGTCCAGAGCTTGCTTCTTTGGGGGAGCTCATGGAAAGGACTCTTGGATGCAAGTTTCTCCTAACTTTGGAAATTGTGCCACTGGATTAGAGAGAAAACTTCCAGGACCCTAATTAAAAGACTAATGTGTTCACAAAGACTACTAAACCAATATGAAGCAGAGCAGGAGTTTGTTGAATAGACTGAACTAATGGAGAACTGAAATAATTTTTATGGCTTTTTAAATTTGAAATATCAGTGATTATTTTTGTTTTGCTTTTCAGGGTCTGGAGAACTTTTTTTGAGCTATTTATAGCTTTTAAATACACTTTAGGTATACTGAGTAGAGTATACAGAATTTGAGGCATATTTATCTCTCTTTGCCTAATTTCCCCAGAATTTGTAAACTATTTGTGATTCTTAATTTATGGCAATGTGTTTGTTTGCATACATTTAATAAGAATCTGTTTCCTTTTATAATGGGACACAGTTGAAAGAACTGATTATTTTCCCATGGTTTTGACTGAAATGACCTTGTGAGAGGTTCCAGCAAAGCCAATTTAGAAGAGCCTTTGTGGACAATGATTCTTGCTGCACTTTGTGTGGGTAATCAGTCCAAGTATATGAGACTGAAGATTATTTGGTAAGTAAGTTAGTCCTGCTGTGATTAGTCTTTGGTAGAAGTGGAGGACTAGAGAGAGAAAGATTGTTTTTCAGAAGAAAACTACAGTATTAGATTAACCTTTGATTCCTGGGTGGTCACGTGGTCATCCATGGTATGCAGCTGCAAAGGACACCCCCTTCTCAGCATAAAGCAGCCAGAAAAATCAACAACCAGATTCCCCTTAGTCATCTAAGGAATCAATCAATACAAAGAGGGGACTGAAACCGACCCAGTAGTCCCATAGACAGCTTTGTTTTGTTTTGTTTTTGATAAACATAGAAATTGACCCTTCTGGTTTTAAGCCTGAAACTTAGCAGATCCTGACAATGAAAAACCAGACCTCTCAAAAGTTATCAAAGAATTGAAACATCCCAGCTAGACAATGAGAACCAGGCCCCTCATTCATTATGATTGCCTTCTTACTCCTCCTGAGTTCCTGTTTTTCCATACATAGTTAATTTCTTCCTTGTCATACGAACCCCTAATTTTAGTTGGTCAGGGAGTTGGATTTGAGACTGATCTCCCATCTCCTTCACTGTGCACCTAATTAAATTCTCCTTCCTTGGCAATAATCATTGTCTCTGATTGGCTTTCTGTGCGGGAGCAGCAGGACCTAGACCAAACCTCTCATGGTTCAGTAACATAGTCTCTATGAGAAACAGTATAGTGGCTCCTAAATATATTAAAAATAGAATTATCATATGATCCAGCAATCCTACTTCTGGGTATTTATTAAAAGAATTGAAGCCGGCTGGGCGCGGTGGCTCATGCCTGTAATCCCAGCACTTTGGGAGGCTGAGGCAGGTAGATCACAAGGTCAGGAGTTCAAGACCAGCCTGACCAACACGGTGAAACCCCATCTCTACTAAAAATACAAAAATTAGCCAGGCGTGGTGGCATGCACCTGTAATCCCAGCTACTCGGGAGGCTGAGGCAGAAGAATCACTTGAACCTGGGAGGCAGAGCTTGCAGTAAGCCAAGATTATGCCACTGCACTCCAGCCTGGGTGACAGAGCCAGACTCCATCTCAAAAAAAAGAATTGAAGTCAGAATCTCAAAAATTTATTTTTATTTTATGTTCATCTCAGTATTCACAATAGCCAAGATTTAAAAACAACCTAAATATCTATCAATGGATGGATATATAAATACAAATGTGGTATATGCACTCAATGGAATATTATTTGACCATTAATAAATAAAAATCTGCCATGTGTGACAACGTGACTGAACCTGCAGGACATTATGTTAAATAAAATAAGCCTGTCACATAAGGGCAAATACTGCATGATTCCACTTATGTAAGTATCTAAAATAGTCAAACTAATTGAAACAGTAGAATGGTAGTTGTCAGGGGCTGGGGATAGGGAGAAGTGGGGAGTTGCTGTTCAAGTTGTATACAATTTCAGTTATACAAGATGAGTAAGTAAGTCCTAGAGATCTGCTGCACATTTTGCTTATACTTAACAATACTATACTGTATATTTAGAGATTTGTTAAGATAATAGATCTCACGTTACATGTTCTTACCACAATAAAAATATTAAAAGCAAAGTAAAAAGTTGGTGTTGGCAAGTCAGGTTTGGTCCATGGAGCCTTATTTGCTAATCTTTTGTCTAGATTATCCTGACTGATACAGTCTCATAATGAAGTCATGGGAAATACATGAATGTGAATTTCAAATCATGTATTTTGATTGATTCTCCTGATGTTTTAGTCCTGAAATTAAACTAACACTTGCAAAGCAGTTTTGACACTCTGTGATTTTCATTTTCCATGTAGTTTCTAAATAATATTAGGACTGTGTTTACATTTAAAAATAAATTTCTACACCTTTGAATTAAAAAAACAAACAAACAAACTATTCACCTGCAAATCCTGCTAACTATCACTAAAAAGGAAGGATAATTTGTGAGGTTAGCAGAGACCAGAGGACAGAGTCAAGAGCCACAAAGAATTACTCCAGGTGGTGGAACATATGGAGCTTGCTGGGCTTGATTTTGAAACTATTTTAGAACGCTTACTATATTCCATTTCCTCCCTGTTTGAACCATAATGTCTGTAACTGTTATGCTATGCCTGTCCCTCCATTGTGGTTGGGTAGAGAAAATGTCTTTTTAATGTCACTTATTCATAGATGGAGAGGAATTGTTCCCAGGTGCTATACCTAATGGATTACTTAACAGATTCAGATGATGTGATTTGGGGGGACTACTGAGCTGACTGGATTTGAGATTGTAGACTTTGACTTGATGCTGTAATGGACACTAGAAGGTCACTGCAAGATCAGAGCAGGAGGAAAGAACTTTCCTTTTCCCTATACACTTTGTCCCACATAAAAGTTAGTGGATTGTTATGTAGGGAGCCTACTATTATTCATCACAGCATCAACTTTCATAGGCTACGAGCCCTTGCCTTCTAGCAAGTTTCTCTAGCAGCTTTTCGACTCCATTGTGCCCAGAACCCTTCAAAATTTGTTGCCATTGTTCACCAGACAAAGCGGGAGGTAATGGTAGTTAGGGGAAAGCTGAAGTCTTAGCCCCATTTTGTCACAATGGGCTCCTAGTTGGTCTACAGATCAATTCCATAGCTATTTTTCCAGTTTCTGAATATATATTAGAAAAGACGCACTTGGTAAATGGCAAAATCCATGCTAGCTTTGTGGCCCATGCATAAAGGCCACAATAGTAACAAGGTCTAAATGAAAGCCACTGGGCCTTTTTCTCCCTATTCAGATATTAAACAAGAAACAATGCCTGAAGGCTTTGAAAATGTTTGTACTGTCATCATAAAGACTTGTAAAAATGCAGGGTGGTGATACTTATCACATCTTCACTTAACTTGACTATTTGACCTACACAAAAGTTGGATAGATCTTAGAGAATGACTTTGATGACTCTGTTTGCAGCCAATAATCCAGATATAATATTTTTAGTAGAAAAATCAATATAGTACTTAAAACTTGGTTTTCAGATATTGACCTAACCAGTCCTTTTTTCTCCATGCAAAAATTGCAAGGACTATCAGAAGTTGGTCTCATCTAGTAAGATCAATGGTACATTCTCACAGCCATACCTCAGGGTTACGTCTCTTCCCCTCCTTTGTGCATAATACAGTCTTCAGAGGTATTGATCACCAGATTCCACAAAATATCACATTGTTTCTACAAATTGATGTTATTGTTCATATTGGATTGGATGAGCTGGAAGTAGTAAATTCTTTAGATATCTTAGTAATACATAGATGAGCCAGAGAGACAGAGATAAACCCCACAAAATTTCAGGGGCTTCTCACGTCAGTATAGTTTCTGTAAGTCAAATGGTCTGGGGCACAAGATATATTCTTCAAGTTGAAACACAGGTTACTTTACTTCACATTGCCTAACTACCCCCTGCCCCCACCCCCCACCCCACCAACACACGTACACAAGGCAGTGTTTGGTGGGGTTGCTGTTGTTGTTTTTAATTTGGAAGAAATGTGTGCCACATTTCTGTGTTTCTGTACCAAATTACCTGTAAGTTTGGTCTCCCAGGGGAAAAGAAGGCTCTGTTGCAATCTACCCTTCAGTACAATCCGACTTTTCTGTTGGGCCTATAATCATGGCAATCCAGTGATACTCTAATCACCTGTGGCAAATAGGAATACTGTATGGAGAACCTGGCAAAAACCTATTGGAGAACTGCAGTACAAAGGATTAAAAATTCCTTAAGGATTTTGGAGGAAACCCATGCCCTCTTTGGCAGATAACTATTTTCCTCTTGAGAAAGAGCTTCTGGCTTGCTACTTAGCATTGGTAAAGACTCAGTGCTAAGTGTGGAATATCAGGTACCATGAGGTCTGATCTTTTAATCATGAACTAGTCATTTTCTGATCTACCAGACTAAAGGATGGGCATGAGCAAAAGCAATAATCATCAAATGGACATAGTATATTAGAAACTGGGCTCAGGCAGGTCCCAGAGGTACTAATACGTTGCATGAACAGGTGGTTCACACTTACTTGGAACTAACTCTTGCAGCATCGCTTCCTCTCTTTCAAACCGCACTTCTGGCCTCATGAGGAGTTACTTATGATCCATGGACTGAGGGGTTAAAAGCAAGAAAACAATATTTTTTGGATGGTTCTGGATGATATGCTTATGGCACCTAAAAGTGACCAGCAGCAGACTTTCAGTCCCACAAAGATGACCCTGGAGGGGCAGCAGTGAAGTGTGACCTCCCGTTAGGCAGAACTTCAAGCAATTTATTTTGCTGTCTGCTTTGGATGGAATGGGAGATATCTAGACTTAAGGACTACAATGATTGATATATAGCTGTTAGTAGTTTGACTGGATGATTAGGGATGTGAAAGGAGTGACAAATTGGTTAGAAGAAATTCTTGGGAAGACATGTGGACAGATATCTCGAGTAGGAACATATTGTGAAGATATTTTTGCTTTTTGTGAATGCCTACCAAAAGGCATGCACTTTGGAAGATACCTTAAATTACAAAGTAGGCAAATAACTCCATGGTTACCAGTACTCCTCCCTAGCTTCCTTCCCTAGCCATCCCAGTACTCACTCAATGGGCCCGTGAACAAAGAGATCATAGCAGTAGGGATGAAATATGGACTTCAATAAGAGGGCTTCCTTTTCACCAAAGCTGACATGAATAATGCCACCGCTGAGTGCCTAATCTCCTGGTAACATAGACCAACAATGAGTTCTCTATATAGCACCTTTCCTCATGTGGACCAGCATGCCATTTGGAAGCAGATATATTACATTTTTACATGAGGGAGGAGATAGAAATTTAACTTCACCATGATTAAAAATATTTTCTGGATATGGCTTTGCCCTCAGTGCTCGTTATGTTTCTCCTAGCACCACTATCTGCAGTCTCATAATACGTTAATCAATGTTATGAGATTTTCAGGGCATTGATTCTAATCAAGGCACTAGTTTCTCAACATAAACTACAATGGTCTTACAGAGTTCATCAGCCTTGTTACATACTCTCTCACTCAAGTAGTTGGCCAAATACAAAGGTAGAATGCTTTACTGAAGAGTCATTGATAGTAATAATGTGTGACACTATTCTGAAAAAATGTGGTCTCATAGGATGAAGTATATAATTTAGGTCAGAGACAATATTACATATTTCTGTTTCGCCTAACACCAGAAACATAGGCTGGAATATCAAAGCTAGGGATTGGTGTCTCTCATGATTTTACCTAATTATGCAGACACAGAATGTTTGTTTCCCACCCTGGAAACCTTGAGGTCTTAATTCCCAAAAAGGGAATGCTTTCACCAGGGAACACAATAATGCTTTCAATTCCCTTTGAAGCATAGAGTGTTGCCTGCATATTTTGGGGGTTTTTCATGCTGCTGAGTGTGTAAACAAATAAAGGTGTCACTCCACTAGGTGCAGTGATTGATCCTAATAATTCAAGGGACATGAATTTGTTGCTGCACAATAGGCCAATGAGGATTATGTCTGGAACCCAGGGGATTCTTGCAGGTGCCTTTAAGTACTTCCATGACCAATGTTAAGTGCTAATAGAAAATGACAACAATAAAATCAAAAAGCCAAAATCATTAAGGATTCAAACCTTTCAGAAATGGTTGTTCACCCACTAGATAAAACACCACAACCAGCTGAGTTTGGAAAGGAAATCTAACTTAATATGTGTAATAAGATTAAGATAAGCAAGTCATAGATACCTCTTCACGAGCAATAACAAAAATAAGGACTGCTTTAGATTTGCAGATTGTCTCCTTGCCTGAAATGCACATAACCAATGTGAAATAAGGCTCGAAACCAGCCTGGCCAACATGGCGAAATCCCATCTCTACTAAAAGTACAAAAATTAGCCAAGCATGGTGGCAGGCTCCCAGCTACTTGGGAGGCTGAGGCAGGAGAATTGCTTGAATCCAGGAGGCAAAGGTTGCAGTGAGCTGAGATTAACCACTTTTTACTAATTAACAGATTTTATATTACATTTTCCCTGTTCAAATTGATGTTGTGGTTTCTATCTCTTGTTGGATGCTAACTGATATGTCACTTCTATGTATCTATTGCTGTATAGCAAAATACCCACAAACTACATAGCTTTACTCAGCAATGTATTAGTATTCCATGGTTTGACAGCATCAGTGGATGATTCCCTCTTGGAATGTCACTTTATCCCACGTGGCTACAGTCATGTGAAGGCTTTACTGTGCCGAATGTCCAAGATGGCTCCCTCACAGGGGTAGTATTTGATGCTGGGAGTGCATCTAGGGCTCTCAACTATAGTATCTACATATGACCTTCTGGGCTTCCAGTATGGAAGGTGTGTTCCCAGAGGTATCATCTTAAAAGCAAACTTTCAAAAGGAAAATGAGAGATCTCAAAGCAGTCAAGAGCTATGCCTAAAGACAGTGTCGCTTCTGCCATATTTTTACTTTTGTCCAGCCAAATAAGTATTCCAAGATGCTCTTGCTTTCCTCGGATTCTGCTGCATCACTTTAGGTACCAAGTTATCAGTTGGGTTTCTTATGTGCAACCATCATAATCTGACTTTGGCAACTTAATAACAATAAAAAATAACTTTATTGGAAGGATGTCAAGGATCTCACATAAATACCAGAATAGAAGAAGCCTAAGGTCTTAAAATTGATAAGAATAAAGAGCCAAAATTCTTTCCTAACAGAATTACTACTTTCATTGGTAAAAACACCATTCCACAGTTCATCTTGCCAAAAATAAAAGCACTGGGCACCAAATGCTATTGTCTTTAAAACCTTACACTTACTGTCTCTGCTATAAAGAATTCTTTATGATGCCCAAGTCTTTGTGTATTAGCTCAAGACTCACACACCGAGGAGCTTCATAAGCTTGGCCAAATCTAGACTAACATTCTGGAATCCTATCTGTCAGAAGAAATTGGTAAGTTAGAATCTTATGCTTTCGGCTTTTATAATTGTGGTAGAAATTTGCTTCCAGTCAAGACTTATACAATGGAGAAGTCTCCAAACATAGGAAAAGGCACAGATACTAGGCAGGCCCCCAAATACAAAAATATCTGTTATGCATATAATATATTTATTTTCAAAAAGCTTTATAGAAATATTGAGTGAATTTTATTTAAGTCTCTAAGATATAGCCTTAGTCAAATAACAAAGTGTGAAAAAATCTTTAGACACACGTATTAATAGGGGTGCAGCTTAATTACTGCATGATATGGTTCCTGTACACCTGTTTTGATTACCAAATAGGGTAATTAAATAAACAATTAATTGAGTAATATCACTGTGAATGATTCAGAGTGATATGTATTAACACATTTGTTTTCAGGGATATCAATGTGTAACAGTGTAATTTTTAAGGTGGGAGGCAATATAAAACGCTGGCTTGTACTGGTCATACTTTTGATATCCATAACAACTTATTTACCTGATGTTACCAATATAAAATATATTTTATTATATGAGTATTAGAAATAATCAAGAGGTTTTATGGTATTAGAGAAAATAATAATCAGCAATGATAATGTGTTCCATTAGTACATTGAGAGTATTTCTGATGAAGCATGGTTTTAAACTTAGATTCCATTATTTGCAACTTAAGATTTAGAGACTAAGAAAAAAAGCCTTGGAGGAAACAGCTACTTCTTTAAATCTTAGGAAAATATTGACTTGCTGGGGGAAGGTTAAAAGCACTAACTGATGTATACATATCTCCACTGTACATGGCTTTAGAGGAGTGGCTAGAGGGAAAGAAAGGGTCTCTATTGAGCAGGAGACAACAGCACCATACACTACATAAACCTGTCTACAAATAACAACTTATACTATAACATGGCTATAGAACAAGGTTACCTATAGATAAAACACAACAATATCAGTTAGTTATTAGGGACCCAGGTAAAAATCTGAAATTAAATATTCTTTGAACAGTTAATAGGGAATTTACGATTCATGCAATTTCATTCCATCTACCCATCAATACATTTATTCATTTTTTCATTAATTTACTAAACAGTTATTTAAGGCTTTATATTTGGCAGCAAAGGAAATACTGTGAAGCAAAATTTCATTTTTTTCATGTATATTTGGTCAAATAGGGATGAAGATAAAAATTTAATTAATGACTGTATCAATAAAGTCACAAACCCAGAAGTAATCAAGGATTACACCTAGAGTATTTTGTGGAGAATTTACTGATTGGTGTAGTGGTCCATGGACTGTTATGATTTGTAAAATGTTTATTACTGACTTACAATGATGTAAATACAGAAATTGATAGTATATATTTAGAAAACTACATACTATTTTGACAGAGTAATTTGATACCTGTTGAATCAATAATATAGGCTTATGTTTTATATACTTTTTCATTTTTTTCTAGTATCTTATTTTTGTCTTATTTTACAAAACTATCAGTCCACAAGGATTTGAGGAAAAATAAAAACCCATCCCTTATTGAACATGATTGGAGAGACCCTGCCCTTGAGAGTAAGCCAATTACTTTGTTATCTTATCCATCTCATAAACCCAGGGCCGGTTTTTATAGGCCAATTGTAAATATTCAGTTAACTCTGTTTGAAATGAGTTGACATTACTTTCATTAAGTTCAAAATTCTTATTTCCCAAATCATAACAGATAAAAATAGAGAACTGGAAAAAATAAGCAAAGATAGAATATGAAAATAAGGACGATGACTCAAAATTCTTAAAATCAAAAGAAAACATGGATGAAGGGCCAAAATCCCTGCACTACTCCAGTGTTCTTAAAAGCATATACTTCACAGGAGAGTAACTGATCTTCAAAATTAGGAACCTGCATCAGGAAGAAAATACTCTAAGTATATATTATTTATAATGATAAACAATGCAATACTTTTTTTAGAAAAATCCAAAATTTAAAAAAATGTAAAAAAATTAAAAAAAGTCACACAATGAACTATATAAAAGTTGTAAGAATGAAGTAATTACTACTACTAATAATATGGGTGAATCTCATAAGCATGCACAAAATAACCCAGAAACAAAAAGGTACATAATAAATGATTCTATTTATATAAAGTACAAAACAGGCAAAGCTAATCTGAGCTGTTAAAAGTCAAATAATGCTTTTCCTTTTGATAAAAATTAATTTGGAGGAGGAATGAAGGGTGTTTTGTAGGTGTAATACTTGTTCTTTTGTTTTTGGTACTGGTTAGAGAAATCTGATAATTTTGTGAAAATTCACTGGCCTATACATTTGTGATTTATTATACTTTTGAATAAACTTGAAAACAATCTTTTTTGTGTTTTTTGAAAGAATGAATATTCAGCTTTCTATAAAATTCTAACTTGAATGATTATTTTCCTAAATATCTGGATAAATCAAGATTTTTATTGTTTTTGAGTTTATGTCTTGCTATAGAGCTTCTCCTTAAATTCAGTTGTTGATTACTAGTTTATAAGAAGTCTTTTCATGTAAGATTACTACTAAAAAAGTCATTGAGATTTGTAAAAAAAACTCGTCACAGTTGGGCAATAGCTCTGCAGATACAGTAGAGTACGTATTGGAGAATAACAATATTTGGAGATCAATGGATAGCTATAAAAAAGGCATCTTGTGTGTACTCTGGTTATGTATTAATACAGTAGTCCCCTTATCCACAATTTCACTTTAGGGAGTTTCAGTTATCTGTGGTCAACTGTAGTCTGAAAATATTAAAGGAAATATTCCACAAATAAACAATTTGTAAGATTTAAATTGTGCACCATTCTGAGTAGCATGATGAAATCTTGTGCCCTCTTACTCCATCCAGCCTGGGATGTGAATCACCCCTCTGTCCAGTGTATCCATGATGTATATGCGACCTGCCTCTTAGTCACTTAGTAGCGGTTTTGGTTACCAGACCTACAAATTACAAGAAAAGGAAGGGTCAGTTAAGTACAATAAGACATTTTGAGAAACAGTGAAAGAGACATCACATTCACGTAATTGTGTTATATTGTTATAGTTTTGTTATTGCTATTGCTCAATTTTATTGGATAAGGGGAACTACCATAACAATTGTTATTGTTATTACTCTATTTTACCATTAGCTACTGCTGTTAAACTCTTATTGTACCTTATTTATTTTTAACATTTATTTATTTATTTTTATTTTTAAAATGTTAAGTTCCAGGATACAAGTGCAGAACGTGTAGGTGTGCTATGGTGGTTTGCTGCACCTATCAACCTGTAATCTAAGTTTTAAGCCCCACATGCATTAGCTATTTGTCCTAATGTTCTCGCTCCCCTCGCCCCCTACCCACTAACTAGCCCGGGTGTGTGTTCCCTCCCTGTGTCCATGTGCTCTCATTGTTCAACTCCCACTTATGAGTGAGAACATGTGGTGTTTGGTTTTCTGTTCCTGTGTTAGATTGCTAAGGATAATGGCTTCCAGCTTCATCCATGTCCTTGCAGAGGACATGAACTCATTCTTTTTTATGGCTGTATAGTATTCCATGGTGTATATGTACCACATTTTCTTTATCCAGTCCATCACTGATGGGCATTTGAGTTGGTTCCATGTCTTTGCTATTGTAAATAGTGGTGCAATACACATATAGGTGCATGTGTCTTTATAGTAAAATGATTTATTTTTTGGTGGGGGGTGGGTTACATGCCTAGTAATGGGATTGCTAGGTCAAATGGTATTTCTGGTTCTAGATCCTTGAAGAGTCGCCACACTATCTTCCACAATGGCTGAACTAATTAACATTCCCACCAACGGTGTAAAAGTGTTTCTATTTCTCCACAGCCTCACCAACATCTATTGTTTCTTGACCTTTTAATTGTCACCATTCTGACTGGCATGAGACGGTATTTCATTGTGGTTTTGATTTGCATTTCTCTAATGACCAGTGATGTTGAGTTTTTTTTTTTTTCATGTTTCTTGGCTGCATAAATGTTTTCTTTTGAGAAGTGTCTTTTCACATCCTTTCCCCATTTTTGATGGGGTTGTTTTATTCTTGTAAATTTGTTTAAGTTCCTTGTAGATTCTGGGTATTAGACCTTTGTCAAATGGGTAGATCGCATAATTTTCTCCCATTCTGTAGGTTGTCTGCCCACTCTGATGATAGTTTCTTCTGTTGTGCAGAAGCTCTTTAGTTTAATTAGATCCCATTTGTCAATTTTGGCTTTGGTGGCAGTTGCTTTTGTCGTTTCCGTCATGAAGCCTTTGTCTATGCCTATGTCTTGAATGGTATTGCCTAGGTTTTCTTCTAGGGATTTTATGGTTTTGGGTTTTAAAACACTATAGGTTCTCACCGTGGGCACCAGACTCCACCTAGAACTGGCAGGCTTCAGGCTGTCCCTGGCTTGAAGGTGAGATTTCAGCAGGGACCCACCCCTTTCCACCCAGGAGCCTGTCCTCCTCCTGCCTCTGTCAACATGCTGTCCACAGTGACCAGGTCATTTGTGCTGAGGGGCACCTGCAGGTCTGCACTGAGTCACCATCAGTCCCCCTCCCCAAGTCTCCCTCCCTGAGCTTGTCAGTGCCCAAAGGTTCAGATGGGGCTGAGGCACTGACGAGTTCAGGGAGGGAGGCTCGGGGTGGGGGCACTGAGGGTGGCTCAGTGCATGCCTGGAGGTGCCCCATCAGTGCCCAAAGTTTCAGAAGGGGAAAGGGGGCTGGCATGTCAGCGCCACCCTGAGCGCACACACACCTGTCCAGGTCAAGACAGTGCCCAGGCTTAGCTTCAGCTTTCCTTAAAAATCAGAGCAGGTGCCGGGAGCAGGGAGAGGCCAGGGAGCAGGAGCAGGCACTGCTAAGTCTGCAAGGGTAGGGGGGGCTTCCTGGGCCCCAAGAGTGTATGGGTGCCTGAGTTCAGAGTTATGGCTGGGCAGCTGCAGCTGCACCCACCAACTCAGTAGGGAGTGGGGCTTCGACCTGTTCCCATCCCTCACTGGCTCCTTAAGCACACATCCCCACTGCACCTCCCCTGCTGCGGTCAGCATCGTTGCAGTGGTCCCTCCAGATGGGCCATCACTGCCATCACCATGTTTTTTTTGTTGGTGTTGTTTTTGCCTTTAACTGCTTTCTTCATTTTCTTTGCCTGAGATTGTACTATAAGATTTTACCACTCAATACCTTGAAGTATCATTATTATAGAATAAACAGCACATTAAGAAATAAACTCTTTAAGACAGAATTGGTCACGTAAAACAAATTGTACCCTTTTTAGGCCCCATAACCTTGATTGTTAATATTTAAGTAGGCTTCATTTAGTCCCATCTCTAGATAGTTAAGTATATCAATGGAAAGATAGATGGATAGTTAGATGGATAAGCATATATATAATGCCTGCTAACTTGGGACTTTGTTGCAAAAAAAAGCAAATTACATATTAATAATCACTTAACCTACTGTTTGAAATACATACTTTTTAACAATACCCATACACCATGAATTGCAGATGCTGCAAGTGGATTCCGGTCCTGCGAATGGATTCTGATCAGTCTTCAAATCCCTTTTTTATTTATCAACTACTATGGCCAAATAAATAGTTCCTGTTTAGTTTGTATCTGTATTAGTTATCTATTGCTTTCTAACAAATTACTCCAAAACTTAGCAGCTTAATATATTTACTATCTCATATAGTTTCTGAAGATCCATGATCCTGGAGCAGCTTGGCTGAGTGATTTATGCTAAGAGTCTCTAATGGCATTGTAGTCAAGCTGTTAGCCAGACGTGTAGTCGTCTTGAGGCTTAGCGGTGAAGGATCAGTTCACCTGATTATTAGCAAGCCTCAATTCCCTTAAACTACCTTCCAGCATTGCCATTATTAACATAAAGAGAAATTATATTTGAATACATAATAAGAAAATATAATTATAGGAAAAAGAAAAACCTTTTTTGATTGAGTTGACAAACTTTGATATAAAATTATATTCTAAAATTTTTTAATGTCTATGGCAGAGAGGTTAATACAACATTTTATTTTATATTACAGGATATCACCTGTCTTCAGGGATTTTATAGTATTTCATGGATATGGTTTGTGAAGAGTTTTGAGAGAAGAAGGTCTGCCCTTTTCACACAGTGAGAAAGTGTCCAAATTCTTATGCATTTCTAATCTGTAACACTATATTATTAATTGCTTATGTTAAAAAATAACAATTTTATTTAACTTGTGAGTACAGGTACACTTCAAATCTGTGCTGCATTTCTGAGGTTATGTATTTGTGTATACCCAGTTCTGCTTGAGAATCTTGTGGCATCAACCTCTTAGGAGACCAGAAGAGTCTTTTTGGCTTCTGAATGTTTTCTCTTGCCCTTTCTATTACCCTTAAAAGAAATTTCAATGATGGTACAGATGACTGGAGTCTAGTGTGGACTGATTCTATGATGATAACTCGAAAACTTTGGAAGGTGTTTCAGGGATAGTAAGCACCAGGGAGAGCATCAGCAACAGCATCATTTACAGTTCACAAGCAACCAAAATCCTAATAAATGGTCTGCACTGAAAATATATTGTGTTACAATTGTTGAAGAAAGATAGAATTCTTATATCACTGATGATGAAACAGTACAAACAAAAATCAATGATATTTTAGCAAAACGAACATTTACAATGACGACAAGAGGTATTTCTTATTTTGTAATTTTTTGGCCCAGTATTGATCTAAATACAGAAAATGCCAATTGTTTTATGGGCAATATACACATAATTAGAGCTACATGGAAAATCTTCATATCATCTGTGAAATTATTTTTGCTAGAATTTTTCATTTTTTGCCAAAGGCCTTTTTGTTAATTTAGTCATACATAAAAATAGTTTTCGTGTAAGAACAGCTTTCTATATTTTCTAGTCTAAAATTATTATCTATTTTTTCCTCAGGGAAAAAATAGTAATCTTGTATGTGTACTAGAGAAAAAAATAAATCAATATAAGGAATTGTCACAGTTAATTCACATTTGATTATTCAAGGTTTTTGCACAGTGAATGGAACTTGGATCATTCAGGGAGGCTTTTGGCTTTCAGTATGAGAAAACTCAATTAAACATGGCTTAAGCAATATGGACAACTAATTCAAAAATTATACCCTAAAGCTCTAATGTGGTTCCAGAGCTGTTAAATTCGACACCTCTGAGAGGCTATTAGCTTTACTTTCATGATAACAAAATCAGTCATGTTGCTCCAGGAATTCTGTCTTTCCACATCAGTGACCAAGGCAGGCAAGAAGATAGGGCATGGGGTACCTTCTAGCAGCCATCTGTCTATCAAAGTAAAAGTTCTCTTTTGAAAAGTGAGCAATGAAGCAGGTTCCCATGGCCCATATCTATCAAGTGAAAGGGACTACAGATGAGCCCCTTTCTTCCATGTATGTCCAAAGTTAACTTGTTTACTTGGTAGTCATATCTTCTTTATAAAATAGAATGCAAGAGAAAACATTTGACCTTATTTTTGGTTGAGATTTGCAATAAATAGGTAATTTTAATATATTTTAATCTTATATACATTAAATAATTTAGTTAACATGCTTCAATTGGCTTCTCTGGAAACAATCTGAATAGCAACCACAATTGACAATAAGTAGGCTGGGCTAAAATTTAGTTTCTAGAATTATAAATACCTAAGTTAAATGTAAATGCACGACATTGGAAAAATTGCTTTGTTTCATTTGTAAAGTGTGGATAATAATACTAGGGGTGTGTGAGTGTGTGTGTGTGTGTGTATATGGAACATTAAATAAGACCATGCTCATAAAATGTCTAGCGTATTGTTTTGCAAAGTCAGCATTCAGCAAATATGAACTACCAGAAGGTTAATAATGAACAAGAAGAAAAAGATGATGATTTGATCTTATATTTCTAGCTCTGACCTGGAAACTAAGCATGTGCCACATGAATCACATATCCATAACCCTATATTGATGCGAGTAAGTTGACTATTTAGCACTCAGTTTCGTGTATATCCTTCTTCTTTTTCCTGTCATTTATTGAATATTGACTGTTCTCCAGACACTGTGCAAAGCTCTTCATTTGCCTTGTTTTAATCCCCAGTTAATACTTTTTACTGAAGAAAAAACAGATTCAGAAAGTTAAGTAAGTCATTCAAATCACAGGGAGAGACATAGGTTTGCTTTGCTTCCAGCTGCTGTTTTTAACCACTGTAGAATTCTGCTTCTCTTTTACAATAGTTTTATGATTTGTTCTTCTTTTCTTTGTTTTTCTTTTTTTTTTAACAAAATCCATCAATATAATTAATTTTAAACTAAAAATGTTGCCCTTGGGTTTAGAACTCTAGAGTTCTGTTTTTATTTTTCTTCTTTTCTCTTGTACTTTTCATTCATCACACATCCTCTTTACTTACCTAATACACATGTGAAGGGATTGTATAAGAACAGCTTCAACCTGTTAACTAGTTTCCCTATACAAACATTGGCATTGTGTATTAGTCAGGGGTCTCTAGAGGGACAGACTGATAGGATATATGTATACATGAAAGGGAGTTTGTTAAGGAGAATTGACTAACACGATCACAAGGTAAAGTCCCTCGATAGGCTGTCTGCCAGCTGAGGAGCCAGGAAGCAAATCAGAGTCCCAAAACCTCAGAAGTACAGAAGCCAAGAGTGCAGCCTTCAGTCTGCAGCCAAAGGCCCGAGAGTCCCTGGCAAACCACTGGTCTAAGTCCAAGGGTCTGAAACCTGAAGAACTTGGGAGTCTGATGTGAGGGCAGGAAGCATCCAGCATGGGAGAAAGATGAAGGCCAGAAGACTCAGCAAGTCTGCTCCTTCCAATTTCTTCTGACTGCTTTATTCCAGCTGTGCTGGCAGCTGATTAGATGGTGCCCACTCAGACTGAGAGTGGGTCTGCCTCTCCCGTCCACTGACTCAAATGTTAATCTCCTTTGGCAACACTTTCGCAGACACACCCCCCGAGAACAAAAGTTTGCATCCTTCAATCCAATCAAGTTGACAGTATTAACCATCACACATTGTAACTCTTTTCTTGATTTTTTTCCTATTAAAATTTATTATTTTTACTGAGTTTCTTCTCCGTTAATAAAGTATTTTAAATTTTTTATAGGATATGCATACTTACTGACTAAACAGATAACAATGAGGTTTTCACATAAATTGGCATTTGCCTGTCTTATTGTAATACTGAGTTTTGAGTGGATGATGTAAGTGTTTATAGTTCAGGAGATGAATTGAATTGTGTTCCCCTAAAATTCATATGTCGAATCTCTAATCCCCAGTACTTCATATGTGACTATATTTGAGCTTAAGGCCTTGAAACAGTGATTAAGTTAAAATGAAGTCTTTAGGGTGGGCCTTAATGTAATCTGAATGGTGTTCTTATAAGAAGAAGAAATCTGGGCACACCTAAAGGCAGTGGACTTAAGCATGGAGAAATAAGGGACCATGTCAGGACACAATGAGGGGACAGCTATCACAAGCCAAAGAGACAGGCCCTGGGAGAGCCCAACCCTGGCAACACGTTGATTTTAGACTTCCAGCCTCCAGATCTTTTTGAGAAAATAAATTTCTGTTGTTTAAGCCACTCATTATACAGTATTTTGTTATGGCAGCCCAAGCTGACTAATTTATTGATTTATTTATTCAACGAATATTCACCACAATTCTCCACTTTACTCCAGATACATTCCTAGTGCCTTAGCATGCACGGTTGGATAAAGTGAAGCGTCCTGGAAATTATGAATTGTCTGTAGAATGTTACTACCATGGATGAAAAGAACAGAGTATAAAGTGAGGCTGAGATATTGTGATTCTTATCGTTGTTGTTGGAGACAATGATCAAAATCATGATCATGATAATGTACCATGAAAATCAAAATTTTCAGGTGAATTTTTGTGAAAGAATTTTTTGTGGGAGATAATGAAAGTGTATATATAACAGCGTGGATGCTGTTAAACTGATGTCACTCAATTGTTAGTAATTCTCTGTGTACTTGGGCAACTAAGTCCTTTTATACTGAGAAGTTCAATGTTATGAATAGCTTATAGAAATAGGTAACATCATTCTCTTCCCCATTCCCTGGCCCCTACTTTATATATATATATATGGATAGACAGTTATATAATATATTTATATATGATTATGTAATTATATAATTATATATAATATAAATATATTTATTTATAAATATAAATTTATAATATATTATAAATTTGTAATTATATATATTATAAATACAATAATTACACATATAGAGAGAGTGGGAACCAGGACTATATTTTTATATATAGTAGGAGCCAAGAACTGTATTTATATATGGTATATAAATATAAATAAATATAAATATATATCTATCTTCTGATTTTCATGGAAGTTGAAATGCCTCATAAGAGAATGACATGTTTAGACATATTAGGTGTATGGATTGGCATGTAAAAATGGAGACAATTGGCAGGAGGTTGAGCTATCAGAGAAAATGTCACCAAGGAACTTGTGAAGTGTGGCATGATGAGACAGCTTTAACGACAGGGCCTGAGGTTCCTAGTACTGTGTGACAGCTTTGACCTAGATTTTCTAGAAGCAGATATGTGCTGTGGGGATAAAGAACTGTGTGAAATGCTGAAAGAGTTGTGTCTTTAAAGTCTGTATTAATTTGAGAAGCAGAATAAAAAGGAGACATTTGACTATTTTCTTCAGAGAGTTCAAACAGCACCTTTATCTGTTGGCAATGCAGCAACAACACAAGTGTAAGCCTAGATGGCATTCTGGTAGTTGTCTAAGTGGGAAACAGAGGGCTTGGAGGAGAGGACTAGGCAGTCTATGGAGCGCAATCTGAGTGAAGCTGGCCTTGGTCCTGATGAGTCTTAGGTCCATTGGGCATATAATCCAAGGCTGTATACATTCTAGATGGAGAGAGCTTCTTGAAAGAAGGCTGCAGTTCTGCAGATGTGGAGTTTCAAAATGTGGAACCAATAGCTAACCTGATTTACTTGTTTTTCACATGTGGATCATGTTTTGGGATCATTTTTGATGGCACTGTGACATATCCCCCAAACCAAGGGGAGATAATCAAATTGACTACTGAGTGTCCTTATTGGAAACGTTTATTATGTGTAAGGCTTGAAACTAAAATATAATTCTCATGTTACTCATTTTCTAGTATGATTTAAGGTCTTCAAAATTTTTTAACACATGATTTTGTAGGAATCCAAGCATCACAGTTATTCTTTGTTATACCCACAATTTTATAACTCAGAACAAAATAATGGTTTTATACTGTAATTAAATTGGACAATTTCCAAATTTTGACTCTTTTTAAGAACAGTTAAAAAGAAATGCCAACAGTGGAATTAAGATTCCTGCCTGTAATCCAAGCACTTTCGGAGGCGGAGGCAGGTAGATTGCTTGAGCCCAGGAGTTCGGGACCAGCCTGGGCAAATGGCAAAACCAAACCTTAGACAGGTGTGGGATCGTGCACCTGTAATCCCAGCTACTTGGGAGGCTGAGTTGGAAGGATGGCTTGAGTTTGGGAGGCCGAGTTTGCAGTGAGCTGAGATAACGCACTTCAGCCTGGGTGACGGAGTGAAACCCTTTCTCAAACAAAACAAAACAAAACAAAACAAAACAAAACAAAACAAAAACACATTCCGACAGTAAAGTCTATTCTATTTTTAGCTCTTTTACTGAATTTCTGAATGACTTAAGTTTGCTCAATCATTTTCCTCAGTTGCACTAACAAAAAATAAGCAAAGAACAATGGTGAATAAAGTAAGATGACAATTCCCTGAAAGATCATTTCAGTAATATGCAGTCTACACAATAAAGCAATATTACACAAATATAGTATATGCAGTGCTGTTATCTGATTTGCAATAACTGTTATCTGAATTTATAATAACTATTCCCTTGCACTTTCTTTTTTTGGAGAGTTATCCATTTTGCTTTGAAATAGATTTTTTTCTGAATGCAATTTCTTGCTCTCTTCCTATATAATTTGTGGTTTTCATTTCTTAATCTCTTTTATAGTCTAAATTGAAAATCTGAAGAGAGTTCACATTTATGTTACCATCTGCAGTCTTTAACTGAAGCGCTGAAGTCATCCCCGGTTTATGAGCCTGTTGTAACTGCCAGATACTAAATTCCAACTACAACGTATTTTCAGTCTATTTCAGAAAGGAGGATAAACATGTCAGATAACCTTTACCTCTTCTGTCAATTCACATAAATATAAAACTCATTAAAACATTTTTAACTATACCCTATTTGTCTAAATAAATCAAGTAGATGTAAAGCCAGTTTTTTTTAATTCTCATTTGCCCTGTGTTTTACGAAATCCTGAATCTCTACTACCAGATATTTCTATAGCCACCAAAACAAACCTAGTTACAAATAGAACAGTCTCTGTGATGGTAAAATATTTAAAATAATATTTTTACGTTGCTCATTTAGGTGTATTGCATTGGGGGTGGATAGTGAAATATAGATGAAAGGATGTGATCACATTTAACTCTGCAAAATAAAAAATTGACAAGCACTTATTAGTTTATAGGCATTAGGAGCTAGGACAGACTTTAGCTGTTGTATTTCTAATAACTTAAAATGCATGTAATTAAATAATGATTTGGGGAAAACTTTCATATATACTATGTATGTAGTGCTATTATTAAAACTGTAAATTTAATTTGATTGTGTCATGGCTTAATTGCTACAGTTTTCATTGGTAATACACATCTGAGAATGTTCTCAGAGCTTAAGATTATGCTTCTATCTGTGTCCGGTAGTAAATATATCTGTATGGGCAGATAACGTGGTGTTTATCAAGAGTTTAGAGCACATTTTCAAAATTTTATTTTCTTGAAAAAATTATAGATTCCCTGGGCCCCACATTAAAATTCTGATTAATGAGATCTGAGATGAGTCATAAAATAGTACAGAGTATTCATGTGTGTATACTTTCTTCTTGTTGTGCTGGTGCTGGTGGTTGGGAAGAAAGAGAATATATTGATATTAAGCAATACAGAAGTGATAGTCTTAAATGCTCCTTTTGCTTAAAAAATAAATAAAAAGCTCTGTTTCTACTTCACCATTAGGCTTTTTCAATACTGAAAGAAGAGAATGATTTTGGTCAGTTAAAGAAGGTTGTGTGTTATTAATCCTTCTATTATGGAAGTAAACATTAATGTTTCCATGAGTACTCAGCATAAGCCACCATCCGAGCCCAGCAGTTGTGAAAGGAGTGCACGTGCATCAGTTGTTATTTATTTATTTATTTTTTATTTGAGATGGAGTTTCGCTCTGTCACCCAGGCTGGAGTGCAGTGGTGCAATCTCGGTTCACTGCAACCTCCACCTCCTGGGTTCAAGGGATTCTCTTGCCTCTGCCTCCCAAGTAGCTGGGACTACAGGCTACTCGGTGTGGGACCCGCCACCACACCCAGCTAATTTTTTTGTATTTTTAGTAGAGATGGGGTTTCACCATGTTAGCCAGGATGGCCTTGATCTCCTGACCTCATGATCCACCTGCCTCGGCCTCCCAAACTGCTGGGATTACAGGTGTGAGCCACCGCGCTCAGCCGCATCAGTTGTTCTTGTAGAGACTTGATTGCACTCTGTTGGCTGCGAGGCTGAGAAATTAAGTAACCCCAGAGAGTAAGAAATTGAGCACCTCCATTATTTGACTCTGCCTCTTCCCCAGGGAAGAGAATGGAATTTTGACTTCACAGGGAAGACTGGCTAGTTGTTGCCTTCTGTCTCCTTAGATTCTACTACTAACAGTTGTAAATACTGTCAGTTACAACATTTTACTGTAGCGTATAAATTAACTCATAATACAGGCTTTAGGAACATGCTATGATTTTTCTTCCTGAATAAGCCACATCATCAATTGATTTTCCTAGTGTCTTTTAAATACTCAATGAAATAACAACACTGAAGATTACTAAACACACAGAAAAACAATTATCCAATGAAAATCACTTTTGCTTAATATTTTCAGCAAATTGTTTTTCCTAAAAATAGTTGGGAGGTTATTATTCATTTAGTGGAATTGAAAGTTTATATTGTACCATGAAAAAAGTCAGAAAATAAATGTAATAAGAAAATAGATCATCCTGGCTCGGCATGGTGGCTCATACCTGTAATCCCAGAACTTTGGGAGGCTGAGACAGGCAGATCACTTGAGTCCAGGAGTTTGAGACCACCTAGGCAACATGGCAAAACCCCCTAGTCTCTACAAAAATTAGTCAGGCTGGTGACGTGTGCCTGTAATCCCAGCTACTCGGGAGGCTGAGGCAGGAGAATCACTTGAACCCAGGAGGCAGAGGCAGCAGTTAGCCAAGATCACACCACTGCACACTAGCCTGGGCAACAGAGGGAGACCCTGTCTCAAAAAAAGAAAACAAAAAAGAAAAGAAATCATAAATCCCAACTGAGGTTATTGTTCCTGTGGACTGTTCCGTAGATATTTGGGCAGAATAAAATGTGGTCTCTCTGTAAAAAAGGATAATATAGTTGGTCTGTTGTTTCAGTAGATCAAGAAAAACTGCTTCCTGATATTTTGTTCCTGGGATAAGATATTTAAACATTTAGGTACAGTCTCTCCTTTATATGCATTGTGTTAGAACTATAGGATGAACTTCAGGTTTTATTTCTTAGGAAGTTCCCAGCCATTCTGCAAAGATTTTTATCAATGAATTTGATCTTGACAAGTGAAATCAATGATGTATAAATAAGAGAAATAAATATAAATTAATGACCTGTTAGAATTAGTATGTTCTAATGAAGTCATAAGACATCAAAAGTGCACAGTCATAGCATTTTAATGCCCTATTGTCTCTTTTTAGCTTAAGGAATGCAGATTTCAGTTTTATGGATCATAGGAGTACAAATAAATAAATTTATAAGTATCTCTAGTTAGCAGAAAATTTCTATCCCTTAAAAGCTGTTAAAATATTATTTTCTTAAATACATTTTCAGTTTTATCCTGTTTTAGATAGGCAGTTCACATTTTACTCTTTATTACTTGCTACATCACATTTTCTCACTAATTTATTTAAATGTTTATTTGATTTTTTGTTGGTTTTGAATCACATTTAAAGACTTCTGGATTTTTATGAGGCAATGAGACACATATACAAATACGTAGTTAGATGCGCTTAATCAGGTATCAATTCATACAAGATGTTCGTAGAAAGAACTTTAGATTTGTAGTGCGAAGGAAACTTCTTCGAATAAAGATGGCTTTGAGAGACACGTTTATTTATCCTTCATCTGATGAGATCTGGGAGACAAAGAGAGATTAAGAGAAATCAAGCCTAGTTTCAGACCAACCCAAAGTTTATGCACAAGTACTGTGTTTTCAAATCTGAGGTCTGCTGCTGACACGCTATGTAATTATGGTTAGGTAGCTGCACGTATGTGGTACATACATTGTCTCCTAAAGAGAAATTACTAATGACAGTCTTTATACTCTTCTATTCATGATCATCTAGATATTCAAAAATTGATAAACTTCCAGGAAATCTATCATTATTTTTATATTGAATGATGAAATGCATATAGTATTAAGTAAACTATATGACTGAAATGTCTTATCTATCAGACTTCCTAAGGCATTAAATTGCTTTTATCTGAAACCTTTAAACTGGTTCCCAAACTTATTTAAATACTACTAAGTTAGAAGCATTTAGAAAATTGGTTGAGGTGCACTACTGAAAGCCAGCATATTCAGTTTTGTATCTCTCTTGTAAATTAATATTCCCCCAGTGATTGGTAAATACAACCTCATTTTCAACGTATTTTGTAAGATGCTACAGTTTTCTGCTTTTATAAATTTTCGAGTAAAATCTCAAAACCTGAAAAAAAGGAAGGCAGCTAATGTTAAATATTGTTAAATGAATAAGATCCTGAGAAAATAAGTTTTCTCCTCCTAATATGTCCTCATAGTTTAATGATAAATGAGCTTCGTTTAAAAAACACTCATTTAATGTCCAAGAAAAGGAACATTTGGACACAAATGTAAAAGCAATAGCATCAGCTTTGTAAGACCAAATAAAGATAAAGGGCCCACATGGAGAATATCTTTTGATAGCATTATCTTTCTTATGCTGGTATATTTAATCCCTAGGACAGAGATGGAATCATATAGATTGTTTCTATAGACTTATTTCCCAGACTTGCTATAGTTTTATCCCTTTGATTCATTGTGACACTGCATCTGGGACACCTTTATTATTTAAACAATTCTGATTATGTCACTCCCAATTTTGAAACCATTCATTTGCTTATATTGCCCCCAGAGAAAAATCTAAATTCCTTAATGAGGGTTAAAGAGCCCTTCAGGATTTGGCTTCTTACTTACCTCATCAACCCAGTTTCTTACAGCTCTCCACCCTGCATTCATTTATTTAATCAATCAACATCTATCTTTTGAGTATCGATTGTGCATCAAGAACTGACCTAAACTGTGAGGATACAAAGGTAAATATGATCAACTATCCATGTTCTCTTGAAATGTAAGAGTGAAGAGGAGGGAAATGTTCATTCACTTGTTTAACACATATTTGTTGAGACTCTATAATATACCAGGCACTGATCTAGATACTGACGAAATAACATTCAAACAATGAAAATTATGTCCTGAAACAGAGATAGAAATGCTCAAATATAGGCAATAAACAAGTACAGTAGCGCCCCCTTATCTGCTGTTTCACTTCCAAATGTTTCAGTTACTAGCAATCAACTGTGGTCTAAGAGTATTATATTACTCTTGGAAAGACAGAGTGAGCATAATATTTGCATAACATTTGCATAACATTTATTACAGTATATTGTTATAGTTTTTCTATTTTATTATTAGATGTAATTATTAATCTCTTACTGTACCTAATTTCAACTTAAACTTTATCCTTGGTATGTATGTGTAGGAAAAAACAGTGTTTTTAGAGTTTTATACTATCTGTGGCTTCAGGCACCCACGGGGGGTCTTGGAACATACCCCTCTGTGGATAGGAGGGGCCTAATGTAATGATGAAAGTCAGTGATTATAAATTGCTACAACTATTAATATTGAGATTCTATAGGTTTTCATGATGGTAATATAAGGGAGATGTGGTCACTTAAATATGTCCTGAAGGAGATGAGATCTAAGCTGAGAAAAAGGCTAAGATTGATCAAATCGTGGCAGAACCAAATAGGCAAAGAGTATAAACCAGTAAAGAGCTTAGAGTGTTGGAGATGTGAACCAAAGCATGAGAAACTAAAGAATAGTGAACATTTAAATAATGCTAAAAAAGTAAGAAGCAGGTAATAATGCAGAGTATTAAGAATCATGGGAATGAGCGTGCAATCTATATTCTAAATATTTTGATTTCTGAGAAGGTGCCATGTTTTCAATTTACAATCTGTTTTCCACTTATATTGTTTTCTTTTACTTCTGCTATTATTTCCTAGTCACCCCTAGCATGACTCTTCTTCCTCAAAACCTTCCTTCTTTTTCCTTTATAACCCTTTTACGCTTCTACTTTGCCTCAGTTGTGGCATTCATCATACTATATTGTAAATCACAACTTATCTAAATCCATAGGCTGTAGTTTCCTTGGGCTGGTGCTATTTAATTTTAACCTTTCTGTCTTCAGCATCTAGCACAATGGCTGGCGCATAGCAAATGCCTGGAAAATATTTGTAAAACAAATGTGTTCATTTCCTAGTGTCAGCTCTGCCTCAGTGCATTTCATTCAATGTTAAGCTTGTTCAGCTCTTGAAATGTCAATTATCCCCAAAGCCAAGCAGCAGTGTTAGACATGGTGATTGCTCTCCTAAACGCCTTCACTTCCAGCTGGGATCCTGGACCTGGCACTGAAGCCAAGCTGCAAGTGACCTAATTAGTCCTTTGGTTATTTCCAAAAAAATTGGGAATAATCATGAACGGGGATGGCCAAAAACTAGGACATGCAGAGTTTGATGAAAGCTGAAATGTCTACAGTGCCAGATGCAAGTCTTTTGGACAGTATCAATAATTCCCAAAACAAAGTAGTTTGCATTTTAACTGTTTTCTGGAGCTTTTATCAACAAAATATGTTCATTGACTACATTGACTAATCAGATCTTTGTACCAGATTAGAAATTAACAGTGTGCTGGCCACAGAAATAAGATACAAAATCTCTCTCTTTCTGGCCCTGCTATAAAAGAATGTCTGACAGCATATTCAGCCAGATGCTGTGTATCTTTCCAGAGTGTAATTTTGGGGCTAATAGTGAGCTGCTTTCTGATCCCATGCTTCTAATCAATGTCAGGGAATGGAGGCTAAGAAGGAAACTCTCCCACAAGAACTCAGTAGTTGATAGATCTTTGACAGGCTTTTAATGTTTTTGTTTTTGTTTTTGTTTCCTGAAAGCTCATCTCTTGCTTCATAGTCACAGTTTGCTGGTGAGTCTGCGGGCTGATGTCACAGATAAGTGTAACTAATACCCTGTTAATATCGTATTAACTCAGGGGAAAAGCCAGGGACAAGATATTCTTTAAACAAGACAGCGTTCATGGAGTGGCTGATGAGTTTTAAGTTAAGCTCCATGTATTTAAGATGACGGTAACTGTTACCAAGAAATTATACTCAATCTTTTGAACATTCCTGTAGGTGACTAACACACAATATCTTGTAAGAATTTGCTTTGGGGCCTACATGTCATTCTGAAGCACTGAAGTGACAACTGACACTCAAAATATTTACTTACTTGGATGGAACATGGAAGTCTATGTACAAATATACAATTGAATAAAATCTATATAACCTACATTTGTGGATTTTATACTATGAGGTTTGTGATTCTTGAAATGAGTAATAAATAGTGTCTAGTTTTGAGGACAACAGCACCAAGGCCCAGCTTGAGAATCCAAACAGTCAAAAAATACTGAGCAATATTGGAACCAAAATGGTTAAAGACCATGTATGATGATTTTAATGAAATACTTGAGATTTGAAAGCCAGGACTGCTTCTTTCAAACACGTGTATAAAAACGGGAAACTGATCATTATACTCACTGATGAGAACTTTAAGTTTTTCAAACATTAGGTGACTAGACTCTTGTACTGGGGCCAGTTCGTATAGATGTGCACATTGATATCATAAAATCAGCTAATAACAGATGAACAGGATGAAGAAGGAGCCTAGGGAATTAAATGCAAATATCTAGGGTAATCCAGCTTTAAAGTTATTAATTTTTAACGCCAGCATTTCGTAAATGAGTTTTCTTTCACAGTTTAAACATTCCAATGGAGTTCTGCAGATTGATTCTGCTTCAGTGGAAATGCCAGTCTTTCTGTAAAATCACTTTCTGATCATAAAAATATAGGTGGGTCTTTGTTGTGTGTATAAATCTGTTGTACACATTAATTGATCATTTTAATATTGAGTATAGATTTTAAGTATTGGAATGTAAACATATCCATCTAAAGTGGTCTGAGATCACTTCAACCAGAAGATGATGCACATTTCAGATGAATATTCCCACCTCTTTTCTTTACTATATAGCACACAATTACTCTATAAAAAAAATTTCCCCTTTTTCTTTCATTTCTGAGTATAAATTCTGCCTCTGCTTCTAGGAGAAAATTCAGGGGTTCGTGGGGCTTGAAATTCATACAATTTTAGGGGCCCCATAAAAAAGAAATTGCATTTTTTTATATTATTATACTGTACATTATATAACATTACAAATAAAAAAGGATGACAGTCAATATTTATTCAGAAATAAAAAGTCATCATACAAATTACAAGTTTTTAAAGATTGAAATATGCATTATCATACAATCTTGAAAAATACCATTATTTTAATTTAACTTCCATTATCACACTCTGATACTATTAGTTGTCATGTTTCTGTAGTCCCTTTAAATCCGGAACTGTTCCCTAGTCTATCTTTATCTTTTATCATCATAACATTTTGAAGAATCTATGCCAATTGCTTTGTAGACCCTCAGCCTTGCTTGTCTGAAATTTCTTGTGAAATGATTAAATCCCTTCTTGATTGGTGACCTGAAGTATTATACTTTGTAAATGTCTTTTTTGTTGTTGTTTACCTGCTTTGTATATGTCCTTGTTTTATTCCACTGGCTGCAAATCTTCTTGCTACAATATTTGAAGTGGGGAATCAGAGAACACAAGAAGAGCAGCTAGCATAGAACTTGACAGATAGGTGTTACTCAATAAATAGCAGTTCCCTCCACTTCCATTTTCCTGCTTTGTGTGTCTAAATGTCTTTCAGAGTTACAATATTTTTTTCAGCTTGGCTACATCTTGCATCACTCAAGGGAAATTATTGTTACTGAAGTAATTTTTTGATGCCTTCTGCAAGTCTAGGTTAAAAAATATTGTTTGCTTTCTTGAACTCTTTGTCAACTGGAAGACCTCACTGTGTCCTCAGGCTTTTGTTCCTATTCATACTGCTAGCATCCTGTGGCATCTTAGCTGGTTTCGACATTTCTCCCATGCTCTTTTCTCTTTAACTGCATTCTCCTTCCATTTTCTTGCAGCAATCTTTATGATATTTTTCATTATTACTAATTGCCAATTTAAAGCATGTGTCATATCTCCCACACTTGATTAAATACACAGAAATAGAGATTTTAGTCTTATTTCAACTTGATTTTTTTTCCTCTACTTACTCTGATCTTTTAAATAACAGCTACAGTCTGTGCATTCTCCTGGCCAGAAGTTTGGGAATCTCGTTTAATTTTTCCTGTATATTCCCTGCATCGATCTCTCTGCTGTTAATTCTCTGATATCAACATTTTCCTCCCTTTTTCCGTGACTTACACTCTCATCTAAATGGTTATACTCACAACTATAATGTTGTCAAGTTCCCAGTGTGGAAACATTTTCCTTCAACCTATTTTATGTGCTTCAGAACATATGAATTTGTCAAAATCTGTTTTTTATGCATACTGAGAACTTCTGGTTGAGAATACATTTTATGAAGGAACAAATAGATTATCTAGGGACAATAATCACTTGAATAATATATGCCAAAGATAGGTTAGTTAGTGTTATACTTGACACCCATCTGTTCCTCTACTCTTAGTATGCATGAGTATACCTTTAACTTTCTCCAAACCAACCTACGAATATGTCAAAGGTGTAGTTATTTATGCACTATCTTGTTCCTAAAAGATAGAAAATTTACAATTCATAGGAATATATAAAATAAACAATAGCCTATAGAAGAAATTGGTGATACAGGAAAAGATATGTAAAACACGGGCAGGAATGCGAAATGAAGTCTAAAATGAAGCTAATACAAAAAAAAAACATAAAGCATACCACCTCATAATATAAATATAATGTTCTTAGTGATTAAAGTCATTTCTCTTTATGGCAACTTAAATGAACTTTAGATTTCTCTTTGGAGGAATACTCTCAATGTATTCCATTTATTCATATTCTAAGTGTGACTTGTAGGGCAAATGCAGGCTGGCTGCTTTTACCTTTCAAGTGATCCACATAAGTATTGTTGATGTTGTTAGTGAAGGAGGACAAACTCATTGAGAGGGCATTCCTGCAATGCATGTCCACTCCCCTCGCATACAGTAGGTATTAGGTTAATGTATTAGTCTGTTCTTGCATTGCTATAAAGAGCTACCTCAAACTGGGTAATTTATAAAGAAAAAAAGGTTTAATTGACTCACAGTTCTGCAGGCTGTACAGGAAGCATGGCTTAGGAGGCCTCAGGAAACTTACAATTATGGCAGAAGGTGAAGGAGAAGCAGGCACATAATATGTGGCTGGAGCAGGAGGAAGAGAGTGAAGGAGGAGGTGCTATACATTTTTAAACAACCAGATCTTGTGAGAACTCACTGTCACAAGAACAGCAAGGGGGAAGTCCACCTGCGTGATCCAATCACCTCCCGCATTGTTGGAGGACCCTCCTCCGACATTGAGGATTACAGTTTGACATGAGATTTGGATGGGGACACAAAGCCAAACCATATCAGTTAATATGTGTGTAGTAAGATGATAAACTGAAATATTTATGAGCTTTCTTTACCTGTATTGTCAGAAACACCTACATCATCTGTAGAAGAACAAGGTGCATTATGGAAGAAATGCAAAGAGAAAGACCTAATGAACAATCTGTTTCAGAACTCCAAAATATCTTCTGAAGGCCACATGAGTACAATTATTCTGAATAGCAAAGCTTTTGATTAAAAAAGTATTTGGAAGAAAAATATGTCTTTGAAGATTAAAAAAAAAGTCATGTTCTTTGATTAATGGGAAATAAGCACAAAATAAGATCAGCCCAGGGAGAGTAGGTGAGCATCGTCAACTTGGGAGGTGGCAAGAACTGTATGGTCTGTAGGGCTGGCAGTGAAGGGGTGGAATCTGAGTGACCATGTGCAGAGACAGGTGGCACTGAGATATTTCTCTATGCGCTTTTTCTCATTATCAGTGAGTTGAGCAGAAGTTGAGACATCCACAGATCATCCCCTCTTATAAAAGTTAGCATGGCATTTTATTTTGTTTGAGAAATGTTTGTTTAGTTTTGTATTTAGCTCACTTCATATTCAAGCTAAGACTATTCTGTAATGCCAAGGTTAATTATTTTTTCATCTCTTCATTAAGGAATTGTAAAATTTCTTTTAACTTTTAAAAGGCGAACTTTCTTGATCAATAATTGTTTTGATCTCTTTCAAATGTCTTATAGTTTTCAGACTGCTAATGCACTAGTTTGCACTTACAGAGGGCAAAGATTATTATGCTTTCATGGAAAATATAATGGTTTATTCCCAAGGAATTAAACTTATTTACATATTTTATGGCTAGCTTTATTTCTTTCATCAATTACCTTGTGATTTGTCTTAAGTGGGGAGGGGATATAATATAAGTCCTACTGGTCCATAATTCCCTGTATAACCACAAACATCCTTTTAAAAGTTCAGGACAAACACAACATCCAGTGTTCTAGAAAATGATTATATTTCCTATTAATTATTTTGAGAGGTTTGTACTTTAGAACCTTCAGAATTCTCAGATGAATGCTACTCTTTTTCCAGAGGTTTAAAATTTTGTTCTCAACTAGCCATTTAAACATTTCTGTTTTTGATAACTTATGTAGGTCTTATTTCTCTTATCTATAAAAAACAAACAAACATATGAATATTTTTCACTACTGTGAGCAAAATATTGAACTTTTTTGTGAGTTTTACATACATTAAAAAGTGCACAATATGTGATGATTCTGTTATTTCCTTAAACTGTGTAAGCCTAATAGTAATGTCTTATATTAGAATGAATGTGTGAATAGAATGCACTGTAGCACAGTATCATCTGTTTCAACAAATGTGACAAGTTCATCTACTGGTTTAAAATATACAAACACATAGTTAATTGCTCTCCTTTCAGAAAACATATTGGTTGTTTTCAGGTGTTGCTAAGAAAAATCAGGCTAAGATTAACATTACTATAATTTCTCCTTATATGTATATGTACAACAGTTGCTTAAGGATTTATTCCAGGAGTTGAATTATGGTGTCATAAGATATACGTATCTTTTACTTCTACCAGATAATGTCAAATCATTTTCCAAAGGTATCATATCAGATTACATTATACCAGCAATTGTTCTACATTCTCACACTTAGTATTGTTAGACTTTTTAAAATTTTCTCTCTGGTGGGTGTAAAATTGTATTATATTGTGATTGTGAAAAAGTATTTTATGGCTGGGTGTGGTGGCTCACACCTGTAATCCCAGCACTTCGGGAGGCCAAGGTGGGCGGATCACCTGAGGTCGGGAGTCGCGACCAGCTTGACCAACATGGAGAAACCACATCTCTACTAAAAATACAACATTAGCCGGGCATGGTGGCTCATGCCTGTAATCTCAGCTACTCGAGAGGCTGAGACAGGAGAATCGCTTGACCCTGTGAAGTTGCAGTGAGCCGATATCGCGCTATTGCACTCAGCCTGGGCAACAAGAGCAAAACTCCGTCTCAAAAAAAAAAAAAAAGTATTTTACAATGACTAGTTAGGCTGATTGTTTTTTCATGTTTTTATTG